>NC_000015.10:32670813-32973843 GCF_000001405.40 Homo sapiens
GATGAGGAGGCACTGATGTTAGTAAAAAGCTCAAATGTCCTGAGCCCTGTTGCTCAATACCTCAAACACAGGACCATGATCACCACAATGAAAAATATGCAGGATCATTAATTTCGGCTCTGTTAATTGTGCTGTTAGGAAATGTTGACTAGATAGGAAAAGCAGCTAACGTTCATGGAGTGCTTATTACATACCAGGTACTGAGGTAAGCATTTTACATACAGTATCCGATTTGTATCCTCCCACAAGCATGTTATCCCCGGGTTAAAAGGGGAGGAATTGGGGTCCAGTGAGATTGGGAGGTTATGAGAATCCCACAGTGTGTGGCAGAATGTGGACTTGAACTCAGGGCCCTAACAACAGGAAGCTATAAAAGCCTCTTTGTATAAAAAGTGCTCTCTTTCTGTGGGTCCTCAGTAAATGAAAATATTTGCTTTTCATAAATAGGTTTGAATGTTGGGACCCTCATTTCTCACCAGGAGTCAAGGCCAAAAGGTCTTATAAATAAGAGTGAATTTTGAGAAAGGATGTGTGAAAATGACTCTGTTCTTTTCTTTTATCTCACTTCAGTTACTTGGGATGGAGGAAGCAGAAACTGGGAGTCAGACATCTAAAATATGAAGTTCCACCCTCATGTTGGCCATTTCTTTCAGCCTCCTTTCCCCATTCCTAGGGGCCAATCTGTTTCTCCCTCTCCTGCTCTTTCTCTTTGCCTCTGTCTTCTTCTTTCCTGTGGAGACAATAGCGTGTGGTGGAACTGCCTGAGTGCTTACTGAGAAGGAGAAACCAAGCGCAGATTGTATAGAAGCTGACGAATGAGTCCTCTGATTGTGGACAAGTGATGGCGCTTTTTGTAAAATTGTGTATGTGTTTACCTCAAGTAGTGAAAAAAAAAAAAGAAAAAACAACTTTTGGGGCAAGTTGGACCTTAGGAAGGAGATTTCTGGGTCTCGGGGTTTCTCTTAGCCCCCAGTGCCTGGTGCCTGCGGCCGGTGTCGCCTCAGGGAGTCCCAGGCTGTTCTGTGGCCTCCAGAAGGAGCCACCCCGCCCCTTCCTCGCCCCACTCCGCTTTGCCTTCCCTTAGCCTGGGGAGCCTTGCCGCCTCTCCACCTTCTCTCCTGGTCTCCTCGGGCGCTCTCGCGCTGGCACCTTCAGCTCTGTCAGAGTCTGAGGGGAAACCAAAGGAGGCCAGGCGGTGTCTGGAATGCCCCATCCGACTGCTTCAGGCTCCCAGACCGCTGACAAAAGGAAAACTGGTCCGTCGCTTTCTGAATGATGTATCGAGACCGCAGTGTATTTTTAGCATCTGCTGTTTGTGGTAACATAAGTGAAAACTGCTGGACCCGTTCCCTTCAGCTGAATGGCTGGTATTCAGGGGCCTGTGCCCGCTCCCTGCCAGACGCTCCTCACAGAACTCCCTTTTTACGAGGTGGGCGACTGGCTCCCTGGCACCAGGCTGCCCCACCACAATTCTTTATTGCCCAGCGCCAGTGCCCAATTGCATGAATCCCCAGGGCTGCAGGCAGCGTGAGGGGTGCGAATGGGACGATGCTGGCTGCGGGCTTGTCAGGGTGTTCCCAAGTTGTGTGGCAGAGTCTGGAGGGCAGGGGTTGTCCGGATGTTCCAAACCTCCAGCGTGAGGTGGGCACTCAGGTGCGAAGGAACCATGGTGGCGAGGCCCACAGGTGGCGTCCCATCCCAGAGCCATTTTGCCGGGGCCTGGCTCTGCAGTAGTCACTGACACCGGAGATCCCCTGAGTGACCTGGAAACTATGAGAGACCCCAGGTACCCCGACAGGTCATTCTACTAACTGTGGCTGTGGAGCTCCAGCTCATCTTTGGAAGACGGAAACGCACTGGAAAGGGTATGAATGGACGCAGAAGGCCTCGTGGGGGCTCTCTCAGTGCCACTGTAGAGTGAACACAGGGCTGGAATCCAAAATAGCACCAACTTGCTGAGTGGCTTTAGGCAAGAAACCTTTCCCCAGGTCTCACTTTCTCACTTAGAATGATGAATAGTGATTCTTGTCCTACTGACCTCACTAGGACGTTTTTAATAAGGATGAAAGCACTTTGAAACTGTTGAAACCATAACATCACAAAAAAAAAAAAAAAAAAAAGAGACAGAGTGACGAAGTAACGCAGGTCCCATTTATGTTCTTAATTTCTGACCAACCTTAACTTCCATCAAAACTGCTTCCACTAGCCCCAGCCAGGAGAGCCGTTGCATCGTGGTGGGACATCATCAGGCTCTCCAACGGACATCGCTTATACTATGAGAACTCACGTTCAAGGGAGGTGTTTACCTCTAATTCCCACAGAACTAGCGTAAGTAAAAAATGGGGCAGCAGGATCCTTTCCTTGCAAAGTGTGAGCAAGTGCCTCTGTAGAGTAAAACTTTAAGTAAAAGGACTACAACGGCAGTGACAGCTCCTTTATCTGAAACTGCAGACTTTTAAGAAGGTTCTTAGCAGCCACACCGATGTCACAAATTCCATAAAGCAAGATCACCTAGGCACTCTCTCGGAGCTAATTTTATCTCATTTTATATATAATTTTAATAAGCCTGGCTCTCTCATTTTCTAGCCCCTTATTACTGAAAATGTGGCTCATGGACCAGCAGCATCTGCACTATCTGGGAGCTTGTGAGGAATGCAGAATCTCAGGCCCCACCCTTCACCTTGAATCAGAATCCACATTTGGATAAGATCCCCGTGTGTGTGTGTGTGTGTGTGTGTGTGTGTGTGTGTTGTGCGGGGGAGGGTAAAATTAGAAGAGACTTGCAGGGCCTAGGCGCACTCTCAATTTATTGTATTTCATTATGGAAAGGATTTGGGATGACTAGAATTAATAACTTAGAAGGAGTGAGGTGACAAAGAACATTAAAAACTATTGCATCTGGGACCATTTAATATAGGTTTGTTTGTTTGTTTGTTTTGAGACGGAGTCTCACTTTGCCGCCCAGGCTGGAGTGCAGTGGCATGATCTCGGTTCACTGCAACCTCTACTCCCCAAGTTCAAGTGATTCTCCTGCCTCAGCCTCCTGAGTAGTTGGGATTACAGGCGCCTGCCTGTAATTGTATTTTTAGTAGAAATGGGGTTTCACCATCTTGGCCAGGCTGGTCTTGAACTCCTAACCTTGTGATCCACCCGCCTCTGCCTCCCAAAGTGCTGGCATTATAGGTGTGAGCCACCGCACCCGGCCCATTTAATATAGTTTTATATCCGAATGCCCTTTAATACTCTGAGAATACACTGTTACAACACTGTATAGTCATTGATATTCCCAGTAATAGTCCCAAATTATCAAGAACAGGCAAAGTCATATTCTCCTGCTGTTTAAAGTATTTACCTAATGTTCATAGTGGAAAATTCTCCTTTAAAATGGTTAAATAAATCTTGATCTTAAACCGATGCTTCAGTGATCTGAATACTACATGAAACAGCACGTTCTCTCTAAAGAGATAAGTGAGATGGTACTATAATCGGAAACCTCTGTTAATTCGGATTTTGTTTTTTATGCACATTTTAGAGAGTCAAATTATATCAAGATAAAATATGATAACAGAGATTTACTCTAAAATTAAACAATGAAAAAAACCCTACCAGTGCAACAAAAAGGCCATGGCTGTTCAGAGCCAAGTAAAACTTTGGGGGTCAGAAGGTATTTAATTTTCATATTTCTGTTTACTAGGTACTAACAACTGATCTTCAAAATCATAGAGACAGGAAAATGGATTTGAAACCCAAGGGAGTTTTTAAGTAACCAGAAAAGTTAGTGCCCTCTTCTGGACAAGCGATCATTGGAGTTGTTAGAGGTTGTCCTTGGGAGTGCTGTTGGGGGCTTTGTTAACACCGAACAAGACCATGAGTGGCAAAACTTGGAGCTGAGGTTGATCAGGTCTCCAAGGCCAGGGAGAGACTCAAACCAACCAGGTCAACTTCCCAGCTGAATTGCCAACCTCAAAGGGATACGTACAGAAGGGAGAATTGGAGGCACATAGCAGAGGGTGAGAATGCAGAGAAGAGCAGGATGCGGTCAAAAGATTGGCAGATTTTTATGGAGGGTTCCAGCACAGGCCAAGAAAGAGATTTAAGGGTTCTGACTCAAATAAGACCAACTGTCCTTCTTTCTCATTCCCTTGACAATTACATCTGAGTGCAACTTTATTGCCATGGCAATACAAAGAAAGTCTACCAATGATTTGATATCTAGAGCTTAGAAATAAACAGCTGCATGGTACCAATTTTATTATATAAAGCAAAGTTTATATAAACGCAACTGGGCTTAAAACTCATTTGGCAAGAATTAAATATTTTCCATTTATTCTAGAGACATTTTTAGAGTGCCATGGCTGTGGTGGAAACATAAATAAAGCATCATCACAGGACAGGATTAATTAATTGCCTGAAATAATTTCAAAGCTGTAAGTGAAAGATCCTATCTTTATTAATGGTATTCTTTTCTCAAATCAGATTTTGAAACCTCACAAGCTTTTGACTCATCTCTCTCCTGTGCACTGCTAGAAATCTTATTTAACTCATGTTGCAGCCACCCTAATTCCAATCCTTGTCACTTCACTCCTGAGTTTCAGCAACACTCTTAGAGAAGAACTTCTTAATTTCTCTCCAACCTAGCTTTGTACAATGGTCTGTTCTCTATACCACCATCTATTGTCTATACTACAATACATTATGTTGGGAATATATCTTATTATGTACTACTGGCTTATTGTGTTAGTCATGGGTAACCAACTAGAATGAAGAACGAACTAGAGAACAGGAACTATGTCTTTCACATTTATGTCGTCTATAGCACCTAACGTAATTATTGCTACACAGTATGTTGCTACAGGGAGTCTTCCGTGGCCTAGATCTGGGCTAGATACTTCTCCTCTACACAACTGTGACACACTGCCGTATCCTGGTTACATTATCAGTGCATTACAACTGGCTGTATTACGTTTGTTTCTTTTTGTTTCTCTATGAACTATGAGAGCAGAGCCTACATTTATCTGGTTCATCACTGACCCTCTAGTACCTAGCCCAGGTTTTGATTATATATTATGTGCTCAATGCATATTTTTAGATTATTTGTTGTTGGTTAGTGCAGTAAGATAGTTAAGGAGGCTGGGATGAATAGACCAAATGGCATCCATAGCATCATATTATTTTGTTTGACTTGGCTTCAGGTACAATAGATCAATATAACCTAAATATTATAATGAACCAGATAACTGCATTTGGCCCTTTGCAACTGTATAATATTAAAATTATTATATTTTCTATACCTGTTTAATTGTCTATAAAATTCTAGCTCCTGGAGTGCAAAGGACAGCATTTTTTACTTCTGCATATCTCCCTCAGTTCCTACCTCAGTGAGTGTTTCTTGATCTGACATCATTAAATGCAGTTTAAAAAGAGTCTGTGTTCTAATCTGTCTGCTTAGTGCTAAACATCTGTTGCTTCCTAACAAGTGCTGCATTCATTTTAATGGCACTGGTGCACAGAGGTAAACGGAGCTTTGGCAGGCCTTCCATAAGAGAAACTGTTTGCTTCCTTCATTAATTACTAATGGAGCATTAAGACACGCATTCTGCCTTGAGCCAAGTTGGATAATTCCTGGCACTTAATGCTAGGGTGCTTTCAAAAGTTGAGACATGTACTGACACACCAGAGAGCCTGCCCTATAGCAAGCACAGTGGTGTCTATAGTGCCAACATTATATAAAGCTTCAAATATATCAATACCAAGTGTACTGATATGTCTAACCTTTGCATCTATTGGGTTAATGTGGAATCATAGGTATCCCTACACTAGCTCTGAAGGTAGCTATCACAAATGAGCTGGATGAATCATCAGAAAGATACAGAAAGGTTAAAAATAAAAGGATAATCAAAGATTTACCAATTAAACACAAATCAACAGAGTGAGAGTGGCAAGCTAATAGAACTATAAATCAACATCTGATTTATCAATTTATATTTAGCAGCCAATTGCCAACACAATTAAAATGAAACATTTATACCCTTGGATATGCTAACTAGTACAGCATCAAAATGATAAAAACAGTAAGAAATAAGAGAATGACAGTCACTTATTGTTAGTAGTAGATTTTAACATATAGCCATCAGATTATGATAGACTAGAGATAAAATATGAATATGGATATAAAAAGAATATAATTATAAATGTTGATAAATTGGCTATATTTAGATGTTTATGGGTTATATAAAATACCTTATATTACATATTCACATGGAAATTTTACAAAAATAATATGGTAGTTTACAAAAGAAATAGCATTTTTTTTAAATGCAGATATTTTACAGTTTCTCTCATTACAAAGCAGTGACCTAGATCTGGGCTAGATACTTCTCATCATTCTCATTACAAAGCAATGAAATATAATATAAATGTAAACAAAACAAGCGAACAACCACTCGATGTTGCCTGAATGCGGGGGCTAGAGGAATCAGCAGAGGTAAGATTGTCCTTTTAAGGTTAAACTTTAATCAACACAGCACACAAAGCCAGAGTGATGCAATGTCACTTCAGAGAGAAAATATGATCCCCAGGACACTGAGATCTAGTCATGATTCTACTGAATATATTAACATTTCCAATGGGGGAAAAAAGTGTGAATCCAACGAAGAGCTGGCTCAGCCAAAACAAACAAAGGCAAGTGCTAGTGTTCATCCAGGGACAAGGGAGCCTCATTCAACTAGACTTAACTAATCCAGCCTGTGGCAGGATCCTCCTTCATGAGAAGATGGAAGCATGGTGTTGTTTTTGCCTGGTTTTGCTCAAATGTCATGCACACCAGGCACCTTTTGATTGTAAACCAGCCTTTCCTGTATTGGTCTGCGTACACCATGATTGTCCCTTAGGGGAACTGTGAGTGTGGGGCTCCTCTGTCCTCATGGAGTTGGTAAGTATGAAATCCTTCTAAGAAATGATCTGCTGTGGTCCTGGAAAAGGAAGCTTCATGAGCCTTATAGAATGTTAAGGCTACAAGGAAAGAAAGTCCAGAAATTAACATACATTGGTATGTTAACTTGGTAACTTAGTAAAACAAGTTATGGAGTAGAAGTTGTTCTTATTCACTGCTGTGTTTTGGTGCTCAGAATAGGTTTTCGTATGTATGAGACACTTAAGTATTTGGTAGAGACATGAAACAAGTAGGAAAGGACAGAATTATTTAGCAAATGCTGGTGGGATAATTGATTAACTGTTTGACATACACTGAAATAAATAACATGGATTAAAGAGTTAACTTACAAATAGAAAATTAAAAGAATGATCCAAATGTCAGTAGTACTTCTGAAGGGGCAACGATTTTGTGCATTTAGAAGGATAAGAAGAAATCACAAGGGGAATAAAAATGACAAATCTGACTACATAAATATTAAAAACGTATGTTAGCAAAATACTATAATAGTAACCAGAATTCAAACTCAGACAACATGGGAAAATATTTTCAGAAAATGCGACAGCCAAAGGCCTTGCATCTTTATTATGTAAAATGTTCATACAAATTGATAAGAAAAACACTGAAATTCCAAGAGCATAAACAAACAGCTCACATAAAAGAAATTAAAATTAGTAAATATATGGGAAGATATTTGACCCAGCTGGTAATCAAAGACATTCAAAATAAAACAGTAATTTTAAAAAATTTGAATTAGCAAAGAAAATCTAAAAATTGATTTTCATAAAACCCAATGCTTGTGAGAATGTTGCAAAAGTTGTATTTCATATTTTGCTGCTGATGGCTTATAAATTGGTACCTCGTTTTTGGAAAACAGTTTGGCAATACAATATCAAGAGTCATTAAAATGTTTTATAGCCTTTGACCTAGTAATTTGACTTCTGGGAATCTATCCTGAGGAAAATTAATCCAAAATATGGAAAACATTAAATGTCTAAAATGAATTGGGAAACACTAAATGTCTCACAATAGGGGATTGGTTAATATGTTGTAGTACAGCCATTGGACTAAAAACTACATAGCCATTTATAATTACAGGAATAGAGACCATGCAGCCAAATGGAAAGATGCTTGTGCTTCAATATTAAATAGAAATGAATATATACTTAGTATAAAAAGATACGTAGCAACAATTGGAGTCAATACACCAAATTTTAAGTGGTTGAGCTAAAATAGCAGGATAACAGTGACCTTATCTTTTTTCATAATGTGCTTTCAGCCTGTATTTCTGGATGGCAATTGCCTTCCTTTCTTGACCCAAGTCCTGCCCAAGCTCCACGCCCAGCTTCCAGAGCCCTACCCATCTGTGTTGATGCCACTTAGTTTCCAGCTTTTCCAAGAAGCCCTCCCATCCCATCAGCCAAATGGAACTCTCCCTTTCCCATGCTCTTTTTTTTTTTCTTTTTTTGAGACAGAGTTTTGCTCTGTCGCTCAGGCTGGAGTGCAGTGGCATGATCTTGGCTCACTGCAACCTCCACTTCTCGGGTTCAAGTGATTCTCCTGCCTCAGCCTCTTGAGTAGCTGGGATTACAGGCACCTGCCACCATGCCTGGCTAGTTTTTGTATTTTTGTTTTTTAGTAGAGCCGGGGTTTCATTATGTTGGCCAGGCTGGTCTTGCACTTAGACCTCAGGTGATTCGCCTACCTCGGCTTCGCAAAGTGCTGCAATGACAGGCATGAGCCACCAGGCCTGGCCCCTTTCCCATGCTCTTGTGATGCTGTATTAACATTTCTTTTACAGGATAATATACAGTTTGCCTTGTATGGAAATAATATGTGTACAGTATGTGTCTGTTTCTGCAACTAAATTTCTAAACCCCTAGAGGGCAAGAACCATTTCATTTATTTTTCTCTCCCCACAGCAGAAGGCACAGGGCTTTTCCTGTGTGATATGCCTGAATAAATATTGGTTGAAATTAATTGAATTGCACTGCAATGAACTACTTCTGATTCCCTCGCAGGTGGAGCTCATGAAGGACTTCAGCATTTGGGTCCTTTTGGCAACATCCCCAACATCGTGGCAGAGTTGACTGGAGACAACATTCCTAAGGACTTTAGTGAGGATCAGGGGTACCCAGACCCTCCAAATCCCTGTCCTGTTGGAAAAACAGGTAACAGATATGCCTTTGGGTTCCCATGAAAAGTTGGGGCTTTGGAAGGAAATCAGAAATTCTAACATCAGCTACAAATATTCCCAGAAATTGTTATTTCCATTCTGATGAGCCCATGTGTATTTGTAAGTAGATGGGAAGGGGAAATTTATTCTAGAATTTTTATATGAGCTCTGTGTTCAGACACACCCACATAGGATTTTCCCTTGCCAAGGCTTTACTTTCTTTCTGTGTCTCCCCTTCTTTGGGAATTGATGCACTTTTCTGCACTTGCTACTCTTTTTTTTTTTTTTTTTTTGAGACAAAGTCTCGCTGTGTCACCCAGGCTGGAGTGCAGTGGTGTGATCTTGGTGCACTGCACGCTCCGCCTCCCAGGTTCATGCCATTCTCCTGCCTCAGCCTCCCGAGTACCTGGGACTACAGGCGCCTGCCACCACTCCTGGCTAATTTTTTTTTGTATTTTTAGTAGAGACGGGGATTCAGCGTGTTAGCCAGGATGGTCTCAATCTCCTGACCTCATGATCCACCCTCCTCGGCCTCCCAAAGTGCTGGGATTACAGTCGTGAGCCACTGCGCCCGGCCTGCACTTGCTACTCTTTTAATGAAAGGGGAAACACTTTTTTTTCCTTTTCCATGATACAACTTCTGCTGAGTTTTAATGTCTTTGGAACTAGTTAGTTTGTGGATTATCCATGCCTGTTTGTTCTCCTCGTTGATCATGACAGTCAACATTCTAACAGTGTCATGCATCAACACCGAGTTAGCATCTATCCTAAAATCCTGTTTATTTGGGGGCCAGGAGGTGGCATGGGAGAGAAGAGGTTCAGGAAGAAGCTGGTTAAGGAAGAAGGTTGAAATTTTCCATGTTGTTCATGCATCCCACCCACTTTCCTACCCACTAATGCCATAGAGAATGGTGAGTGGGCTTCACTTACATCCGGCTTTGAGCAGCTGACCTTGGTGGTTAAGAGTAGTGGCTCTAGACTCTGACTACCTGAGTTCAAACTCCAGGTCAACCTGTGTGACCTTAAACAAGTTAATTAACCACTTCGTACCTCAATTTCCTTATTTGCAAAATGGAGGTCATTGTGGGAATTAAATAAAATTATCCATGTAAAGCATTTTAGCACAGCACCTAGCACAGAGTAAGGACTCTTTAAATGTCATCCTGATTATAATTAGCTTTGCTGCCCCTAGTAAATAATGCACCTCTTACCTTGGGCTTGTGTTAGCTTCTAGCACCAGAGTAGTCTTTTCCTGCAAGCCTAATAATAATAATAGTTGGTATTTATCAGGTTGGTGCAAAAGTAATTGCACTTTTTACTATTGCTTTCAATAGGAAAAACTGCAATACTTTTGCACCAATCTAATATTATTTCTACTTTATATTAAGAAAACAGAAGCTTAGAGAGTAGCTTGCATAAGGTTATCCAGGTAACAAGTAGCTGAACCAAGACTCAAACCCAAGTCTACCTGATTAAGGACTGTGTACTCAACCACCAGGACATACTGCCTTGCTCTGAAAATTGTGATAACATTGACTACTCAACTTTTTTTCTTTTTCTTTTTCTTTTTTTTTTTTTTGAGATAGGGTCTTACTTTGTTGCCCAGGTGGGAGTGTAGTGGCACAATTATAGTAATTCTGTGCCTCAGCCTTCCAAGTAGCTGGGACAACAGGTGTGTGCCACCATGCCCAGCTAATTTTTAAATTTTTTGTAGAGGTGGGGTCTCATTATGTTGCCCAGGCTAAACTCAAACTTCAGAGCTCAAACGATCCTCCCACCTTGGCCTTCCAAGGTGCTGGGATTATGGGTGTGAGCTACCACACCGAGACTTTTTTTTCTTATGATACCCATAACTAGTCTGACATCAGCTTTTCTTAAACACAATGCAGGCTGTCTCTGAAAGAGACTGTCTTAGAAAATATGCTCCTCCTTTCATTTAGGATGAGGCCTCTGTTTTCCGTGGGGCACAAAGCTTCCATCTTGAGGCAGAACAACCAAAGTAGTTGGATGTGACCAAGCCAATGTGTGGCTGCTGGGCCAGGAAGGCAGGAAAACCTGAATCCCTGCCTGGCTCTAATCATTTCAGCCACCTTCTACTTGTTTGTAGGGTTTTGGATGGGTAGGAAGAAAGACTAGTTCAGAGTTTAGAGAGCGACAGTCTCCATTGTTAAGTCCATTGGATGTGGTACAGTGCAGTGGTTCTTAAAGTGTGATTCCAGGACCACCAGCAGCAGCAGCACCTGAAAACTTGCTAAAAATGCAACTTCTCAGTCCCTACCCTGATTCAACCTATTGAATCAGAAGATTCTGGGGGTGGGACCCAGGAATTTGTTGCAACCAGTCCTCCTCATGGTTCTAGTGCACACTGAACTTAGAGAATATTATAGGAGAATGGAAAGAGGTCCAGAGTTTGAGCCAAGAGATCTGACCTCTAGTGTTGACTGTAGTATGCCACTTTCACTTTCTTGAGCCTTAATGTCTTCACCTATGGAAGGAAGACATAGGCAATGCCTCCAAAGAGCATACAGTGTAGTTCTAGCTTGTCTGAAAACAAAAACAATAAAAACACAAAATCATACAGACCTGTGGAATCAAGCTCTAGTCTGTGCACTTAGGAGCTCTGAGAGGACAGCAATCAAGCTGGCCTGGTAGAATTGGACAAAATCCCAAATCCAGACACTTTCTTGTCACAGGTTGTCTGCCATTTCCTTTGCTGTTCTTCCATGAAACTAACATATTCCCTCATTCTTTGTTCTGCCACAATCTGCATTCCAAGAATGAAATCGCTTGCTAAATTTAGCCATTATTTGTGAGGAATTGCTTGAATTATGACACAACACAGCACAGTTGAGCAATCCAAGAATAAAACCTTGATTTCTCCTTTCATGCCATGCTGTCCTCTGAATCATGGCCCACTCACCCTGGATAGAGCAGCAGAGCTCAAAGAGTCCATCTCAGCCTCAGAGATAGGATGTGAATTCTAGGGCACATTTTTAAGCCCGGAGACACCTTCGGTTCCCAGAGCAGGCTTTATCTGCATCTCAGTCAGGGCCCACTCAGAGGTACACCAGAAACAATTATGAAAGGTTATAAAGGTGCCATATGCAGATTGCCTGAACTCTCTTGAATTGGTATATTTTCCTACATGTTAATTGCTATATATTGTGTAAGTTAGATAAATAGCTCACTGAAAAGTGGAGAGCCGCATTAGGGATTTGTTCAGAATGCTGATGACTTCCACACTAGCTGTATACTGCTAAGAGCTGAGAGACTGTGTACTGAAAGCTTAAGAGCAGTGTCAAGAACTAGACAACCTGGCTAATTGTAAATGGCCCCCCTTTCAGCATTGACTTTGATGTCTCATTATGTCTTTCAAATGAGACCCTCCTTCTTCCCCCTAACCCTGCACAAAATTCACAATCCCTCCTCTGTCCCCCTTTTTATTGCTGTTGTCTAAAATATATTAGACATGGGAAAAATGACTCATTTTTAGAGCATCATGCCTAGTAATAATAGAATTTACATAAAAGCAGCATCTGAGAGAGATAGCCTTCTTTCTTTGGTTTCAATGGAAAACTTGCTTGATTTCAAAGGGCAGTCATAGTATAAACTGTCAGTCAAAGGGAGATAATGGGAAGGGAACTAAAACATATTGCAAACCTATTATGTGCCGGGTGTTCTAAATGTAATCATCTCTATTCCTCACAGCAATCCCGTAGGTAAGTATTTGATTATTTGCATCTCACACATACATGAACAAACTTGGAGAGACCAAGTTAACTTTCCAAAGGAACTAAGCCTATCTATATCTTAGGAGCTGGGATTTGATCCTTGAGCTCTGCTCTTGTCTGACTCCAAAGCTTAAGCTGTTATCACAATAAAACACAACATCAAGTGCTGTGTGGAGATTGTTGTTGTTGTGTAATGTACTTTCTCCAAGAAGCCAAAGTAGTTTCTAAACTGCTTGCTCAGGAGAAAACAGAGTGGGTCATGTGCAACAGAAGTATGTTACCTAAGGAAACACTTGCTCTTGTAACAAATAAAAACATTGTATGGCTCAACGCAATAGAAGTTTATTTTTCACCCGTGTGAAGTCCTGCCAGAGGCGCGTGAGGCTGTAGTGCGGTGGATGGTTCGGCACCCCAGACTGCCATCTTTACACTTGACCCCCACAGTTGCCCTGGCAACATGTAACAAGCTGACCAGGAGATGGGGGTGGGGAATGAGGAGAAGTGGAGCATGGTATGAGAGGTTTTTATGCTTTTAGGTGATGTATTTCAATTCCAGGCCTGGGAATGGAATACATTACTTGTGCCCACATTCTGTTGGCCTCCACTCAGGCAAATGACTCCACGTGATTGCAAAGCAAGGCTGGGAAATTAGTCTAGCTGGGTGCTAAGGAGGAAAGGGAAGTGGGTTTGGTGAACAGCCAGTGAGTCTCTGCACAGGAGTGGGAGTTTGAGATGAGTAATCCTATCTAACTGGATCCTAGAGGGAAGGTGGCTGCTAGTGTTCTAAGTTACTACTGATGTGAACAGATTCTGACCTTTGGCTGCCTAGTTGTTTTTGATAAATTAACTCTTAGAATAATGATGAATGTCTTGGCCGTTCCTCAAAAACCTTTGGCTGTTTGCAGCAGATGATGGATGTCTAGAAAACACCCCTGACACTGCAGAGTTCAGTCGAGAGTTCCAGTTGCACCAGCATCTCTTTGATCCGGAACATGACTATCCAGGCTTGGGCAAGTGGGTAAGTCCTATCTCAATTGTTAGTAGATTTTGCACTTTGGTACTCTGAAGGTGCTGATGGCAGGGATGAGCAATATGGGCAGAAGGAGAGAAGAAAAATTATTTAGAAGCTAATTTTTCAGAAATCTCTGGTTGACAGAGCTTCAAGTCATGACTACTCAAAACCACACTTATGTGTCCAGGCAGCACTATACCAAATCCAACTAAAGAGACAGCAACCTAACATTGACCATAGTCTCCAGAGTCTTCTACTCTGGTCTGCTTCACAGCCTGTGTCATACACATCCTAAATTTCACCAGTGTTTCATGCATCTCTATAGGGTTTTATCAAAGGATATGATTTTTTTTAATTGACACAGAAAATTTGCAAATGTGATCTCTAAACTAAGGGAGATGATCTCTGCAGAATCAAGGGAATAAAGATGCCAGAGCTTAGAAACAGATATATATAATTCTGCTTTATAGAAAGAGAAAAAATATTCCGTGATGTGTAGCAGTGAGATTGCTGTCAGTCCTAGGTAAGTGCATATAGCTGTCAGTTAAGGGAGTTGTTTATAAGCACTTGGAAAGATAAATCATGACCATTTGGCATCAGTGTGCTAAAAACAAGTCTTGCCAATCTAATTATATTCTTCCATTTGCCAGCATTATTCATTTATTTGCCAGCTTGATGAGGGAAATGCAGTGGGCATGGTGCATTTGGACTTTTGCAAAGCATTTGACAAGATCGTTTTATGTTCCCCTATTGGAAGAGGTGGAAAGATACAGCCTAGGCAACAGAATGTCACCAAAATGGGGCTTGTTAAAGAGTCCATGTAAATAGGGAGGGAGATTTCACATGGTATTCTGTGTGTCTTAGCACTACCCCACTCCACATTTTTATCAATGTTTGTAATAATATAGAACTTGTACTTATCAGATTCCCAGAGGATGACATGAAGTTGGAAGAGATACCATCAGATGACAGAGTTGGGATTCAAGAAGATCCCAGCAGACTAGAACAATGAGCCAAACAAGATCAGAACTGAGTGGGGATATGTCTGTGTTTCTGTGGTTGGGCCAGATGCTGAAGCCATGGGAGAAAAGTGGGGAAATACCTAGGAGTGTTCCTTCACATGTAACAGTAGGTGGCCAGTACGTCTGTGGAATGAATGAGTGAGTGAATGAGCAAATATTCCAACTCCCTCAGCCCTTCTAAAGTCCTCATCTCTTCTTAGCTCATTATTGGCAGATGGCCTTGCTTACTGCTTTACTGGGAACACTGAAATTTCAAAACTAAACTCCCTCCTTTCCTCCTACATTGTTTTAGAGAAATCTTCATTAATGACCACTTTTATTTTTTTCAGCGTCTTGCTTTAACATGCATTGTCAGTTCCCTCTGTCTTCAACATACACACATTTCCTGTCTTAAAACAACAAAGCAACAACATTCCTAAGTTAATTTTGCTTCTTCCAATTTGCATTATTCCATTTCCTTCTTTTTCATAAACAGTTCTGTTTGGAAGAATTGGTTTGTGGAGCCACTTTCAAGCCTAGTAGTAGAGCTTAAACATGTTGAATTAAATAGAAAAACATCTATAGGTTCTCGAATAGGAGACTGAAATAATAAAAGCCTTCTATAAAAGAAGTTATTTTGATGGCATATTAAAGGATGAAGTAAAAGGAGAAGAGACTAACCCTAGACAGGAAGAAAATATGGGGAGTCATTTCAGTTATGATGACTGTGAACACCGTGAAGAAGGGTGAGAATCCAAGACATTTTAAAGGGGGAAAAACTAACTAGAATTGGTATACGGAATAAATATAACATGAAGAAGAAAGAAGAGATATGTCAGGTTCATATGAAATGGACAATATGAACTTTTTCTTTGAATGCATTTTAGAAAGAAAGAAAAGAGAGGAATAGAGGGAGGAAGGACATAAAAAAGAGAAGAGAGAGTGAGGGAAAGAGTAGATTGCGGAGGAGTACTGGGAAGAGATCCACAAGAGGTGATCGAAGCATTGCCAAACAGAAGCAAAAGCCAGGTTCGATAAGGCACAAAGAGAACACATTGAGCCTGCTGTGTTCCAGGCACTGTGCTAGATGCTCAGTATGCAGGAGTCATCAGGACATGGTGCTGGTCTTCAGAGAGCTTATAGTCCCACGGTTGAGATGAATTGCATGAAAATGAAATGAACCCAACTTAGCACCGCTCCACTTCATGTTTCGTCTGTATTCTGAGGGCCAGGGGCAATTATTAGGGAAGATGGAAGACAAGGGTAGAGGAAGATCCAGAACTGAGGACTGGTGTGGCTGATTGGGGTAGTAGCCACAGAGGAAGTCAAAGGCACTAAGGAGGGCAGCACTGAAGTTTCAGGTGGGAAAGTCTTCAGCTTCACCAGTAGGCTAGGAATGAGAGAAAGAAAGGAGGGAGACTGAGTCAAGGTGTGAGTGAAGGCAAGGAGCCCAGTTGGTGGCATGATGAGGTGGGAGGGATGAAAACATCTCTTTTCAGCTCTCTTCATCTCTTCTTGAAAATCTTCACAGATTTCTCTCATCAAATTCCACTCACTTCCAGTGCCCCAGTATGAGGCCAACCACGGTCCTTCATTCTCTGTGCTTCCTTCTCGAAACACTGACTTGAGTTTCTCTCAGTGTTTCCTATTCTTTGTCCACATTAGAGCTAAAGACTAGAATCTAGGATCAAATGTAAAAGGAAAATATTAGAGATCAATGACCAGGAACAATGTTTAGATACCTTTTATCATCTGCAATTATGTGTTTACTTAAACTTAGGTCTCCTTGTTTATTTTCTCATTACTACCTACCAGTAAAACATTGTTTCCTTGGTTTTCACATGGAAGTGGGAATTGAGTATGTCTTGCTTTTCTAAACTGGGAACCACAAACCTTCCTCAGTGCTTATATGGAATGACAGTCTCAAGCTTGTCTTCAGCCCAGCCATCCTTTAAGTTAACAGAGTCATCATCTTTCATGATAGAACAGCACAAAGACCCTGCTTCCTTATCTGCTAATAACGCTTCCTTGTTTTTGACAGTAGCTGGAGCTGAGCTGCATCTTTAACAGTGATTCACATATTACACATTTCAGTGTCTGTCTTGTTTCCTGCATTTCTCTCTTCGTTAGTGCATCAAGACACATTTATTAACGACACATCATATGCCTTCCGGGCCCCGTGTTAGGTAATGGGAATACAAAGATGAATGATAATAGTAATTGTATTACATAATACATAATACTATATAATACAATAGTAAATAGTAATATTTATTGACCACATACTATATGCCAGACTCCTTTCTAAATACTCAGTAATCTTATTCAATCTGCCCATCCTTGTCATTCTCACTTTCCAGATGAGAAAATGCAGGCTTGGGGAGCTGAGGAGCCTGCTCAGCCCACAGAGCTGGGATTTGAACCCCATCATCTGACTCCAGAGTACTTTACAAGCTGAATACATTCCCTATCTTTTCATGGCTCATTGCTCCTAACCTGTCCTGTGTGGTAGTCCTATTGAGTCCTACCGAGGGCTGGCTGCCTTCCAGACAATGTGTGTGACTACACCAGTGGTGACCACACCAATGGCTGGCTCCTGTACATGCCAGCTACCCACTCCCCCTTTACACATTAACTGCTGAGTGTTATTTACTTAAGAAAAAGTTGTCTCAAAAAGCAAATATTTTTCCTTTCCAAATGCTTTCACACCTTTTCATCAGTAGCTGATCACAGCCAGAGCCTGAGCCACGGGGATATGAGGGACCAGACCCCTCCCTGACTTGCTTTGTCATTCCTGACCTTAACATGTTTGATGAGTTGAATGCTCTTCAATGTGGATTTGACTCAGGTTTCCATGTGATTAGACCTGCTTAGTATTTTATGTCCTACTTAGTATTTTACATCAGCAAGCACATGATGTCAGGGAAGTTTGTCTCATGACTGGCAGTGTTCACTTTGTTAAGGTGCTGCCCTCCAGGTTTCTCTGGTGTAAAATTCCCTTAGAAATTAATAGGCCGGGCACAGTGGCTCACACCTGTAATCCCAGCACTTTGGGAGGCCGAGGCAGGCGGATCATGAGGTCAGGAGATCGAGACCATCCTGGCTAACACAGTGAAACCCCGTCTCTACTAAAAATACAAAAAAATTAGCCGGGCGCGGTGGCGGGTGCCTGTAGTCCCAGCTACTTGGGAGGCTGAGGCAGGAGAATGGCGTGAACCCAGGAGGCGGAGCTTGCAGCGAGCCGAGATAGTGCCACTGCAGTCCGGCCTGGGCAAAAGAGCAAGACTCCGTCTCAAAAAAAAAAAAAAAAGAAATTAATAGTTACTCTGTGGGAAGAAGTTTTGGGGCTGTGTAAATATTCTGCTCCTCGTTCAACTTTTAACCAACAAATATAACATCCATTGATGATGCTTACCAGATTCAATAATGATGATAGCTGCAAAATGATGATTTTCTTACTCCGCTATTCTTTCTGCATTTACTAGTTGACATTCTATTCTAAGCAAGAGTTTCCCCTGCTGTTCTATTTATTTATTTATTTATAAATGTGTTTATTTATATAGTATAAGTATGGATTCATGGATTCCATAATGCATATTATTATGTATTCTGGTGTTCAAACTGTCCTAAATTTGGCCAGTGCGAGTCTCCTCAAGCTTTCTTTTCTTTCCTTTTGACAGGACCTCATCATTTTTTTGAGCACTTCTTTATTTTCTGACCTAATTAGCTATTCCATCTTCACCCATCCTTGCACTTTCCTTCCTAGCCCTGGAATTAGACTTTTCTCCAGGAAGCTCCCTGGCTGTATTTAGGAGTGTAATTTGAAACCAGGATCTGGACAGTTGTCCAAAATCTTGATGGCACTATGGAAAGCCCTTTTAATGAACTTGAACCTGCTACTCACATGGAAAACAGGCTCACCACTCCCCAAGGAATCAACAAGGAATGGGCGTGAGGAGAGATAGCTGATTTCTTTTCATTCAATTTGTATGCTTCTCTTACCCATACCATACCTGCCAATGCCTTCAAGTCCATACAATAATAGGGCTAATTAAGAATGTCCCAGACACTTTCATGCAGGGGTAGGGAAGCATTATCCTGCTAATCCTAACCCTAGCTCTTAAGGAGACACAGGGACCATCTTTGAGAGGAAGATTAGCCAGGCCTTTTGCATTTCTTTTTTTTTTTTTTTTTTGAGACGGAGTCTCGCTCTGTCCCCCAGGCTGGAGTGCAGTGGCGCAATCTCAGCTCACTGCAAGCTCTGCCTCCTGGGTTCATGCCATTCTCCTGCCTCAGCCTCCTGAGTAGCTGGGACTACAGGCGCCCGCCACCACGCCCGGCTAATTTTTTGTAGTTTTAGTAGAGACGGGGTTTCACCGTGTTAGCCGGGATGGTCTCGATCTCCTGACCTCGTGATCCTCCCACCTCGGCCTCCCAAAGTGCTGGGGCACATTTCTTTTTGAATGAAGACTCTTATGGGTAGGATCTGCCCCCAAGATCTCCTAAAGAATTAAATGATGCTGGCTTTACCTGGCTGATGGCACAGTGGAACTCTGCCAGAGCTGGCTGACAGTCCCACCCCATGGTAGTAGCTCTCAGGTTCTTCCACACTCCATCCAGCTCAGGCAGCTGAAAACAATGGTACACATGAAGAAGACATGTCCTCACCCCTTCCCGGCCTTCCCAGCTCTAACACCAGCTCTTCGGATATTCTCTGCCTCAGGAGTTTTTACGTTCACAGAAAGGCAACCACAGACTGTAGAGAATGAGCCTCACAGCAATATCCTCATTCCTCAAGGAAATGATCTGCAAGTCTGCCTTTTCTCCCTTCCGATATTAAATTGATTTATTCCCCAAGTGAGCAGGAGATAGAGGCTGTAGCCAGTACTGGTGTTTTTGGTAGTAGAGGCTCCTTCACTCTGGCACCGCCTCCTTGCATAGTTGAGGTTGGGCAAGAGATATGCATTGTAAATTGCAGGTGGGGTAGATTTTAATGAACGTGAAAAATGATGAAGCTCATTCTTGGCATTTGTCATTTTCAATTCCAAATCTATCACTAAAAATAAGTCTTTATAAGTGGACAGCTCAGAGGATACATGTTGTATAAACTTGTTCCTTACCAGAACTCTGTGGTTGTCTTTGTTTTTTTTTTTTCTTAATGTCAGAGTATTTTATTTAGAACAAAACGAATCACCTCTTTTATACATCATTTTCCTCCAGATAAAAAAAATCAAATAAATAAAACAACACAAGTAAAGCCCCCCCCCACCGCCACCAAATCCCCTTCTCCCTTTCTGCCTTCAGGTTAAGTGTTCTGTCTTTTATAATCTCAATAGAAGGGAAATCTGTTGAGCATGTGTCTGATATTCTAGAGCTCATTGAAGCCCACTATGTGTTTGAAATACAGCAATGTGTGGAAACACTTACACAAACTGTGGTAACAGAGCCCTGCCCCCCGACCCAACATAACTTTCCTTTCTGCCAAGAAGTTTTTTGGCAGTTTTTAAAAGGTTCACTCTATTAAAAATGTTATAGACCAAATGGTTTTCCAATTGTCTTGACTGGGGGCACTGACTTAACGCCACAGACAAAATGGTTGCAGAAGTCAGAATGTCTCGTTTATTTACACAGGGGATTGTTGTTAATAGTCAGACGCTACTCTAGAGAGCAGTTTATAAAAAGGGAGTTAGATACAAAAATAAATGAGATAAAATCATTTGTTTTAAACAAAGGCTGTTCAAAGTGAGGAGATGGGTTTCCAGCACCCTTCATGTTTTAAAATGTCGTATTTCCCTGTTTATGTGATTGTTGATGACACTGGTGTGCCTCAGGGCATTGCAGAGGACTTTATTAAAAGCCGAACCACCACCAGCTTTACTCTTGTGGTCTATCTTTCTGACACGACATTCCTTTCATCTAGTTTTGTTTCCAAAATATGCGTATGCAAATATCTAGGGGACACACCAAGTATTGCTTTTAAAATAGACATTCACCAAATTTGATCCATACTTCTGCATTTTTTGTTTTCTTTTCTCCCCATTCTAGAACAAGAAACTCCTTTACGAGAAGATGAAGGGAGGAGAGAGACGAAAGCGGAGGGTAACACGTGCCTGGCTGGATTGTTGCGGGGATGCTTGGAGCTTTCTGAGTGGGGCAGTGAACAGGCTGAAACCCTCGCTTGTTGGGAAGTCACAGAATCCTCCCTTGTGTAGTCCTGAGAAACACTGGTCCATGTGACAAGGGCCACACCCAGAAAGTCTGTCCTTGGTTTCTGCGATGGCTTCCCCAGGCTTTAGCAGATGATTTTTAGTGGAACGCGCAGTCTGTAGCAATTCTAGCAACTCCATTCCGTTCAGGAAATGTGTATTGCTTCCCCCATCAGTGTGGGACATATCTGGGGGGACATGAGGGTCTGTCTGCCCTCCCAGGGTCTGTAGGCCAGTGGGGAAAAACTGATCACACATCTGCATCAATTCTATAAAAACACAGGACAGAAACAGGGAAGTGCTGAACTGCATGCTCCAGGAAATAACTTTGAAGGAATTCGGGAGCAAAAGATGAGATGAACAAACTTAATTTCTCCTATGTATCTTTTTTTCTTGGCCTAGCCAGACTGATGTAAAATCTACTAGATCTGTAATATTTGTTTGCTGTCTGTTGAATTTACTGCAGGCTTAGTTTTTAACCATCCCAGGGCTGCCCAAGGTAGGAACTTGGTCTAGATACTCCACATTTAGCTACTTCATATACAGTGTTGCCTCACGTAAAACTCAATGTCACATTTGCTTTGGCTTTCCAGGGTATTTTATAGCATCAAGACTTGATAAGTGATCAAGGTCCATTCTGCTAATCCACTGGTACCTTACTAGTCAGAAGGGCCTGGCCACCTACCTCCTTCTTTATCTGATCAGATGAAAGTGGGAGAAAAAACAACCCCACTGTTACATGGTAAAATGCTATGAGATAGTGACCATTTTAGTTAAAACATACAAACCTAAGCACGTACTCAAAGCCACTGACTATTTATTCAGAAGAGCAAGTGCCTGGATCCTCACAAAATTTGGGAATCTGGGCAGTGGTAATTGTGGCCATTCTGAAGGGTTTTGCCAAATCCGGTCAGAGAGAGCTTCAAGAGGTGTGGATTTTCTGGCCTCAGCATCAGTCCTCAGGCCCCCACAACAGAAGGTTCCAAGCCCCTGTACTGCCTGACAAAACACAGAAGACATACAGCAATTTTCTACGCGAGAAGTAGAAAATTTTTACCTCTGGAAACAAATCTTTTTTGAGGAGAGTTAACAGAGTTATTAGGGGTTTTTCTTGGTGATTACAGCTTCCAATAGCAGATGGTGACAGAAAGGGTCCAAAGGGTATAATGTGGTCTTGAGGGAACATCAAGAAATTCTATTCTAGGAACTCAAAATACACATAATTTACCAGTAACACGGCTTGAATATCTCCCTACAACACAACAAGAACATTTCCAAATAAGAGCAATGACTGACCCAAAATCAATAACTTAGCTTGAAACTTTAATTGTCTCTACTTCCTGGCCCACCATTCCTTCTGCCCTGACTCAGTGAATGACCATGGTCACGATTTAGGTCATTTTTCCGTGAGACTAGTGATTACCAAAACTCAGAATGCTGGCTAAGACACATGCTATAAAGGATTTTACTTTAGCCTCAATTTCCTCCACATAGGAAAGGCTTAGAATTTAGGAAAAGAAGGGTCACTTTGACCCAGAGATATCAAGTTCTTCCTGTTCTTGGGCATCTACAAAGACCCATTCTCATGCCATAAACCATGGGCCTCTCTGGATTGATAAGGAAGCACGTTGGCCCTGCCCATCATGAGGTCTCAGATGATGTTCCCATCTTGATTAAAGACATTAACACTGCCCCACCACCACCCCCAGTACATGAATCAATATAAAGAAACTATACGCTTTCTTTTTTGAACAATGAAGTCTTCCTTCAGTGAAGCTCAGCATCTGCTGTGAGTTTCCAGAGGACATTGTAAGCAAAGATCCAATCCCAGTGGTTCTTCCAGTTGTGAAATGGGAATCATGTTCTCTGTGTGCCCTACCCAATCTCTTGCCCAAGTGAGAGAAGACAAATATAGCAGTGCCTTGAGTTTTTCAGAGCACAATTAAAGCCAAGGCTCAGCTAGGCATGGTGGCTCACGCCTGTAATCCCAGCACTTTGGGAGGCCGAGGAGGGTGGATCACCTGAGGTCAGTAGTTCAAGACCAGCCTGGCCAACATGGTGAAACCCCATCTCTACTAAAAGTACAAAAATTAGCCGGGCGTGGTGGTATGCTCCTGTTATCTCAGGTACTCGGGAGGCTGAGGCAGGAGAATCGTTTGAACCTGGGAGGTGGAGTTTGCAGTGAGCCGAGATCATACCACTGCACTCCAGCCTGGGTAATGGAGTGAGACTCCATCTCAAAACAAAGCAAAACAAAACAAAAACAAACCCAAAGCTCATTATTATTATTCCTAAGTGCTGGATTCAATACTCAGTTAAATATTTATCAAAAAAGTTCACCTGATTCCTCTTTTTACCTCCTCATTAATTTTTCCCCTCCCCTCCAACCTTTGCATGTTGTAGGTCTGGGCAGGACTTCTCCCATGAGAGATAGATTCTCCTCAAAGTTGCAACCAAGCCCCATATGGCTTTGAACAACTTTTTGTACTCACCCAAATCCAATTGAATTCCTCATTGCTTCACAAATGAAATGTCAATCTACCTTTAAATGACTGTGAACTTTTAAACTCTTAAGCTGTATCTTGTTAATATTTGAGCTCTACTATTGATCTTATTTAAACAGTTTATGAACCTTTTAATCTCATATTTGATAAACTTGAACCTCTCATATCCTCCTTTAACATATTAGAATTTTTGGAATAAATATTACTAAACAAAATTCTGATATGATCCCCTGGGGTAGGCCAAACCACTGTAATTGATAAAAGGAATTTTTATTATTTTAAATATTTCTAAGATGAATTCTCAGCAAGGTGTTGTCTTGTGGCATGTCACTTTTCAAGTGTCTGAGGACATTGCTCACTTTGTAATTCTCACCTACTTTGTGATGCATCTTTGTAGAGTGAGTCGGACCTTTCACGATTCATGCGTTTAGCAGTCAGAATGTGAAAGAACATTTGTAAATGCTAAACTCAGGTTTCATTCCTTCTCTTTTGAAGAATGTCTGCTCACCTTTCAAGAGTCATGGCAGGTTATTTCATGGGCAAGAGAGCTCCACCTGTGAACAGACTCCATTCATACATGGGGATTGAGCATGCAACAGGGATTGCTGATCGTTTGTAACTACAGCTTCTTTCTTTCTTTTTTTTTTTTTTTCTTTTTTGAGATGGAGTCTCGCTCTGTCGCCCAGGCTGGACTGCAGTGGCGCAATCTCGGCTCACTGCAAGCTCCGCCTCCCAGGTTCCTGCCATTCTCCTGCCTCAACCTCCCAAGTAGCTGGGACTACAGGGGCCCACCACCACGACTGGCTAATTTTTTGTATTTTTAGTAGAGACGGGGTTTCACCGTGTTAGCCAGGATGGTCTCGATCTCCTGACCTTGTGATCCGCCCACCTAGGCCTCCCAAAGTGCTGGGATTACAGGCGTGAGCCACCGCGCCTGGCTACAGCTTCTTTCTTATATTTTTGTTCCATTATTGGAAGGCAACTTCAATGAACAAACATCTTCCAAAACTTTTGAATTTTTCTTCTGCTTGCTAAATACTATTTTGTAAAGTTTCAATTACTAGTTCGAATCCACACCTCAATAAATAGATATGTATTAGAGAAGGAATGGAAAAATATTTACTCATTAAGAATACCAACACATGAAAGTGATTTCAGAGTATGGAGTCTTGAGTCAAAAACAAAGGACCCTTCCCGGAAGCTTCCTTTTTTGCTTCAGTTTTTGAATTTGACTGAAGGAAGGTGGAAATGATCACTCGAGCCCCTAATGAATTCTCCTTAGTAAAATACTGGCGAGGAAGAATCAATCCCAGCAACAGGATGATCTGGGACCAGTCTTCAGATGTTAATTCCCACTTGGCCCTACTCTTCTCCTTTAGAACGTTTTTCTTGCAAAATATAATTTAATGCATTTCAGATTCCCCTTCCTACCTAAATAGGGCCATAGAATAATAATTATCTTTCTTATGGGTCTTGGTATCTAAATTAGTAGCAAGGACTTATGAGGTGGTTTACTGCACTTCTTTGCACCAAAAATAATAATTTTTAAAAAGACCACATTGTATCTGATAAAGAGCTCTATAGTTGTGTGAAAAACACAATTAGAGACATCTATCAGTCAGAAAATGTTTCATAGGCCACTGAGGTATTAATTAGTACACTGGAGTAATTGTTTGGTAGTTGGTAGGTGCCACTGGTTACATTGTTGTTAACCTAATAGGCCAGAAACAATTCTTTTCTTTTCTTTTTTCTTTTTTTTTTGAGACAAAATCTTGCTCTGTCGCCCAGGCTGGAGTGCAGTGGCATGACGTCTGCTCACTGCAAGCTCCGCCTCCCGGGTTCACGCCATTCTCCTGCCTCAGCCTCCCAAGTAGCTGGGACTACAGGCACCCACCACCACGCCCGGCTAATTTTTTGTATTTTTAGTACAGACGGGGTTTCACCGTGTTAGCCAGGATGGTCTCGATCTCCTGACCTCGTGATCTGCCCACCTCGGCCTCCCAAAGTGCTGGGATTACAGGCGTGAGCCACCGCGCCCGGCCCCAGAAACGATTCTTGTTCATTTCTTTTCTGAGATGTCTGTATCTGATGTTCACATATAACACCAAACCACATGGTTTTTGTTTGTTTGTTTTTCAGAGTGTCAATCCATATCTACAAGGACAGAGACTGGATAATGTTGTTGCAAAGAAGTCTGTCCCCCATTTTTCAGATGAGGATAAGGATCCAGAGTAAAGAGAAGATGCTAGACGAAAACCCACATTACCTGTTAGGCCTCAGCATGGCTTATGTGCACGTGTAAATGGAGTCCCTGTGAATGACAGCATGTTTCTTACATAGATAATTATGGATACAAAGCAGCTGTATGTAGATAGTGTATTGTCTTCACACCGATGATTCTGCTTTTTGCTAAATTAGAATAAGAGCTTTTTTGTTTCTTGGGTTTTTAAAATGTGAATCTGCAATGATCATAAAAATTAAAATGTGAATGTCAACAATAAAAAGCAAGACTATGAAAGGCTCAGATTTCTTGCAGTTTAAAATGGTGTCTGAGGTTGTACTATTTTGGCCAAGTCTGTAGAAAGCTGTCATTTGATTTTGATTATGTAGTTCATCCAGCCCTTGGGCATTGTTATACACCAGTAAAGAAGGCTGTACTCAAGAGGAGGAGCTGACACATTTCACTTGGCTGCGTCTTAATAAACATGAATGCAAGCATTGGCATATGGAGTTTTCTTTTTAAAGCATTATAAAGAACAATTTCTTTGTTTAATAGAACAACCTGATCTACATATATGATAGTATATGATCCAAACAATAATGCTGTGAACTTAATGGGTCTGGTATTATCCCCATTTTACAGATGGTAGAACTGAGATGCATTCAACACACTGAGATACGTTCAACACACCATTGGGAATCATCAGCAAAATCCAGCATGAAGAGTCTCTACAGGATAAGTAGCCTAGATTTTTCCAACAAATAAATGATAGGAGGGAAAAATGGTGGGGTACTATCATAGATTTTAAAAGGCTTAAGAGACATACGAGCCAAATATAATGTGTGTGGGTCTTATTTGCATCCTGACTCAAAGAAAAGCATTGATCAGACAGTCAGGGAAGTTTGAGTAGTAACTGAATATTTTGGTATGATTCAAGTGTTACACAGTATTATATTATGGCTATTTTTTTAAAAGAGCCCTTATATCTTAGGGATAAATATTGAATTATTTACAGATGATATGATGTCTTGGATTTCTTTAAAATAATCCAGTGGTAGTGATGAGGTGGAGGGCCAGGAGGGAATGGGGATATAGATAATCAAGACTGGCCATACACTGATAACTGTTGAAGCTGGGTCAAGGGTACTTGGGAGTTCATTGTACTTCTTATATCTTTTTTTTTGTTGCTTTTTTTTTTGTTTTTGAGACAGAGTCTTGATGTATCACCCAGGCTGGAGTGCACTGGTGTGATCTCAGCTCACCGCAACCTCCACCTCCTGGGTTCAAGCGATTCTCCTGCCTCAGCCTCCGGAATAGCTGGGATTACAGGTATCCACCACCACACCCTCTAATTTTCGTATTTTTAGTAGCGACTTGGTGTCATCATGTTGGCCAGGCTGCTCTCAAAACTCCTGACCTCAAGTGATCCGCCCACCCCGGCCTCCCAAAGTGCTGGGATTACAGGCATGAGCCCTCGCATCTGGCTTGCACTTCTTATTTCTATGTTTGTATGTATTTGAAAAATTCAACAATAGAACCACAGTTAATGGTTAAAAAGTAAGAGTAGATCATGGTAAGAACTGGCCTGGAGTCCAGGTGTGGTGCCTCATGCCTGTAATCCCAGCACTTTGGGAGGCCAAGGCAGGCGGATCACCTGAGGTCGAGAGTTCGAGACCAGCCTGACCAACATGGAGAAACCCTGTCTCTGCTAAAAATACAAAATTAGCTGGGTGTGGTGGCGCATGCCTGTAATCCCAGCTACTTCGAAGGCTGAGGAAGGAGAATTGCTTGAACCCAGGAGGCAGAGGTTGCAGTGAGCTGAGATGGCACCACTGCACTGCAGCCTAAGTGACAAGAGTGAGACTCCGTCTCAAAAAAAAAAAAAACAACAAAAAACTGGCCTGGAAATAGCAATGTTGGACAAGGTAGAATAAGGCTACATAAGGCTGTGGACAATGTGAGGAAGCCAAAAAGGAAGGTGAATGAAGAGTTGTCCCAAGGTGCTAGGGAAGTAGCAGAGGGATCCACGGGAGAGAAAATCTGGCTGGGGCTAGTGGTGATGAACTAGATAGTGAAGTCAGAGTGGCTGGAAGGAGAAGGGATTTTCCTGGAAAAAAAAATAGGAAACTTAGAGGCAGGAGACAAGGAGAACCTCCATTAGACAGACTCAGAAAGGCCCTTTCTTTCTGAATGGAGTCAGCTGGGCATCTGCAGCACAGACAGAGGGATTTGCCTGTGGGCTGGAGAGGGTCATTACTCCTATCTCAGTCTTCCCACAATGCTCCAGCTGAGGATCTTTGAAACCAGAAAGGTGGTTATAGTCACCCCAGAGACATGTGGAGAACAAAAGAAGAGGATGGTGCTAGCACCACAGCCATTCATCCTGATTGAACTCCCACTGTGGACACAGCCAGCTGGAGCCTCAGAGCAGTCACACAGCATGAGGAGGGGTTTACAATGGAGTCATTCTAGAAGAGAATTTCCTCCGTTCTTGCTACTGGGAGAGAGAAAATAGATTGTTGAGTGTTTCCTACAGCGTTTGTGCAAAGCCATCCTCCCCTCCCACTGCCTTCAAAGTGAGTCACGTGCCAGGTCACCAGGCTGAGTCTTCTAGGGATGGCTCTTCCAAATGTGTTTACACCCAAAGATGCAGTGTTCCGGAACACACCTGGAGGTCCTGAAGGGAGCAATTCAGAGTTGGAAGTGTTTCTGCCAGTGAGTTGGGGGTCTGTCTGGGTTGGGCAGCTACCTGGAGGTGATATGAGCTTGGAAAACTGAGTCATCCACTCGATCCACAGTTCCACAGTCACTGCCACACAATGAGGAGCAGCATGACCCTGACTCCACACTTCCCAAGACTCCTGGAACAGAATTCTATTTCTTTGGCAAGGCTGCGACGAGGACCTTTCCTATTTACTCAGCTAGGCACAAAGGAATAGCAGAAACATCTTTTCTCCTCCTCTTTCCTTTGAAACCTTTGAGAGATACCAGGCTTCACATATAAATCTCACAGATACCAGCCACAGGGTTAGGTCCTGGAGAACGAAACCCTCCAGATCCCCTATCTGTCACAGGATCACATGGTGATCACTAAAGTGCCACTGCCTTGGCCAGGGGGACAGGAGAGCCAGGAAAATGGGAACATTTATTAAAAATAAATTGTCGGCCAGGCACAGTGGCTCACGCCTGTAATCCCAGCACTTTTGTGATCCAGCCAAGGTGGGCAGATCACCTGTGCTCAGGAGTTCAAGACCAGCCTGACCAACATGGTGAAACTCCATCTCTACTAAAAGTACAAAAAAAAAAAAAAAAAATTATCCAGGCCTGGTGGCGCATGCCTGTAATCCCAGCTACTTGGGAGGCTGAGTCAGGAGAATCACTTGAACCCGGAAGGTGGAAGTTGCAGTGAGCCGTGATGGCGCCATTGCACTCCAGCCTGGGCAATAAGAGCGAAACTCCGTCTCAAAAATAAATAAATAAATAAAATAGATTGTCAGCTAGAGGAACTCATTCTTCTAGCTGCGAGTGGGTAGGGGAGGACATGGTTAATTACTTCTCTCTTATGATCCCTTTTTGTGTTCCTGTGGGACCCCACGCATACTTTCATACAGTCCCTGAAACGGGGCATAATGATAAGAGTTACTCTATATACATAACAAGCTCTGTATACATTGTTCATTTAAACATCCCGCCCTACATTTTATAGATGAAGCCATTGAGGCAGACGGATTCCATGACTTAACCAAAACTCCTCAACTAGTAAGTGGCAGAGTTGGAACTTGAATTTAGGCCTCTGGGACTCCACAGTAGACACTCTCCCCTGTACCACACTACCACCTGTTAAAAGAGAAACCTTAGACAGATTAAACTGAACAGACTTTGAGTAAAGAGCAATTTGCAAAACAGGTTCAGAGAGACTCTGCACTGCCGTGTGGTTGAAGACAACCGATGGACAGCAAAAGGAAAGTGAGGTACACGAAAAGTGAGGGACAGAAACAGCCGTATTGGTTACATTTCAGTGTTTGCCTTATCTGAACATGGTTTGAACAGTTGGCCACCTTTGGCCGAATCTCAGTGATTGGCACAAGAGTAGGTTACAGCCTGTTTACACATCCAGCTAGGTTACAGTTTGCTATGTACAGAGAAAACTTTAGGCCGAGCTTTCACTATGTAAGGAGGCAGCTTTGGGCTGAACTTAATTTGGCACACCTAATACTTGTTTACTTATTATATATGTGCCTCATTCAACTGGGTTATAAGCTCCTTGAAGCCATAGGCTGTGTCTCATTTTTCTTTTTATCTTGATATCTTGCACGCGGCCTAACAAAGGCAATAATAACTGCTGAATGAATGAGCATGATGGAATGTTTTAAAGACGTCATAAAAGGTAAATCATCTTAGACTGTGTACAGAGGGAAAGGTGGAATTACCTCTCACTTTGGTGGGATTTACAGATTGATGTGAAGTTGTGAACATGGTTCTCAAGTCTTTCTTTTCTTTTTTTAGACGGAGTCTCGCTCTGTCGCCCAGACTGGAGTGCAGTGGCACGATCTCGGCTCACTGCAAGCTCCGCCTCCTGGGTTCACGCCATTCTCCTGCCTCAGCCTCCTGAGTAGCTGGGACTACAGGCTCCCACCACCACACCTGGCTAATTTTTTTTGTATTTTTAATAGAGACGGGGTTTCACCACGTTTGGCAGGATGGTCTCGAACTCCTGACCTTGTGATCCGCCCGCCTCGGCCTCCCAAAGTGCTGGGATTACAGGCGTGAGCCACTGCGCCCGGCCCTCAAGTCTTTCATAGAATCAGCCAGTAGAACTACCCGCTTCTTTTCTGAGTCACTGCTCAAGTGTCGGTAGTTCAGGAAGTGTCAAGGCACAGAGTTCCTGCCAAATATCTCAGTTTGCTGCACACCATGACGGTTGTGCATGATTCATTTATTAGGGAGACAGACCAGATGCGTGGGACGGCCCTGCTCACCATCAAGGCAGATCTGTGGGCAGACAGAGCATTGGGTTCTGCTGTGGGTTTTCATCGACCAGTGTTCCCTCTCTGACCATGGGAAAGCCACATGGGCAGTGCAGAAGGCATATCCCAGCCCTTCACTGGTATCATGTGCTGTGGCAACAGCCTTGGGGATTAGAACAGAGAAACCTGGGGAAACATTGGCCACTCAATGAGAAGCAAACTTGGAGGGTAGGAGGAAAGTCCTAAGGAGGGGTCAGGGAAGTATCCAGGCCATCAACTTTCAAAGTGCTCCAGGACATAATTTAGAAAGTCAATTGGCACACCTAGCCAGGAGTATATCTTGAGAAAGTAGTATTCTTTGAAGCCTCCTGAAGCCTGGGTTTTACCAACAGCCCAGTCCTGGCAAGATTCGGGGAGCTTGTACTTCACATACTCAACTTTCTGTTTCTAAAGGGAAAGGAGACTCTACCAAGCCTTTTTGGCCATCAGGCTGCTCTTCCAAAATTGTCTGGTGACTTAAGTGTAGGTGAATCAGAAACATGTGGATCAAATTTCCTGCTAAAATACACATGGGTTTGGCAATTAAAAGAAAATGTGTAGAATATGGCAGATTTGGTGGCCAGAAAGCCCCGTGAGAAGGCAAGGGCCACTGAAAATTATCGTAACTATATAGTAAAAGAAAACTTGATTCCAAATGGGCACAGAGGAATCCATGGAGAAAGTTGGTAAGACATTTATGGGTGTCACACATCGGCTTCTGAAGGCCACAAGTAAAGGCAGGGTGTTTGCAAAGATTCTTGTAGAACCATGTCCTTGAATTTGGGTTTAAAAACTTATTAACTTATAAGTTGCAAAAGAAAGGCTCTTTTAGAAAAGAGCTGCTATAAGATGGGCTGAGTTAGAAAAACCTAACAGCCCATCCTAATAGACTGAATGTTCTATTGTTTGATGAATGTTATGTGCCAGTAGAACTTGTTGATAAGCCATTCTTCTGAACAGAAACCATAACTATACACACAGGAAACAAAAATATTTGTAATGGCTTTTAGCAGTGGCAACTGAACACCTGAGGAGTGAGACGCATCTTAATAAAGCCCATTTGGAAACTATAGTGACTTCCCCACAAGGTGTCACCTTCCTTGTTAGGACTCATCACGATACCATTCATTTATTCATTCAGCAGTAACTTATCAAGGATCTATTCTATGTGCCAAATACTGAGCTATATTCTGGGACTGGGGAGTCTTACTAAAGAGGTATAAGATATAGGCTCTTCCTTCATGGAGTTTAAAGCACATTTGCAACCATAAATATTCAGCTATTTGTACACTATTATTACACACTTGATCCCATGGCATCACAGTTTAACAGAGTAGTTAGATACAAAAACTTTGTAATTAGATTTGCATTTGACGGGTTCTGTGACTTACAAGTTGTGTGGCCTTGAGCAAATAATTCCATCTCACTAAACCTTAGTTCTTTCATGTAACCAATGGGAAAGGTAATACTTACCTTATCATATTGATGTGAAGATCCTGTGATGTGAAATTCCCTGCAATATGGCACCTGTGTTAAACCTCTATTTAGATGCCAAATTCAGAATTCATCAGATTTCAGGGCAAGAAACAAACTCTTTACTCTGGATATTTCCATATGAAAGGGATTTAATGCAAGGAATTATGTGCTTACAAAATTATTTAAAGAAGTGGAGGAGCATGAGGCAGGGATCCACAGTTCAGTTTAACCAGTTCAAGGTCACGCACATAGCTGGAATCCAGAGGTCAGGAAATAGTGGTTGGTGTCACTGCCACCACCACATCACTACCAATGATGTGTGATACTCCCAAAGTCATTGTCTTGACACAAGAATGGTGAGTCTGCCTGCAGCTACCATCTCTCATAGCAGAAACAGCAGCAGAAAAATAGATGTTTTTCTTTCTCTTCCAACTTCAACATCTGTGGGAGTGCATCTATTTGGTGTTCCAGTTTGCTTCCAAAAGCCTGTCTCCTGAGGAGTCAGGTATCAGCTACATCAGGGGTTCCCAACCCCTGAGCCACCAACCAATACTGGTCTGTGGTCTGTTAGGAACTGGGCCATTCAGGAGGAAGTGAGCCCCGGTCGAGTGAACATTACGGCTTGAGCTCCGCCTCCTGTCAGATCAGTGGCAGCATTAGATTCTCATAGGAGTGCAAACCCTATTGTGAACTGTCCATGTGAAGGATCTAGGTTGCACACTCCTTATGAGAATCTAATGCCTGATAATCTGAGGTGGAACAGTTTCATCCCAAAACCATATGCCCCTTGCCATCCACGGAAAAATTGTCTTCCACAAAAATAGTCCCTGGTGCCAAAAACGCTGAAGACCACTGATCTATATTTTCCATATAGGGATAGCCAAAACCCAGGTAAGCTGAAGCTCTATGAAAATTCAAAGTAGAGCCCAGCTGTCCTGATCTCAGTTTTACCATCAATTTACTATCTTATAATAGCTCCAAAGGAGAAAAGTGAAAAACCGTAGAATTTTAGAGATCATTTTTTCCCGCCTTCCTGGTTGATAAAGTAAGAAATAGTGCTTGAAAGAAGATGAATAATCGCAGCACAGACGTAAACCAAACTCAAGCTTTATCATTAGGATTGACATAGGAACCATCCCCATGACATAGACCCCAAAAGTACAATGGTATGAATGAAAAAGGTGACAGCGGAGGCTGATCTTTATCATTTTTCACTATGCTTGGCTTTTTTGTTATTGTTGATTTTTGAGTTGGAATGTGAGCTTATTTATCCTCCACAGCTTTTGGAAGATTTCAGCCTGGCTCATCCTACGTTAGAGTGTCTGACAGGGGAATAACGCGTGGTATTTAGATGGCACCAGTTATCCAAGAAGGTCAAATTTCTTTGCAATTAGTCTGTCGTACTCCAGAAAGCCCTGAGAGATGAGACGTTGGGGTATGAGAGAGGGAGTTATCTTCATTTAACAGCAGATAGACTTAGGAAGCGGCAGGGGCCAATGAAAAAGCAGGAACGAGAATGGAAAATGTCCCAACACTATCTCCCTTCCCCCACCAACAACCCAGGAAAAATTTTCCAAATCACTTTCTACATATGCCTTGACTGTTGATTCATCAAAGATGTCTTCAATAGATTCACAACTCAAACCACATTGTGGTATTTAAGTAAAGGGGAGCATTGAAAATGTGAATATAGTATTTCTTCTATTTTTGCAAATGGATGTGTTTGATACCAAACACTGTCAGCAGCTAATACTATTACTATGTTTGCTAATATGCTCAGATCAGCTGGGCACACAACCAAAACCCATAACATTCCTGAGTGAAGTATGATCAGATGCTCCCAAATGCAATTTGCCTTCTTCCCTCGCATCGTAAGAGAAAAGGCTTTTGTTGGATATGTTTTGTGAACACCAAAGAGAGTAAATAGCTTTTTGAAGAAGCCAAAGTGTTTTCCTCCTGATTCATTGTGAATGCCTGCAAGAGTGTTTCCTTTTAAGTTAAAACAATTTACGAATTCTTCCTACTAAATCAATCTACATATTTTTATCACTGCTATTTTTAATAAGTAACTTTTCTTTCTGAAAATTTATTTCACTTTGCCCCAACCTTTCTGTGATTCTTGGGAGACAAGAAACAGAGTTCATGTAAAACACTCTTGTTTATGATGGATGAAACCACAAACTTTGTGTGATGTTAACCCACTCACAGAAGGAGAATCTGAACTTCAGAGTATTTTGTGTTTGGAGAGAAGGCTCACTAAGGGAAATGGGCTCACTTCAATTCAATATATTATAGGAAGGAAAGGATCAAGGAAGAGCTGGTCTTAAAACTGTCAAAATATAAGAATTTGATGGGAAGAAAGAAGGAAAACAGAGCAGTTGGAAATGCAAAGATAAAAGAACTGGATCCAGACATGTCTATGTAATTTCCCAGGAATGGAAATTGTACTGGCAATTTGGAAAGAGATATCGAAAAACAATATACATTAAATGTTGAGCTTTTCTTGCAGCAATGCACTTGGAAGGCTCTTAGAACACATGGCATAATGGTATTATGATTCATCTACATATGGCCTGATCCTTGGTGACTGATGAAAGGGGAAACCAAGTTTCATAAGGAATCAAACACAGAAGAGGAAGCTAAACACTTTTTTAGAGAAAAAAACTCTTTTAAGCTTCTAGGTCATCAGCAGAGTATTAACTAACGCAGCCTACTAAATTTGCATTGGGATAGATCACATATGTAATTTCCTTTAATTCTTCAATAACCCTGTGACATAGGCATCATTTTCTCTGTTTCCTGATAGCCCAAGAGTTGCCATCTCTAAAGTTGCTTAGGTAGTTGGTGGTTGAGCTTAGATGCAAACAGAATTCTTTCCACCACACCAGTGATTGTCAAACCTGGCTGCTTATCAGAATCATCTGGAGAGCTTTGTAAAAATACAGATTCTTGGCCCAGGAAATTCTGATTCAGTAGTCTAGAGCAAGCTCTGGGGATCAATTTTTTGTTTTGTTTTGTTTCTCCAGTGACTCTGATACACAGTGAATTTGGGGAAACATTGCACACAATTGCAACCAGAAATGGTGTGAGAATGGGTGAATACAAAAGCCCCGGAGGGAAGGTTGTAGAACACAGGGACTCCACTGCTCTACGAGAAGCCTGCTAAACTACACCCAGCCATAAATAGTCTCACAAAAATCTACCAGATCTGAAAAACATGCTTCGACTTCACCTGAATTTATTTCTAAGGCCCCAGACATTCCTAATCAGCCCATCTCCTCCCAGATGGCTCTGCAAACCATTCCTATCGTTTGGAATTATGTTTTCAGAAGCCTCACAACCATGATAAAATGCTGTTGCCATAAGCATTTTCCTATCTCCTCAAGATGAATTAGATGAGCTACTTAGTCCTTCATCAATAAATTGTAAAGGGAGAGGCATTTGGAACTATGGATGCCCTTCAAATGTACTTGGCTAGTTACTTGCCTCTGTTTCCAAAAAGATTAAAACGTAAAAGAAATAAGTGGCAAAACGTGCATCATTCCTGGCCACATACCCAAATATTCTTTCTCTTATCCAATATGACTTTTTCCTTTGCATGCTTTTTCACCAGGCTAAGAAAACTAAAATATCTTTCTACAACAAATCCTTAAGGTTTCCCAGAAACACAAAGTAATGGTGCATTATTTATTTCTTAGGAAATTTTACCATGTTATTTTTAGCAGAGTGCATGTTACCCTGACACAGGCCATAAAACTTACTCACTTCTTTGGGGTCTGAGGAATGTCATCTTGTGACTGGTTTTACAGGGAGAACTTATCGGGGTGCAGTTGCAGTTTCCAGAGTGAGTCAGTGCCATCATTGCCTCCGCTGTTATTCAGTGGGTGGGGCACCTGGAGCACAGGAATGTGCTCTCTGATTCCACGACAAAACTAAGGACTGAGGCTCCCCTAGGCTCAGTTGTAGATTTTGAGGCTCTTGAGTTTCAGTTCTCCAATGAGTTCCAGGTAAAATGCAGAAACCAGGCCAGGCACCAATGGCTCATGCCTGTAATCCCAGCACTTTGGGAGGCCAAGATGAGTGGATCTCTTGCCCCCAGGAGTTCGAGACCAGCCTGGGCAACATGGTGAGACCCCATCTCTACGAAAAATACAAAAATTAGTGTGTGCCTATAGTCCCAGCTACTTGGGAGGCTGAAGTGGGCGGGTCATTTGAGCCTAGGAGGTCAAGGGTACAGTGAGCTGTGATCTCACCACTGCACGCCAGCCTGCTGGGTGAGAGTAAGAGCCTGTCTCAAAAAAAAAAAAAAAAAAAAAATGAAGGAGGAGAAATCAGAAACAGAAGCAAGGCAAAAAGGGGGCTAGAGCAAGGGTTATAACAGGAAGGAAAATAAGAACAGCTGCACTTTTAATCTATTCATTCAACAAAGGTCTGGGAGCATCTATGTACTCCAAGTGCCATGTAGAGGCCGGGGATTCAGTGAGCCACACAAAGACGGTTCTTGCCCCCACAGAGCTTACAGGCACGCGGAGGAAACAGACAAAAACCAAGCAAATCTACAAATTGCATAATTTAAAAATTTGGTAAGAGCCAGGAAGAAAGGGCGTTAGTCAAAGGAAGGACATGGCTTAGTATATAAGTTAAGAAATGTCCAGGCTGGGCACAGTGGCTCACACCTGTAATCCAGCACTTTGAGAGGCCGAGGAGGGTGGATCCCAAGGTCAAGAGATTGAGACCATCTTGGCCCACATGGTGAAATCCCATCTCTACTAATAATACAAAAAAATTAGCCGGGTGTGGTGGCACACGCCTGTAATCCCAGCTACTCGGGAGGCTGAGGCAGGAGAATCACTTGAACCTGGGAGGTAGAGGTTACAGAGAGCTGAGGTTGCGCCACTGCACTCCAGCCTGGTGACAGAGCAAGACTCCATCTAAAAAACAAAACAAAACAAAACAAACAAAAAAGCAAAAAACAAAAAAGAAGAAGTGTCCAGTGGCTTTGGGTCAGCATCGGTGAAAGTGGGGAGAGCAATAAAGAAGCAATTGCAACCTTTTAGGTGAGAAATGACCGTGACCTGGACTTGGGGATGGGCCGCGAAGAGTCAGGATGGACTCAAGACAGCTACTGGACTGCCACTGGCCGCGACACTTTGGAGAAACTCTAGCAGTTAGTTCTTCCGACACAGTTCCTACAGGTGACGGGATAAAAATAGAAGACAGCAGGGGAAATGATGAGGAGACCTGGAGCACTTTAGTTACGATTCAACTCAGCCTGTGCTAGGGCCACAGGGACTCAAAGAGGAGGAAGGAGACACTTTCTCCATGCAAGGAGTCTACATTTCATTGAAGAAGATGTGTCCAGCATACATGTAACTACAATAAAGGAAAAATATGACAAGAATAATAGAAAAGGCAGAAGGCTCTGAGAAGGAGGCTTGAGGTCAGAGTAGGAATTCAACCAGAAGAGAGAAGGGTGGGAACTTCTGAGGGGAGGGAGGAGCAAGAGCAAACGTGTGAACATGGTGGTCTGTGGTATGTGCTCAGCTCCTGCTGGGCTCAAATGTTGCATGTGCACAGAGAACATTAGCTGGAGACCATCAGGCTGGCACTGAACACCAGGGGCAGGAGTGGATGCTTGCTACTCAGCTGTGCACTCCTCTCATGTTCTTTTCTACATGTGTGCAATTGAATGTCTGTGTTATATGTGCGTATTAAAAGCGAACTCTCACCTTGAAATTCTTCTTAGTGGCAAGATTCTTTTCTCTAGATTGACAGTGCAGAGCTCACATAGTAATCACTGCTGTTAAAATAGATATTTAGGACTATAGAGTTAAAGCTTAAATACCATTTAAGGGAAGCTGCTGTTATCTGAAATAATTTGTCTTTCTTATTGAAAAGAACCAATACCCTCCCTCCCTCTTTCCCTCCTTCCCTCCCTTCCTTCCCTTTTTTCTTTCTTCCTTCGTTGGAAGAGTGGAAACATAACGAGGGGTTCTGGCTAGTGTCCTGAGGTGTTGGCTAGGTAAACTTTCTGGAGTTGCTCGTGCCAAGAGACCAGCACATACATTTCTCTAGGGGAAGTACATCCTAATTATTCCACAGACATCCATGGATCACTCTGGCTAGCAGAGTAGCACTGCAAAAATCATTACGATTTTTTTTTTTCAGAAAGTTGTTCTACTTTGGCTTAATGTCCACATGACCAAGAATCACACTTTACAGTCTTTAAGGGCCTATCCCATGCTCAGCCACTTTCCTACAAAATCGTGGCGACGTGGAAAGGCAGATATGTGCACCTGGGAGCTTCTAAGATCCTGTCTGCTCTGGCTGATGCAGTGACCAGAGTCACCAGAAACCCTCTGCTCCATCTGGGAGACCCAAGAGAGATCATCTGGAAGCTGGTATCTGGGGACACACTGCTACATTGTCCAGTCCAAAGTCCATCAGCTTTGTTTTCTTTCTCTGTCACACGAACAAGTAAAACAGAGTGTAGAAACAAACACTGCAGGCAAGGTTACCTAGTCTCCTTGAAAAGGTTTCCTTCCTACTGGCTAACTTTCAACCTAAGGGAAAATGCAGCTCGATGCTCAACTGGTAGATTTTCTTTCACATTTTATTATACATGTGCATATAAAGGAATTTCTCTTACTATTGGTTTCTTCCTTCTCTGATCCTCTCTCCAAAGGCACCACATTTCTCCAGAGAGTGTGTCCCAAATGCCTCATGTCTACGGAGTTCTTTGCAAACATTAATAGACAAATGGTTAGTTTATATAAAGCACACATGTATTGCTCTGACATAAGCAGTGAGGAGCCCACAGTTTACATTTTTCATCTTTCTTTTAAAAAGGAATGAGAAATCGTATTCCAGATGATCCAACCTATTACGCTACGAAGGGAAGAGTGGAGAGGGAACCAAGATTGAAAAGAGATTTAAATTTGGACCCTTTGTGAGCCAAGTGCAAATTGGTGTACAAGTTCACATTGATCTTTAGAAGGGAAAGCAGGTATTGAATTTGCTTTCCACCTTTAGCTCCATCCTTCTCTACCTTGAGAAGAAGCCCAAAATACTGAACTTACTTATAAGCTCCTAATTTTAAAGGTAGACTGATACAGGTTAGGTGCAGGGGCTCATGCCTGTAATTCCAGCACTTTGGGTGGTTGAGGCAGGCGGATCTCTTGAGGTCAGGAGTTCGAGACAAGCCGCGGTCAACATGGCAAAACCTTGTCTCCACTAAAACTACCAAAAAAAAATTAGCAGGGCGTGGTGGCGAGTGCCTGTAGTCCCAGCTACTCAGGAGGCTAAGGCAGGAGAATCGCTTGAACCAAGGAGGCAGAGGTTGCAGTGAGCTGAGATTGTGCCAATACACTCCAGCCTGGGTGACAGAGTGAGGCTCCCTCTCAAAAAAAAAAAAAAATGTATATATATATATAGAGAGAGAGAGAGACAGACAGACAGACAGAGAGAGAGAGAGATAGACAGAGAGAGACTGATACAGTCATTAATAACTAATGGCAATAAGGCAGGCTTTGGTTTTTGTAGGAAACCTCAAGACAGGCCATATGGGTTTTCTTTTTTTCTTTTTCTTTTCTTTTTTTTTCTTTCTTTTTTTTTTTTGAGATGGAGTCTCGTTCTGTCACCCAGGCTGGAGCGCAGTGGCGCAATCTCGGCTCACTGCAAACTCCACCTCCCGGCTTCATGCCATTCTCCTGCCTCAGCCTCCCGAGTAGCTGGGACTACAGGCGCCCGCCACCACGCCCAGCTAATTTTTTGTATTTTTAGTAGAGACGGGGTTTCACCGTGTTAGCCAGGATGGTCTCGATCTCCTGACCTCGTGATCCACCTGCCTTGGACTCCCAAAGTGCTGGGATTACAGGCGTGAGCCACTGTGCCCGGTGGCATATGGGTTTTCAATGGCCATGTGTTCAGCATTCTTTATGAGTAAACTCATGTGATATCGAAACCCATATTCCTCATATGTGTGTTCATATTTTACACAACCAAATGTTTTGACAATACCAACTATCAAATTATTTAAGTCATTTCGCACTTAGGAATAGTTTTCTTTCATGAAAAAATAGTGGTATTTGAATACCAGTTCTAACAGTGTATGGTGTAGACTCTTGTTCACAGTATAGAGGGTAGAAGCTCAGTGTATGGGGCTCAGGGGTCAGCAGCTGTCACTGCTTCATATAGCTGTGTGCCCTTGAGACAGTCATACAACCTCTCTAGACATCAGCTTTCTCATCTTTAAAACAGAACAAACAATAGTAGCAATTTCGTAAGAGTGTTAAGGTAATTAAATTAGATAATGCATATAAAGCCTCGTGTTTGGTACACATTAAGTAATTAATAAAAGGCCACTTTAAGAAATGTATGTATACACACACACACACACACATACACACACACATTGTTAATCCTATAAGAAAAAATAAAGTGTTATAGTATGTTATTCATACAAGAGAATATTATACTACTCTTAAACTGATATTTTTGAAGAATTTTAATAATGTCCGCAAAAATAATCAAAATATTAGGTTAAATTTAAAAGTTAAATAAAGCATCTTATTATATACAGCATCTTCTCTCTCTCTCTCTCTTTCTCTCACATACACATGCACACACATACACATGCACACACACATATACACACACTATATAATTAGAAGGAAATCCATATATGTACATATATATACAGTGTGTGTGAGCAAACAGTGGTTATTTGGGGATTGTGAGATTACGGCATACTTTTATTTTCTTTGTATTTTTCTCTATTTCCAAGTTTTCTGTGATGAGTTTGTAATATTTTTACAATAACTTCATGTTATAAAATATTTTATAAGATGTAATGAATCAGTCCAAGTGACATATTAGGAGAGCGGCAGCAAGAGCAAAATCACACGTATACTTCCATGCCTTCAAAAAAGGACACAAGAGTGAAAACGTGAATCCTAAAATGACTTCTGGTAAATAGCAGAGACATCAAGGAAACAAAGACTGGGAAGGGACTAAATAAGCCAAAAGTCAAAAAAAAAAAAAAAAAAAAAAAAGTGAGGAGCAGGATAGCCAGAGACAGCGGGGTAAAACCTTGCAACCTTCAGTTTAATAGGTACTTTCAACAGATCTTCCCCAAGGCACTAGCATTTTAAAATTGCATTAAAATGAGCTTTTTTCAAAGAGAAACCCTCCACCAAAAAAAATTTAGAAAATGAAGAACACAAGCTATAAGGGAAAACACAAAATTATTAACTGAATAAAGTCCCATCACATTTTTTTCCCAAGAGTGAGGTCACATCAAAGAGCTCAAAACAAATACATTCGGTATAAACCTTTCAAACGTAACAGGTTACCCTGTCTGCAGACAAAGGAAGGAGCCTTGTTTCACACAGACTCTGTTACATTTAGGCACTGGGTATGTGAATTTTGGCTAAGAAATACATTGCTGTCTCTGTCTTTCTGTCTTGTTTCACTCCCCAGTCTCTTGGATGGGAGTTTCAGCCTGTCTGACTACACATTTGGGCATCTTCTGGTCTCTTATTCTTAGCTTCTATCACTGCAGTGGAACCATTCTGAGAAGGGTAACTTTAGGTTAGCATGATTCTTGTAGTGCAGGCAAAAAAGAGCCAGAAGTGTTTGGTAAAACTGTTTACTGGTTTTACAAAAAAAAAAAAAAAAAAAAAAAAGTTGTTGTGCCATTTACTGGAAGGTATCACTCATTTTCTTTCCTGTCTTCCTCCTTCCCTTTCTCTCCCTTCTTTCCTTCCTTCCTCCCTCCATCCCTCTCTTTATCTCTTCCTCTATCTCTTTCTTTTCCCCTTATTTTCTTCTCCTCTCTTCCTCCCTTCCTTCCTTCTCCCTGTGCAAGTACTCATTTCATAGCTTTGTCAAGCATTTGCCGTGTGCCACCCCTGCGTTACCCAGAGTGAATATAAAGATACATAAGACCCGGTCGGGCGCGGTGGCTCACGCCTGTAATCCCAGGACTTTGGGAGGCCGAGGTGGGTGGATCACGAGGTCAGGAGATCAAGACCATCCTGGCTAACACGGTGAAACCCCGTGTCTACTAAAAACACAAAAAATTGGCCGGGCGTGGTGGCGGGCGCCTGTAGTCCCAGCTACTCGGGAGGTTGAGGCAGGAGAATGGCGTGAACCCGGGAGGCGGAGCTTGCAGTGAGCCGAGATCGCGCCACTGCAGTCCAGCCTCGGCGACAGAGCAAGACTCCGCCTCAAAAAAAAAAAAAAAAAAAAAAAAAAAAGATACATAAGACCCAGCAGACGCTGATATTAGACTTACTGTTTTATTGTGTTAGCTCCCAGTTGAACTCTAGTATCTATGCAGACACTGATGTTTATTAGGTGCCTGGCACTTTCACAGAGCTTGTTTTACTTAATTCCAGCATCTACCCAGAAGTGGGTGTTATCACCATTCCTATAATACAGATGGTTGAATTTCAGCCCAGAGGCTTTAAATACCTAATTGAGACATTCAGCTTCTAAGGGGAAGTATCAGGAATTTACTCTGACTTTCCTGACTCCGAGTTCCGTGCTTTTTCCCACTGTGCCAGAACTATTGACTGTGAAGGATTATGTTCACAGTTTGAAGCCTTCACCTTTTGATACTGCACTGCACGTGGAGTATATGCAATAAATATGTGCATGAAATAGGGCAAGAATTGTATTACAATGGTCCTGAATAACTCATTCCATATACCTGTATTTGGCAACATTGTCCAGAATTTTCACATGCACGTGCATTTTCCATACACAGGAAACTGGTTAGGCATACACCTCAGACAGGTCAGCAGACATACACACTTACATAAGGGCTTGTTTGCATTCTGAAAGCATGCCTACTCAGATTGGAGCTTGTTACAAAGAACACATGGGAAGCAAAAATGTTCAGTTTACAAATGATGCTCAAAATCACTCTTGAAATCATAATAGAAACATCACATTTGTTTTAAATTTGAGGGTTTAAAACATTATCAACATGTAGAGAGAGTTATCTAGCAAACACATCCATGTACCCATCACCCAGAAATTCAAATTGTCCACATTTTGTCATATTTCTTTCAAGATTTTTTTTAAGACATAAGATTTTTAAATGGTTTGTAATGTTGAAATTTCTTTTGTCGTCCATGCCTGATCCACCTCCTCCCCTCCTCATTCTGGTGAACATCATTAAAGGTATGGATTCCAAGTCACTATTTATCCATGCACATGACCATATGTTTCACAAGCAATTTATGCTATTTTTATATGTTTACTATAAAATACACATAATGGTATCATACTACTTATATCATTCTGCAGCTTCCTTTTTTTTTTAAAAAAAAGCATCTCTATGTTTTGAGCTCTATGTTAAAATATAAAAATCTAATCAATTTCTTTTATTAGCTATGTAGCATTTTGCCATATGAATAAAATAATTTCTTATGCCTTCTCCTATATTTGTTGATGGACATTAAGATTGTTACAAACAATACCTTGATAAACATGCTTATACAAGTTTCTAGTCCTCATACACACGTTCAAATTTTTCTAAGGTGTTTACCTAGAAGTGTAATGTCTGGGTGGCATACTAAGTGCATGTTTAATATTAATGCAAATTGACAAATTACTTTCTGAAATGATGGTACTAATTTACCCTCTCACTAGCAATGCATTTGCTTGCTTGCTTCTCTCTACCTTTTCCATTGCTGGATATTGTCAGACTTTTAGATCTTTGGTAACTTTGTAGATAAGCAACAGTATCTTCTCATTTCAGTTTATATTTCTCTGATTTACTGGTGTAATGTTGCATCTTTTTATATTTACTGGCTGTCCAGGTTTCTTTTTTGTGAATTACCTGCCCATGTGCTTTGGCCATGTGCAATTTTTTTTTCCTATTGGGTTATTTGTGGGGATTTTTTTCTTACTAACTTATAAGAAAAATTCATTCTGAATATGATCCATTTAACTGGTATTTGACTCTTGTAAATATGTTTTTACTTAATCATTATCAAGTTTATAGGTTAATACTTTTTTTCTTTAGAAAGGGCATACAAGGTCAGTTCCAACTGTGTAAAGGGCTTTATTCTTTTTTAATCCTATGCAAGACAGCATACGTAGTCTCTGCAATTGGATGAACAGCTGTAAATAGCTTTTGCAGATCTAAGTAAAAACTCTTCTCTAAAGGTCTTCAAAGTTATTCTCCAAACCTGGGGAGTAGCCCTCTTTTAGCTTCTTGGGGTTACAGAGAGGCTAGCACATTCCAAACACAGGTGGGCAAAAAAAGAGGAAATGGACTTTACTTTTACGAACCAGTGGCTGAGCAGAATCTACTCTTCTCACAACCTCAAAGTAGTTTGAAAGTACTTTCATTAAATAAAATTAATCATTTAGTGATCGTGGTTTAGGCATCATGGTTTAGGCATGACTACATCGAGTCATTCTACTTCTTCTCCCCTTACTAAAAGCAGGTTTTAGTTATGTAACCATGTTTAGAGCGGTCTAGGGAGTTTTTATCCTTATGCCTTCCTCCTGATTGGACAATGGTTTGCAAGAACTTGTTAGGAGCTGTGGAAACACAAATATTGGGCAAAAAACTTGTGTTTCTATATAAATATTTACAAACATACTAGACTATAAATTCTTTGAGGTGAGGGCCTGTGTTTATCCTATCCACGATGGTTATACCCTCAGCATTTGGTTCAGCTGACAATCTTAGTGGGAATGTGCTCAACATTCTCAATCCACAACTATTTATTGAATCTGAGTGCTGTGTTAGACAATCTATATTCTATGTGCTTCATGTAATCAAAGTGACCTAGACAAAATCCCTGCCCTTATGAACCTTACATTCTAGTGGCAGGAAATACTATAATGCCAGGGAGAAGGGAGAGAGAAATGAGAATGAAGAAAAATGATGCAGTGATGCATAGCCCTCTCTATCTCTTTGGGATACAGAGAGGGGGCGTGTGTTGTGGGGAGGAGGTGGGGGCTCTATTATAAAAAATATGGCCTGAGAAACTGCATGAGGAAGAGTCATCATGATTTGATACATGGAGATAGAGAAAACCACAGTGTCAGGGCTCCAAAAAAAAAAAATCACTTCCATTTTGGGAGGTAATTTCAGCTTCTTTGTATTTGATTTGGGGCAGTATATAAGTCTTGGGAAAAAAAGAAGTGACTAAAGCTTTTATTTTAGATGAGGAGGACTTAATGAATTTGTAAAATATGCTCCCTTTTGTGGGGAGAAGTACAGCAGTTTGCACGTTGGGAGAACAGCTGGCTCCAATACAGCTTGGTGGTGGGCTTCGACTGAACTGGTCATCGCCTAAGTATTTTGTGTATTTCTGATTACCTATCTCTCCAGGAGCCCACGTGAGCAAGACAGGTCTTCAAGCTGGTTCAATGCTCCCATTCTGTAGGCAACTACAAACTGTGGCTCACTGCATGACTTAACAACAACTGATTGAGAATTGTAAAGTGCAGCCTCGAGTTCATGTGTAGAAACTGCCATCTGCACAAACAAAACATTGAGAGGACTAAGATTTTAAGGATACTAATGCAGACGTCCTTCTTGCTTCATTTATTTAAAAATATCTATTTCACGTTCCTAACAGCATCTAGTAGATGTTTCTTGCTTCTTCCCCCTAACGCCGGACTAAAGAGAAAAAAAAAATAGGCTGTTTTCTGGTCTGGTTTTGTTTTCCTAGTCAAGTACTTAAATTACGGGTGTTTCGTAAGTATCTTTTGATGGATTTCATTGTTTTGTTTATTTCGCGTTAGACAATACAGACACCTTCATATTTCCTTCTGTAGCAAATCTTTTTCAAAGTCTTCATTTGACGTGGCTGATGGAGCTGGTCTGCAGATCTTGCAGACGTGTTAATTTTTGCACGGACTTTAGCTTCAACACACAAAACTTACGGCCTCTTTGAGGAACCAATTTTTCAGGCTAAGAGAACAAATGAAAGTGTTCGCTCATCTTTCGAAAACTATTTATGTACTTGGTATCCGGAATGTGACATTGGTTTTACACGTCGGTAGGTTTTTGTCCTAAATTTCTGGGAAGTTACTTCCTCATCTAACGTTTTATTTTCCTGACTTATTCGTCTTTGATATGCTACAGAAAACCCCTCTCGCCCAGTGGCTGTTTTCTCTCTGTCTCTTAAGATAATTTAGGAACAGAAGCCTTGACTTTTGACGGTCATTTAGTTTTATTCTCCTCCCGTGACTCCCCTCTGTACACTCACAGGGGAGGCCGCCGGCATCTGGGCTGAAAGAACCCTTGGCGGGCGAGGAGAGCAGGGTGTCATGTTGGCGACAGGCTCCTGCTGGCGGCCAGCGAGCCCGCCAGGTTAACGGGGGCGCCGGGGTCAGCGCCCTCGAAGTTGGGGGCCTCGGGCGGGGCCGCCGGGGAGCCACGACGGCCGCTCGACCAGAGCATCCCGCAGTCCCGTTCCCTCCAGAGGGGAAGAATGGCCGAATCTGGCACGATCCCACGGAGATCTCGCTCTTCCCAGCGCAGTCTCCGCTACTGAGCGCGGGACCAACGCAGGCGATGCCGGGCGGCCGACAGGGAAAGCCCAGACCTGGGGCAGAGAAGGAATGAGGGGCCGCCAGCCGGGGGGATTTCCTCCCGCTCTTCCCTCTCCAACGGGAGCGGAAAATGTGATTTGCTGTGCATTCCAGGCGCGGTTCCCTGGGGTGACCTCTCCCAGCCGGCCCGGGCGGGGGGAGCAGACAAAGAGGCGAGGCGGGCGGAGAGGGGACCCCGCGGGGAAGCAGGAGGGGTGCGGGGGGCGGGGGCAGTACCGGGAAAGGGGGCGGATAGCGGGTCTGGCGGCGGCGGCGGCGCCTGGCCAATGGAGAGGCGCGGCCCCGGGCGCCGCGCTCTGCCGCCGGCATTTAAACGGGAGACGGCGCGATGCCTGGCACTCGGTGCGCCTTCCGCGGACCGGGCGACCCAGTGCACGGCCGCCGCGTCACTCTCGGTCCCGCTGACCCCGCGCCGAGCCCCGGCGGCTCTGGCCGCGGCCGCACTCAGCGCCACGCGTCGAAAGCGCAGGCCCCGAGGACCCGCCGCACTGACAGGTGAGCGCGGACGCACCCGGCAGGGATGTGAGTGGGCGGAGGGAAGAGGGCCGCAAACCAACCCAGGACCCGCTCAGTTCCACGCGCGGCAGCCCTCCGTGCGCGCAGGCTCGGGTGCGTTGTTCGCGGGGGTGAATTGTGAAGAACCATCGCGGGGTCCTTCCTGCTGAGGCCGCGGACACCGTGACCTCGCTGCTCTGGGTCTGCAGGGAAACGTAGGAAAAAAAGTTGTCAGGAGCGGGCAGGATGACCCCCACATCCCGTTTCCACCTCCCGGAGGCCCCCGAACACGCTCCTGGTGCTGGTGGCAGCAGCGCCTGGCAGACGCGCCCGCTTAGCGAGGGCGCGAAGTCCAGGCCGCCAGAGCGCAGGAGCATCCGGACCTGCTAGTCGGCCGCTGACTGCGCGGCGAGTTGCCTTGAGAGGGTCCCATGTGCTTGGGGCGCCGCGCTGGGTCTGGGGGCGTCTTGGGGCGCCCATTGGAGTCCGCGGGTTGGAGCATCCGGAGAATCCATGATGTGTGCATTTGCCGATCCCCGAGGTGAGATGGAGACTGGCAAGGGCAGAGCCGCTGTGTTCAGCCACAGCGGAAAACCGAACGGTGGGTAATCCGACAGCTGCGGTGCGGGGCGCGGCCCTGGCCGCGGGGTCCAGCGAACCCGCAGTGCTCACAAGGCAGACACCACACGCGCTCGCGGACCGGCCACGCACTCGCGGGCGCTCGCTTCTCTACTCCAGCCTCTTCCCCGCCCCGCGCACGCCCGGGCTGAATGGTAGACGTTCTGGCGCCGGGCAGCGGCCACCGGCTGGTTCCCACTTCCGCGCGCACCCCTTAAACTGTGTTCTAGAGGCCCCAGCCTCGCCTTGCAGCGCCTCACTAGCTCCTGAGGACTAGGGACTGGCGGCTGAGGCGGGTTGGCGGCTGCAACGAGCTGGGCGTCTTTCGTTCTCTCTCGCTGCCTGGCTGGCTCCGCTGGCCCCTCCACAGCTTGCGGAGCAAGGCCATAGCAGGGGAGTGGGAGGTATATTGGGGCTGTCACCTCCTTGCTGGCCGGAGTTATTTGTAGACTACAGACTCCGGAAGAACAGACGCGCCACCGCTCTCGCTTGGCATTGCCTTCGGATCGCAGCTCCTCCTTGGGGGTGCCCCAGCTTGGCGTTTATTTGCCTGCGCCAGGCTCTGGCGACGGTCACCGGGCCAGGCGGGGAGGGACGGACGGCAGGTGACCAGCCTCTGCTGTGAAGAAATTCCTGCGCGCCCGGAGCTGTCCCTAATGCATTCCCGGGTCGAATCCGTCTACTGCCTTCCCCTCCTCGACCGACTCCGAATCTCGGCTCTTATAGACAGAAATACAGCCTCAGCGTTAGGGGTTAAAATCCCCCTCTTAAACGGTCCGAGGGCAGAGAGGTGACCACCGATAGGTAATTGGATCTCCTGCTGGAAAGAGCAAATCTGAGCGGTGTGCGCGTCTGTTTATGTTCCCCTTCGAGATGGTGCCAGGACACGAACTGATTAAAACAATCTATTGTGTTAAGTGGGTCACTAGGGTTTTAAGCTGTCCCAGGGACCCCAGAGTAGTGGCTTCCTTCTGGCTGTACACACAAGTTAAATAAATAGCGTAGAAGAGGTTAAGATAACCCCATTCTAGGGTGAGGAGTCCTCTTTCATCCCTAGGGCTTCCCCCTCCCCTTTTCTCTTTTTTTGGAAGGAGGGGGAGCATGAGAGTCTTGAGGGGGGGATGTACTTTTCAAAGCAAGGAGGGAAAGATCTTAAGAAAACTATATATTCTCACTGCCCCCCAAGCCAAGTCTATAACAGTAGGTGATTTGATTACTATCTCTGGATAAATGGCACTGTCAAATTGTTAATATTAACTATTTCAGGGATTTTTAGCAGGGTAGTGGCAGTATGTGTGCGTGTGTGTGTGTGTGTCTGTGTGTGTGTGTTTAACCTCCAGGTCATTGTAGGAATTAGAGTCTTTTGTAAACTTTGTAATTTCACAGGTTTCCTATTTTCTTAAAAGTTCATTTTTAGTGAAATGTTTTGGTAACCCACGCTCTGTAGGAAATCCAGGTTGGCTAATGCGGTCTTTATGTGAGTAGTTACACAGGGAAGGATAAAAACCTTTTATGTCCTACATCTCTGAATGAGGGCTGCCTACCCTGTCTTTGAAACTAAGCCGAAGATGCCTTCAGTCTGAATGGTCAAGTATTAAAAGTGATAAAATGCAAAGAAATTTCATGCCGCAGACACCTCCCCCAAGAACTGCTTGTTGACAGCAAAGCTGTGGAACATGTTCCACAACAGAGAGTAAAGGACAGCCAGGAAATATAAACCTTTTATGTAAAGGAAAGGCAGGTGGGGGACAGTGGTTAGGGGAGGTGACTGCAGCCTCTAACCAAAAGGCAACCATCAGGCAAGTGCTACCAGCCCGTGTCTTCGATCTGCAAGGAATTTTCTTTAGTTTTAACATATGCTCTTAGAAATTCAAAGTACAACAGGAATTCCTGGGACAAGAGAAATCTTTTTATTCACATGTGAACATGAAGATACAAAATAGATAATTATTTTATTTATAGCACTCTTCAAATTGTATTGCATTAGAAAACATATCCATTGACCCACTGTTAAGGACAGCACTGGGTGTCAATAGGACAGTGGTTAAGGACCTGTGTTTGGGGCTAGATAGAATTGGGTTTAAACTGCTGGCTGGGCTAGGCACAGTGGCTCACACCGGTAATCCCAGCACTTTGGGAGGCCAAGGAGGACGGATCACCTGAGGTCGGGAGTTCGACACCAGCCTGACCAACATGGAAAAATCCCGTCTCTACTAAAAACACAAAATTAGCCAGGCATGGTGGTGCATGCCTGCAATCCCAGCTACTTGGGAGGCTGAGGCAGGAGAATTGCTTGAAACCGGGAGGCGGAGGTTGTGGTGAGCCCAGATAGCGCCATTGCATTCCAGCCTGGGCAACACGAGTGAAAACTCCGTCAAAAAAACAAAACAAAACAAACAAACAAAAAAATGCTGGCTTTCCCACTTATGAGCTGTGTGACCTTGGACAAATTTCCAACTTTTCTGAGTGTAGATTCCCTGATTGGTAAAAGGAAGATGATATTATCTACCTCATATTTTGTTATGAAAAATAAATGATAAAATTGGGTCAGAAATCAGCATAATGCCTGGCACAGTAAGGGCTTCAAAATAAAAGGTAGCTCTTATTATTAGTAATGGTGTTAGGAAAAGTAGCAATGTTATACAGAACCAGGATATATCACAGGGCAGTTCTGAAATTAAATCCTGAATCCTGGCCGGGTGAGGTGGCTCACGCTTGTAATCCTAAGCACTTTCGGAGACTGAGGCAGGCGGATCACGAGGTCAGGAGTTTGAGACCAGCCTGGCCAAGACACTGAAATCCCGTCTCTACTAAAAATACAAAAATTAGCTGGGTGTGGTGGCAGGCGCCTATAATCTCAGCTACTTGGGAGGCTGAGGCAGGAGAATCACTTGAGCCCAGGAGGCGGAGGTTGCAGTGAGCTGATATCGTGCCAGTGCACTCCAGCCTGGGTGACATCTCTTAAAAAAAAAAATCCTGAATACCACACTACGCAGTGACTAACACATCTTTCACTACAGAACAGAACCTGTAACTTGGCCGTCTCTCAGCAGTGCTGCTCAGTGAACATTTAATAATTTATTACTTTCTAACTCGTTTCTTGTTGACCTCAAGAATTGTACATAGTCATTAACTTTCCTAAGAAAATCTTTGACAAACATAGAGCTCCTGAGATATTTCACAACCAGGTGGTCTCCTCCCTGTCCTATGCAATGTTGGGCCCCAGCCTGATTTAGCCGACCTGGTCTTCAGACTTGAGAGGCTGTTTAGGGTTCTTACAACACAAAGGGGATGAGACTTTATCCTCTACCTGTCTGCCAACAAGGGATTCTTCTTATCTCCTTGGTGCAACTTGTCTGAAAAAGAAAGTCAACACAATTATCTTCTTAAAAGTTAAAGATCAAATTAAAAATAAGCTATAGTTTTCCCAAAGATTTAGACCTGAGAAAAAGGAATAGATCTTTCTAAAACCTGGCCTGCACTTAGAGCATTTGTAGTCACTTCCACTATTTCTTATGCTGAGAGAATAATTTGATGTCATGCCTATTGAATGTCTTTCTAAAGCTTGATTCATCAGGAGGAACTGACCAGAAGTCCATGCACAGACATTTGGCTTTCACTGTAATTCCTACTCAAAACTCCCTTTCACTGATTATGAGCAGGTTGCTTAGCTAAAATGAGAAATACAGCAAGAAGAGGGATGGAAAGAGCTGGCTTAAACTTTCCCAAAGACATCATGAACACTGGGAACAGGTCATACATATACCATTTTTATTTCTCAGTCCTCAGTATTAGAATATTGTGTTCCTAGAGGCTTTGTGAAAATTGGAATACATTGCCATGACCTGCACAGGATAGAGGTGGTTAATATGGCTTACCTTGCTTGTAGATGTTTACTCTTGATCCCTAAGGGAAACTGGAAGGAAAGCATGCTGTAGAGAGGACCTGCTTTGAGAGTATGTGTCCTCTGGGACAAGTGGAATGAAAGAGAGGATAGAGGCAAAGAGAAAAAAAGGTGGAGATGGGGTGAGACTTGCTGGTGGACAGTTGCAAAGAAAACTCATGATGAGAATAACATCACATTTCTTGAAGAAGCTGAACTGCATTGATGGGAAGTTGAGGCAGAGTTTGAAAAGAAGATATACTGTCTGCAAAAAAGAATCAACGGAGATGTCAGGTATCTTGATGCACCCTGAGTCTATGAGATGCAGCTTAATTTAATTTAGTGATATGAGTAGGCCATTTCATAAGTGGTGGAAATTACCATAAAGTGTTTGCAGCTAATGACGGCGCATGAATGATGTCATAGGAACCTAAGTCTGGATGAGCTATGGATTGAATTTTTACTATGGGACACCCTTCTACATGTTGCTGTGGAAAAGAATTGTCCTCAAGAAATGTACATCTTCTGCATTTCCTCTACATCTCTGATATTTACAAAGTGCACATTATTTGGTGATACTACAACTGGGATTTCAAGTGCACATCACTACTATTTCCTTCACTGAAGAATCAAGAGCAGTCTGGGGGTGGGGAGAGCTTGAGTGATTGACAAGGATGTGGCAGAGCCCTGGTTCCACTATGAATTATAGTTCTTACCCTGCTTACTGTCACTCATGTAGAGCAGCTAGTGTGCCTCAGAGCACTGCTGTTCTCTGAGAAGCTGAGGTCTCGATTGACATTCTTGAAGTTGGTGTTTACTTCTCTCTGAATAAACAAAGGTTGGCAACTCAGACATCTTACAATAAGTACTAAAGATTTTTGAAGAATAGGTTTTTAAAAAATGAAAAAACATTTCACTTTCCATAGCTAATAAATCTTATTTTGAGGAAAATGTACTTTTCTTTAAAAAAAAAAAAAAAGCCTGTCTGTCACTCTAGACCCTTTGGCTTAGAAGGTAGGCACACTCACATAGAAACAGAAAGTCTGTCCAAATTAAAACTGAAAACCACAGTTGACTAATTTTGAATTTATAGCTCTGCTGTTGGCTTCTGCGATAGTATTAATTTCAATGGCTTCAATTAGAAAATGAAACCCATAGCATTCCATATGAGAACAGGTAAAAAGTCAGGGACATTTGGAGTTTTCCAAGAAAAAGAAAGACAAGTCTTAGGAAGCTCTCTAGGATGGAAGGAATTTGCCACACTGAGAGTTAGACATCCAAAGGATAGCAATTGGCTCTTCTGCTCATGGGCACTGGTGAAGGCATTTTAAAATGCGAAGAATGGTACCTCTGTAAATCAATGAGGTTCATAATAATCATGCATTTACCAAATTTTTATAAGCACCTGCCTTGTGCCAGGCACTGAGGGTAAGGTGATGAATAAGCCCTCATCAACTGTCAGACTAGATATTTACTCAATAACAGATGTGAAAATGCCAAGAAGGAAAAGTTGAGTATAAAGAAAGCCTTAAGTTGGTTCAGAGAAATAAAATTGCATTTTTCGGATAGATGTTTATGGAATCGGCCTTATGAGGTAAACTTGTCCTATGCAGTGAACATACATTCCCAGTTAGTCTCAGATTGGCCTCTGTGATGACAAACTCAGAGGGTCCTGGTCTAGGAGGGGTGAATTTGTCTGGAGGCCATTTTCAGGAGGTATGGAGGAAGACTGGGGCATAGGCCTGGGGCCATCCCATGTACTCCTCCTCTGAAATGGGGAGCAACTGAATTGTGTTTTATTTTAGATCTTCGTCCAACTTGAATACCAGAAATTCGTGAAACCTTCTCAAATTCACACTATATTTTGAGACCAGGAGAAGGCTCCTTGAGAAATTGCCACACTGTCTTATCCTAGTCTCTGGAAAAATTCAGTCCTGTATTATAACTGGGCGTTTCTCATAAGTGCTTTTTTTTTTTCTTTTTCTTTTTATAATACTTTAAGTTCTGGGATACATGTGCAGAATGTGCAGGTTTGTTACATAGGTATACACGTGCCATGGTGGTTTGCTGCACCCATCAACCCATCATCTACATTAGGTATTTCTCCTAATGCTACCCCTTCCCTAGCCCCCCACCCCTCGACAGGCCCCAGTGTTTGATGTTCCCCTCCCTGTGTCCATGTGTTCTCATTGTTCAACTCCCACTTATGAGTGAGAGCATGCGGTGTTTGGTTTTCTGTTCCTGTGTTAGTTTGCTGAGAATGATGGTTTTTGGCTTCATCCACGTCCCTGCAAAGGACATGAACTCATCCTTTTTATGGCTGCATAGTATTCCATGGTGTATATGTGCCACATTTGCTTTATCCAGTCTATCATTGATGAGCACTTGGGTTGGCTCCAAGTCTTTGCTATTATGACTAGTACTGCGATAAACATGTGTATATGTGTCTTTATATTAGAATGATTTATAATCCTTTAGGTCTATACCCAGTAATAGGATTCCTGGGTCAAATGGTATTTCTGGTTCTAGATCCTTGAGGAATTGCCACACTGTCTTCCACAACGGTTGAACTAATTTACACTCCCACCAACAGTGTAAAAGCATTCCTATTTCTCCACATCCTCTCCAACATCTGTTGTTTCCTGACTCTTTAATGACGGCCATTCTAACTGGCGTGAAATGGTATCTCATTGTGGTTTTGATTTGCATTTCTCTAATGACCACCGATGATGAGCTTTTTCTCATATGTTTGCTGGCCCCATAAATGTCTTCTTTTGAGAAATGTCTGTTCATATCCTTTGCCCACTTTTTGATGGGGTTGTTTGCTTTTTTCTTGTAAATTTGTTTGAGTTCCTGGTAGATTCTGGATATTAGCCCTTTGTCAGATGGATAGACTGCAAAAATTTTCTCCCATTCTGTAGGTTGCCTGTTCACTCTGATGGTAGTTTCTTTTGCCATGCAGAAGCTGTTTAGTTTAATTAGATCCAATTTGTCAGTTTTGGCTTTTGTTGCCATTGCTTTTGGTGTTTTAGTCATGAAGTCTTTGCCCATGCCTATGTCCTGAATTGTATTGCCCTGGTTTTCTTCTAGGATTTTTATGGTTTTAGGTCTTACATTTAAGTCTTTAATCCATCTTGAATTAATTTTTGTATAAGGTGTAGGGAAAGGGTCCAGTTTCAGTTTTCTGCGTATGGCTAGCCGGTTTTCCCAACGTTATTTATTAAATAGGGAATCCTTTCCCCATTGCTTGTTTTTGTCAGGTTTGTCAAAGATCAGACGGTTGTAGATGTGTGGTGTTATTTCTGAGGCCTCTGTTCTGTTCCATTGGTCTGTATATCTGCTTTGATACCAGTACCGTGCTGTTTTGGTTACTGTAGCCTTGTAGTACAGTTTGAAGTCAGGTAGCGTGATGCTTTGTTCTTTTTGCTTAGGATTGTCTTGGCTATATGGGCTCTTTTTTGGTTCTATATGAAATTTAAAGTAGTTTTTTCATAGACATCTATAGAACTCTCCACCCCAAATCAACAGAATATACATTCTTCTCAGTATCGCATCGCACTTATTCTAAAATGACCACATAATTAGAAGTAAAACACTCCTCAGCAAATGCAAAAAACAGAAATCCTAACAGTCTGTCAGACCCCAGTGCAATCAAATTAGAACTCAGGATTAAGAAACTTACTGAAAACCACACAACTGCATGGAAACTGAACAACCTGCTCCTGAATGACTACTGGGTAAATAACAAAATTAAGGCAGAAATAAATAGGTTCTTTGAAAGAAATGAGAACAAAGACACAATATACCAGAATCTCTGGGACACAGCTAAAGCAGTGTTTAGAGGGAAATTGATAGCACTAAATGCCCACAGGAGAAAGCGGGACAGATCTAAAATCGACACCCTAATATCACAATTAAAAGAACTAGAGAAACAAGAGCAAACAAATTCAAAAGCTAGCAGAAGACAAGAAATAACTAAGATCAGAGCAGAACTGAAGGAGATAGAGACACAAAAAACCCTTCAAAAAATCAATGAACCCAGGAGCTGTTTTTTTTTTTTTTTTGAAAAGATTAATGAAATAGACTGCTAGCCAAACTAATAAAGGAGAAAAGAGAGAAGAATCAAATAGACAATAGACACAATAAAAAGTGATAAAGGGGATATCACCACTGATCCCACAGAAATACAAACTACCATCAGAGAATACTATAAACACCTCTACGCAAATAAACTAGAAAATTGGGAAGAAATGGATACATTCCTGAACGCATACACCCTCCCAAGACTAAACCAGGAAGAAGTTGAATCCCTGAATAGACCAATAGCAAGTTCTGAAATTGAGGCAGTAATTAGTAGCCTACCAACCAAAAAAAGCCCAGGACCAGACAGATTCACAGCCGAAGTCTACCAGAGGTACAAAGAGGAGCTAGTACCATTCCTTCTGAAACTATTCCAAACAATAGAAAAAGAAGGACTCCTCCCTAACTCATTTTATGAGGCCAGCATCATCCTGATACCAAAACCTGGCAGAGACACAACATAAAAAAGGAAATTCAGGCCAATATCCCTGATGAACATTGATGTGAAAATCCTCAATAAAATACTGGCAGCACATCAAAAAGCTTACCTGCCATGATCAAGTTGGCTTCATCCCTGGGATGCAAGGCTGGTTCAACATACGCAAATCAATAAACGTAATCAATCACATACACAGAACCAATGACAAAAACCACATGATTATCTCAATAGATGCAGAAAAGGCCTTCGATAAAATTCAACACCCCTTCAATGCTAAGAACTCTCAATAAACTAGGTATTGATGAAACATATCTCAAAATAATAAGAGTTATTTATGACAAACCCACAGCCAGTATCATACTGAATGGGCAAAAGCTGGAAGCATTCCCTTTGAAAACCGCCACAAGGATGACTTCTCTCACCACTCCTATTCAACATACTATTGGAAGTTCTGGCCAGGGCAAGCAGGCAAGACAAATAAATAAAGGGTATTCAAATAGGAAGAGAGGAAGTCAAATTGTCTCTGTTTGCAGATGACATGATTGTATATTTAGAAAACCCCATCATCTCAGCCCAAAATCTCCTTAAGCTGATAAGCAACTTCAGCAAAGTCTCAGGATACAAAATCAATGTGCAAAAATCACAAGCATTCCTATACACCAATAATAGACAAACAGCCAAATCATGAGTGAACTCCCATTCACAAGTGCTACAAAGAATAAAATACCTAGGAATCCAACTTACAAGGGATGTGAAGGACCTCTTCAAGGAGAACTACAGACCACTGCTCAAGGTAATAAGAGAGGACACAAACAAATGGAAAAACATTCCATGCTCATGGATAGGAAGAATCAATATTATGAAAATGGCCATACTGCCCAAAACAATTTATAGATTCAATGCCATCCCCATCAAGCTACCACTGACTTCCTTCACAGAATTAGAAAAAAACTACTTTAAATTTCATATGGAACTGAAAAAAGAGCCGGTATAGCCAAGACGATCCTAAGCAAAAAGAAAAAAGCTGGAAGCATCATGCTACCTGACTTCAAACTATACTACAAGGCTACAGTAACAAAAACAGCATGGTATAGTATAAGTGCTTTTTTTTAAAAGACAAAGTAAAGTAATTTTTTTGTTGTTGGGGTAAAACAAAAGCTCTGCATAAAGAGCAGGGATGTTGTAACATACACTGACCAAAGGTGGGAAACCTACAGTTGGAGCAGAAGCTGAATGTCACATTATCAGCTCCGAACTTATAATGGTCTAAAAGTACTAGGTTAATGTTGGAAAGATGGTGCCATTTAAAGATATCTTAAATTCAATATTTAATTATTTTAATTTGACATTATCCTAGAGTTGAATGGTGTTTACTTACCATGTGCTGTTCATTAGAAAATCTAGATCCTACACTGCCTTTGCGCAAGGTAGTTGCTCTAATAATACCAACCTGTCCAGTTTTGGTGGGAGAAATAATGTTACTGTTAAGTTGCACTTAGTGGTTATTATGTGTAATACTGGTATTCCAAAGAGAGAAGGAAAATGTTTGCTACACAGCTGTGTTCTTAGGTTCAGAAAACCACAGGAGTGGGACAGGAGAACCTTCAGGATTCAGGTCCGATTGTTGTGATGGCCGCAGGAGGGAGACTGTGAATTTGAAACTGCATCCATTGAAAAGAAAATCCCTCCACACTTTAATAATTCTCTCCGTGCCCCATGGCAGCAAGTGCTTATAGGCCTTGCTACTCAAAGCTTAATAAAAAGGCAGACCTGCTGAATCATAATCTGCATCTTAACAATATCCCCAGATATTGTCTGCACTTTCTTTTTTTTTTTCTTTCTTTCTTTCTTCTTTTTTTTGAGACAGAGTCTCGCTCAGTCACCCAGGCTGGAGTGCAGTGGCGCGATCTCGGCTCACTGCAAGCTCTGACTCCCGGGTTCACGCCATTCTCCTGCCTTAGACTCCCGAGTAGCTGGCACTACAGGCGCCCGCCACTACGCCCGGCTAATTTTTTTGTATTTTTAGTAGAGATGGGGTTTCACCGTGTTAGCCAGGATGGTCTCGATCTCCTGACCTCGTGATCCGCCGCCCATCTGGGCCTCCCAAAGTGCTGGGATTACAGGCGTGAGCCACTGCGCCCGGCCAATTGTCTGCACTTTCAAGTCTAAGAAGCACTGTCCCAGGAGGAAAATCTTTTTAGTCTGTCTGAGGCTTCTCTCTTGCACTCTCCTTTTTAAAAATATGCTGCTCCTTCTCCACCTTTCCCTCTTCTTCCGCCTTTTCTGTCTGCCTTTACTACCTCCCCTGAACATTCAACTTGTAGAAGAGTTCCCCTTTCTCTGAATTGCATTCTTCACTTCATTCATTCTTTTCTCTCTCTGTCTATGGTTTCCTATTTTTTGTCGGTTTTCCCTCACCTCACCTCCTTGTTATTTTTTGCCATTGTTCACATATCACTGCCCTTTCAGACCCATATCTAGCTTCTGACCCATCCACTAATCCATTGCCACTAATTTATTCAGCATGCCCATGCCATTTATTAATGTAAATATTTGCACATACTTGTTCTATCATGCCCATTTTTCTACCTTTTAAATTGTATATACACAGACACATGTGAATGACATATTTCACTATTTAAAAGGTAGAAAAATGTATATCGTGGTACAAAGTGATACATTGAGTATCTGTGCCCAGTTTCAAGATGAGAATAAGTGAGAGGTGAAGCCTCATGAGTCACGTCACCTACACGCTACTGTCTTTCATTCCATCTGCAGTACTGCCACACATTTGGTTAGTTCTCCAATTGCTGTCACATTGACATCGAGTTGGATCTGAACAGCGTACCTGGGGAGACGAAGTATTGGTATCTTTGCTTAAATGGAGTGATTTACTGAGAGACAAAGTGACATCTTTAAGATCAGATAGCAAGTTACTGCACCAGGAGCGCGACCTTTCCTGTTTTGTTGTTTTCCCTCTGTCAAATGCCTTCTGGTCTCCATGAATCTCTCCTTCCACATATGATAAAAATGCAAAGTCTCATAAGCATTCACAGCTCAGGAAGCCTCAGGCTAGTTGGGGAGAAAAGACTGGGAGGTTTCCGGAGGAATGAAGTCCTCTGAGCAGAGAGGTTAATTCATCTTGCTGTAAAACAAAATAGAAAATAAGTTCCCCTCAATAAGTGAACGTAATACAAAGACAAATGTGGTTGGTGCCAGAGGCCAGGAAGAAGTTCTTGTGAGAATAGGTGCAGAGAAGAGCTAGGCCCTGGCTGAGTTTAAACCTTGACTTAGTCACTGTGGGACTCTGGGTGAGTTACTCCATGGATTGATGGCTGGGTCATGGAGATAATAGTACCTAATTCATACAGGTACTGTGAGAAGTAAATGGAATATTTCACGTTAAGTGTTTAACGGTGCGTTTAAATGCTAGGTGCTATTATTATTAATTTTTAAATTAACTTTGCCATGTTTTGTGTCTTCCCCTCTCTGTGCTTCCTTTCTTTAGTATGAGCCGCACAGCCTACACGGTGGGAGCCCTGCTTCTCCTCTTGGGGACCCTGCTGCCGGCTGCTGAAGGGAAAAAGAAAGGGTCCCAAGGTGCCATCCCCCCGCCAGACAAGGCCCAGCACAATGACTCAGAGCAGACTCAGTCGCCCCAGCAGCCTGGCTCCAGGAACCGGGGGCGGGGCCAAGGGCGGGGCACTGCCATGCCCGGGGAGGAGGTGCTGGAGTCCAGCCAAGAGGCCCTGCATGTGACGGAGCGCAAATACCTGAAGCGAGACTGGTGCAAAACCCAGCCGCTTAAGCAGACCATCCACGAGGAAGGCTGCAACAGTCGCACCATCATCAACCGCTTCTGTTACGGCCAGTGCAACTCTTTCTACATCCCCAGGCACATCCGGAAGGAGGAAGGTTCCTTTCAGTCCTGCTCCTTCTGCAAGCCCAAGAAATTCACTACCATGATGGTCACACTCAACTGCCCTGAACTACAGCCACCTACCAAGAAGAAGAGAGTCACACGTGTGAAGCAGTGTCGTTGCATATCCATCGATTTGGATTAAGCCAAATCCAGGTGCACCCAGCATGTCCTAGGAATGCAGCCCCAGGAAGTCCCAGACCTAAAACAACCAGATTCTTACTTGGCTTAAACCTAGAGGCCAGAAGAACCCCCAGCTGCCTCCTGGCAGGAGCCTGCTTGTGCGTAGTTCGTGTGCATGAGTGTGGATGGGTGCCTGTGGGTGTTTTTAGACACCAGAGAAAACACAGTCTCTGCTAGAGAGCACTCCCTATTTTGTAAACATATCTGCTTTAATGGGGATGTACCAGAAACCCACCTCACCCCGGCTCACATCTAAAGGGGCGGGGCCGTGGTCTGGTTCTGACTTTGTGTTTTTGTGCCCTCCTGGGGACCAGAATCTCCTTTCGGAATGAATGTTCATGGAAGAGGCTCCTCTGAGGGCAAGAGACCTGTTTTAGTGCTGCATTCGACATGGAAAAGTCCTTTTAACCTGTGCTTGCATCCTCCTTTCCTCCTCCTCCTCACAATCCATCTCTTCTTAAGTTGATAGTGACTATGTCAGTCTAATCTCTTGTTTGCCAAGGTTCCTAAATTAATTCACTTAACCATGATGCAAATGTTTTTCATTTTGTGAAGACCCTCCAGACTCTGGGAGAGGCTGGTGTGGGCAAGGACAAGCAGGATAGTGGAGTGAGAAAGGGAGGGTGGAGGGTGAGGCCAAATCAGGTCCAGCAAAAGTCAGTAGGGACATTGCAGAAGCTTGAAAGGCCAATACCAGAACACAGGCTGATGCTTCTGAGAAAGTCTTTTCCTAGTATTTAACAGAACCCAAGTGAACAGAGGAGAAATGAGATTGCCAGAAAGTGATTAACTTTGGCCGTTGCAATCTGCTCAAACCTAACACCAAACTGAAAACATAAATACTGACCACTCCTATGTTCGGACCCAAGCAAGTTAGCTAAACCAAACCAACTCCTCTGCTTTGTCCCTCAGGTGGAAAAGAGAGGTAGTTTAGAACTCTCTGCATAGGGGTGGGAATTAATCAAAAACCTCAGAGGCTGAAATTCCTAATACCTTTCCTTTATCGTGGTTATAGTCAGCTCATTTCCATTCCACTATTTCCCATAATGCTTCTGAGAGCCACTAACTTGATTGATAAAGATCCTGCCTCTGCTGAGTGTACCTGACAGTAGTCTAAGATGAGAGAGTTTAGGGACTACTCTGTTTTAGCAAGAGATATTTTGGGGGTCTTTTTGTTTTAACTATTGTCAGGAGATTGGGCTAAAGAGAAGACGACGAGAGTAAGGAAATAAAGGGAATTGCCTCTGGCTAGAGAGTAGTTAGGTGTTAATACCTGGTAGAGATGTAAGGGATATGACCTCCCTTTCTTTATGTGCTCACTGAGGATCTGAGGGGACCCTGTTAGGAGAGCATAGCATCATGATGTATTAGCTGTTCATCTGCTACTGGTTGGATGGACATAACTATTGTAACTATTCAGTATTTACTGGTAGGCACTGTCCTCTGATTAAACTTGGCCTACTGGCAATGGCTACTTAGGATTGATCTAAGGGCCAAAGTGCAGGGTGGGTGAACTTTATTGTACTTTGGATTTGGTTAACCTGTTTTCTTCAAGCCTGAGGTTTTATATACAAACTCCCTGAATACTCTTTTTGCCTTGTATCTTCTCAGCCTCCTAGCCAAGTCCTATGTAATATGGAAAACAAACACTGCAGACTTGAGATTCAGTTGCCGATCAAGGCTCTGGCATTCAGAGAACCCTTGCAACTCGAGAAGCTGTTTTTATTTCGTTTTTGTTTTGATCCAGTGCTCTCCCATCTAACAACTAAACAGGAGCCATTTCAAGGCGGGAGATATTTTAAACACCCAAAATGTTGGGTCTGATTTTCAAACTTTTAAACTCACTACTGATGATTCTCACGCTAGGCGAATTTGTCCAAACACATAGTGTGTGTGTTTTGTATACACTGTATGACCCCACCCCAAATCTTTGTATTGTCCACATTCTCCAACAATAAAGCACAGAGTGGATTTAATTAAGCACACAAATGCTAAGGCAGAATTTTGAGGGTGGGAGAGAAGAAAAGGGAAAGAAGCTGAAAATGTAAAACCACACCAGGGAGGAAAAATGACATTCAGAACCAGCAAACACTGAATTTCTCTTGTTGTTTTAACTCTGCCACAAGAATGCAATTTCGTTAACGGAGATGACTTAAGTTGGCAGCAGTAATCTTCTTTTAGGAGCTTGTACCACAGTCTTGCACATAAGTGCAGATTTGGCTCAAGTAAAGAGAATTTCCTCAACACTAACTTCACTGGGATAATCAGCAGCGTAACTACCCTAAAAGCATATCACTAGCCAAAGAGGGAAATATCTGTTCTTCTTACTGTGCCTATATTAAGACTAGTACAAATGTGGTGTGTCTTCCAACTTTCATTGAAAATGCCATATCTATACCATATTTTATTCGAGTCACTGATGATGTAATGATATATTTTTTCATTATTATAGTAGAATATTTTTATGGCAAGATATTTGTGGTCTTGATCATACCTATTAAAATAATGCCAAACACCAAATATGAATTTTATGATGTACACTTTGTGCTTGGCATTAAAAGAAAAAAACACACATCCTGGAAGTCTGTAAGTTGTTTTTTGTTACTGTAGGTCTTCAAAGTTAAGAGTGTAAGTGAAAAATCTGGAGGAGAGGATAATTTCCACTGTGTGGAATGTGAATAGTTAAATGAAAAGTTATGGTTATTTAATGTAATTATTACTTCAAATCCTTTGGTCACTGTGATTTCAAGCATGTTTTCTTTTTCTCCTTTATATGACTTTCTCTGAGTTGGGCAAAGAAGAAGCTGACACACCGTATGTTGTTAGAGTCTTTTATCTGGTCAGGGGAAACAAAATCTTGACCCAGCTGAACATGTCTTCCTGAGTCAGTGCCTGAATCTTTATTTTTTAAATTGAATGTTCCTTAAAGGTTAACATTTCTAAAGCAATATTAAGAAAGACTTTAAATGTTATTTTGGAAGACTTACGATGCATGTATACAAACGAATAGCAGATAATGATGACTAGTTCACACATAAAGTCCTTTTAAGGAGAAAATCTAAAATGAAAAGTGGATAAACAGAACATTTATAAGTGATCAGTTAATGCCTAAGAGTGAAAGTAGTTCTATTGACATTCCTCAAGATATTTAATATCAACTGCATTATGTATTATGTCTGCTTAAATCATTTAAAAACGGCAAAGAATTATATAGACTATGAGGTACCTTGCTGTGTAGGAGGATGAAAGGGGAGTTGATAGTCTCATAAAACTAATTTGGCTTCAAGTTTCATGAATCTGTAACTAGAATTTAATTTTCACCCCAATAATGTTCTATATAGCCTTTGCTAAAGAGCAACTAATAAATTAAACCTATTCTTTCTGTGTGTGTGAGCGTGCGTTTGTGTTTGGTAGTGTTCCTAGGGCAGAGGTGGAGCAGGGATGCACTTATCATGGGAAGGGAGGTAGAAAAGAGAATTGGATAGCCTGTGATCTTTGGTGGAATTTATTCCTTTTGCCTAGGCCTTTCAGACCCTGCTTGATTTCCGTAGGACACTTCAGGTTGTGGCAAGGGAGAGCTGGTCTGCAATCGGAAGTACCAGCCTCTTCCCTAGAGCACAACTAGAAAGAAGAACTATAGAGTGTTATAAGGGAGGCCCTGAGATGGAAGGACCATCACACAGAAATGATAATATCTTCATTTCAGGGTGTTCCAGGGGAAAAGCAGGAGAAAGATTTGGGGCTCAGTAGAAGGAAAAGCTTCCTAGTGGTAAGAGTGATTGGCAATACCATGAGGTACCTTTAAAAGATAGTGAACTCCTGTCCTTGGAAATATTAAACCACAGGCTAGATATCATTTAATAGGGATGTGAAGTAGAGTAAGTCACTGCCCTTGGTGTGCAATTGTGAACTTGTCAATTTCTGAGGTCCCTTTCTACTTAGATATATAATACAAGATTTCTATTAGGTATGGGTGCTCTGATGATAATGAAAATCCCAGCAGCTATGTATGGGATGGTTACACCAGACACTGTGCTAAGGATTTTCTTTGAATTGTTTCTCACTCAATCTTCACGGTAGCTCAGTGAGGTAGGTACCATTATCACTGCTAGAAAGCAGTGAACTTATATGGTCTTACTGTGGCACTGGGTCCTTAAACATTATGCAAAACTGTGAGCAACTTTTATCGGTTTGTTCTTTTAAGAACATAACACAGCACTCTAAAAATAGATCTAACTAGATTGTTCACATCTAGCGATTAAGGCCACCCTGAGATTATAGCTGCATCATCAGGAACCCAAGATCTGAAGCATTCAGTCAAAGCCTCTTGGCCACCTCTCTTTTTGTCATGGCCTTCTTGGACTTGGAGGGGGAGAATGGAAGCAAGTACCAAGGAGAAAGTGTTCTCAGAAAAGCCACACCCATTAGAAAAATACAAGGCCTGAAAGGTGTGAGTGGGACTTGACACGGAAGAGCATTTCAAGCTTAAGAAAAAAAAAAAAAAGAAGAATGTGGGAGGATGTCAGCAACAATGCTTGAGATTCCCTGGTCCCCCAAAGAGTCTCTCCTCCATAAAACTAATGAGAATGTGACAAAAATAGATTCAACTTCTTATAGCTCTGGAAATTAACTGAAGATGTATAGCAATTTGCAGAGCATTTATTCAAGAAAAAGACTAAATCTCTGTGAGCACTGTGATATTGTAACTTGCACTACTCTCATCTCCCCCTCTCCAGCTCCACAATAGCTTTGAAACCAACAGCCTGCAATTACCATGAAAATCAGCAGTCTGGCAGCCACTGAAGGTGACAGAATGGAGTTGGAGTTCTTTCAAAGTCCCATTCCTAGACAATTGTCACTATTTGACCTGTTTGGCAGGCCCTGGAAGCTCCACTTGCAAGGCTATATTTGACCTGACTGGAAGCTTCCCAGGGTAAAAAACTTTGTCAAAACAACTAGAGGCAATTGATTCTCTTTGTGGCTGCCTGGGGTAATGTATAACAGTTGGGGAAAGCAATTGGCTAAATAAAAAGCCTAAAAGGAGAAGCTGGAAAAAGAGATTTTCATAGGGACTTTGAAAAGCTCCAAAGTGTTATTGGCAATCTAGACTGCCAAATGCATAAATAGGACTCCATCCATGCCCAGGACTGTGCAGATGCTCAGGAAAAACCCAAGAAAGCCTTAAGCTCTCACTTCAAGCTGATCTTGAGGCTCTGCACAAGCCATAAGTAAAGGGAATGCAGAGTTGTCAATTGCATGGCGGAGTGTTGAGTGTGCCTCAGCATTCACACAGAGCTCCTTGGCAGAGACTGGTTGAATTATTGATTCCAAGTGTTTGAGGAAATCCGTGTACAACTATTAGATGACTACTAACCAAGCAGAGACTTCAGTGTCCACACACAACAAAAAATACAGACTTTACAGAATTAGTTCAGAAAAGTCATTAAACAAAGAAACAACAACAAACCCTGGGGAAATGACAGTACGATCAAACCATGCATGGCCCTGCCTGCATGTGGGAATCCTCATCCAAGTCATACTTTCTAAACATCATAAAAAGCCCAAACCAGTCTCCTTTCCTGGCTCTCTCAAGTCATTTTCAGACCAGGTTAGGAGACGTGAGCTGCTCTCCACAAAAAGCCTCATGTGAGTAATAAATGTTTCATACTCTCTTGGGGTGTGTGTAACATCATCAGTCTCAGCATCTAAACCAAATTTTGGTGACATTTCATCTTGTTTATGCAGATGTCCACCACACCTATAAATAAACAAACTACTGAAACTGATTCAAGAAAAAATAAAAATCTGAATAGAGCTATCACAAGTAAAGAGATTAAATAAGCAATCAAATAACTTCCCAGAAAGAAAAGCCCAATTTAGGATGTCTTAACTGATTAATGTTAGCAAATATTTAAAGAAGAATTGGTACAAATTCTTCACAAACTCTTCCAGAAATGGAAGAGGAGGAAACACTTTCCACCTTATTTTCTATAACTAGTATTACCTTGATACCAAATTCTGACAAATACATCAAAAATAAAACCATAGACCAATATCTCTTTTAAGTGTAAATGCAAAAAAATTCAACAAAATGCTAGATAACTGGGTCCAACAACATATGGAAAGGATTATATACCTTGACCAAGTGGGATTTGCCCCAGGAATGCAAGATTGATTTAACCATCAGTGTAATGCATCATATTAATAGAATAAAGACAGAAACCACACAATCATCTCGATACACGCAGAAAAATCATTTGGCAAAATTCAACACCCCTTTGTAATAAAATCACTCAACACACTAGGAAGAGAAGGGAACTTCTTCAACCTCACACATGGCATCTATGAAAAACCCACAGCTGGCCGGGTATGGTGGCTCAAGCCTGTAATCCCAGCACTTTGGGAGGCTGAGCCAGGCGGATCACCTGAGGTCAGGAGTTCGAGACCAACCTGACCAACATGGAGAAACCCTGTATCTACTAAAAATACAAAAAATTAGCCCGGCGTGGTGGCAAATGCCTGTAATCCCAGCTGCTTGGGAGGCTGAGGCAGGAGAATCGGTTGAACCCAGGAGGTGGAGGTTCTGGTGAGCCGAGATCACGCCATTGTACTCCAGCCTGGGCAACAAGAACAAAACTCTGTCTCAAAAAAAAAAAAAAAAAGAAAAGAAAAACCCACAGCTAACATCATACTTAAAGGTGAAAGACTGAAAGCTTTCCCCCAAGAGGAACTAACAGGATATCTGCTGTCACTATTTTTATTCAATATTATACTGGAGGTTCTACCTAGGGTAATTAGGCAAAAAAAAAAAAAAAAAAAAAAAAAAAAAAAAAAAAAAAAAAAAAAAAAAGAAAAGAAAAAAGTCATCCAGATTGGAAAAGAAATAAAATGATTTCAATTTTAAGATGACATAATATTGTATGTAGAAATCCTAAGGAATTTACAAAAGAACTATTAGAGCTAATACATGATTTCAGCAAGGTTGCAGGATACAAGATCAACATACAGATATAAATTGTATTCTACACACTTGTAATGAAAAATCTGAAAATAAAATTAAGAAAATAGCACCCTTTGAATAGTATCAAAAAGAATAAAATACATAGAAAAAATGTAACAGGAAGTGCAAGACTGGTACATTGAAAACAATAAAACATTGTTAAAAAATTTAAAATCATCAAAATAGATGGAAATAAAACCTGTGTTCATGGATGAAAAAAATTAACATTGCTCTACAGATTCAATACAATTCTTATCAAAATCCCAGGTGGCTTAAGAAATTGACAAGTTAATCCTAAAATTCATAAGAAATTGAAAGGGATCCACAATAGCCAAAATAATCTTAAAAAAGATTTTAAAAAGTTGGAGAACTCACACTTCCTGGTTTCATAACATACACCAGGCTGGGCATGGTGGTTCATGCCCATAATCCCAGCACTTTGGGAAGTTGAGGCAGAAGGATCACTTGAGCACAGGAGTTTGAGACCAGCCTGGACGATATAGTGAGACCTTGTCTCTACTAAAAATTTAAAAAGGAATTAGCCAGGTGTGGTAACATGCACCTGTTGTCCCAGCTACTTAGGAGGCTGAGGCATGAGGATCACTTGAGCCCAGAAGATTGTACCACTGCACTCCAGCCTACATGACAGAGTAAGTCTCTGTCTCAAAAACAAAACAAACAACAAAAATACTGAAAGCTTTCCCCATACAGGAACTAACAGGATATCTGCTGTCACTATTTTTATTCAATATTGTTCTGGAGGTTCTAGCTAGGGCAATTAGGCAAAAAAAGGAAAAAGAAGTCATCCAGATTAGAAAAGAAATAAAATAATTTCAATTTTCAGATGACATAATATTGTATGTAGAAATCCTAAGGAATTTACAAAAGAACTGCTACCCTGAAAGAATTGTTGTAAGGCAAATACCCCTGTAATTACCATTAGGGGAAGAAATTTTTCCATGCTTCACAGAAACTCTCCTTATACCCCACCTCAATTTTAATCTTTTTCTGTACCACTACAGTTATAATTCTCCTAAAGCTTAAAGCAATTACCTCCTTGTTTATATTTATAGTTTCATCACTGAAGTGTGCATTCCTAAACTCAACACCTTAGTCTGGTTGCAAACAGTTTAAATGAGAAAAGATAAGGCCTGAATTAAGGCAGCAGCCCTAAACCTTTTTCTATAATCCTGATAGTGATTACCACCTAGGGGATTATAAATGTTTGCTTCTTCCTCTGGCACCAACAAGTTTACTGAGCAGAAGTTTAAAATAATTGGATAATGGGGCAGGTGACATCAGCAAGATGTTGTATTAGCAAATGCTGGACCCTTCTTCAATCCACAAACACATCTATTCTGCAAAAATTCATGGCTAAATTCCTTTGTGAGGAATCCAGAAACTAAAAGGCTCCTGCACTCCCAGCAAATGCAAAAACCAGACTCACCAAAGCTGGTAGAGAGATTTGAGATACCACCTTGTCCGAATCCCTAACCCCAGCACAGTGCCATGTAGTCAGCAAGAGACTCCCTAGCACTCAGTTTCTCCCAGGTGAGAGGAGTTGGTTCACATATCCAAGACCTCCAACTTTTCTGAGGAGATTCCCAGAGGACTGGCTTCTATCTTGTCAGTCTTGGAGCTCTGACAGAATTGGTACTATCTAGCTACCTGGGGAAGGACAGAGACAGAGGTTTAGACCAGTAGATGACATGGCACCCTGCCCTCTACTGCCTCACCTCCTGGCTCAGCACAGACAGGACAAAAATCATGGCTACCTACATTTCCCTGGAGAAGGAATGATTTGTTAAAGGCCCCCAAATCACTGGGCAGACTTATTGGTGGGGGTCTTCTCCTCTGAGGCCCAGCTGTGAGGACTGGGACAGGTGACTGCTTTGTCTAATGTGCAGACACCAACACAAAGAGTCAAGGAAAATGAATAATCATACGAAGATGTTCCAAACCAAAGAACAAGATAAATCTCTGGAAACTGAGCTAATGAAATAAACTTATGTGATTTACCTGACAGAGAATTCAGAATAGCTCTCATAAAGATTCTCACCAGAGTCAAGAGAACAATGCATGAAAAAAGTTAAGAATTTTGACAAAGAGATAGAGTATATTTAAAAGTACCAAAAAGAAATGGAACTGAAGAACACAACAACTGAACTGAAAAAATTTATGACAGGACATCAACAGGAGACAAGATTAATCAGAAGAAAGAATCAATGAACTTGAAGACAGGTCATTGGAAATAATTCAGTTAGAGGAGAAATTAAAATGAAAAAGAGTGAAAAAAAGCCCAAGGGTCTTATGGGCAACATCAAGCTGAACAATATACTCATTATTGGCATCACAGAATAAAAGAGAGAAAAGAACTGAGAACGTATTCAAAGAAATAATGGCTGAACACTTCCCAAATATGAGGAAGAAAATGAACATTCTGATCCAAGAAGCCCAAAGGTCATAAAAAAGTGATCCCAAAGCCTACAGGCATATTATAAGTTGTCATCCTAGAGAAAGAAAAATATCTTTCTCCCAGCCTCCATATTCAAATCTTAAGGAAAATTCTTATGGACTTAGCTTGAGTTTCAAGTTCATTTCTAAAATCAATCATGGTGGCCAAACGGAATGAGCATTCTGATTTGCCAGTGTGGTCTCATGTTACCCCTGTGCCTAGAAAGGAAACAGGAGATGAAAAGCATGGTGATAAGAAGACTGGATGGCACCACATGGGATAGGGGGAAAGTAGTTGAAAAAAAATAGTTGTAAGGAAAAGAGATACAAGGAGTCAAAAATAACAAATATCTACTTAAAAGCCTTTTCCACATTTAATGTTTTTTGTTCACTGTGGTGTAGTAATAAATGTCTATACTTAAGGGGTGAGGATTGATATATTTAAAGTGAATGGTCTGGAAGGCAAGGAAGCTCATTCCAACAGATTCATGCTACATTGTTTAGTGACAAATAAGGGGAACAGAACAGAGAAAGTGATTTCAGCTATAAATATAGGAGATAATAAAATCCTTTAGTAAACAGTATCTAAGCCTTGTTTTTATGATATTGGGGAACAGTAACAGATCAAAGTACTGTAGTCTTCAGTATGCAGACCTTTCACTTTCTTAGTTTATTCCAGGGTCTTTTTTTTTTTTGCTGCTATTACAAATAGCATTGTTTTCCTAATTTTTGTTTAAGATAGTTCATCGTTGGTATAGAAATGCCATTGATTTTTGTATGTTGATTTTGTATCCTCCAACTTTACTGAATTTATTAGTTCTAACAGTTTTTTGATGGAGTCTTTAGGGTTTTCTATGTATAAGATTATGTCATCTGCAAACAGCAACAATTTTACCCTTTGTTTTCAACGTGAGCGTCTTTTATTTATTTTTCTTGCCTAATTGCTTTAGCTAGGACTTCCAGCACTAAATTGAATAGAAGTGATGAGAGTGGGCATGTATGCCTTGTTTCTGGTCTTAAAGAAAAACATTTCAGTTTTCCATTATTCGGTATAATGTTAGTTATGGGTTTTTAAAAATATATATGACCTTTATTAGGTTGAGGTACTTTTCCTCTATTCTTAGTTTATTGAATGTTTTTCTCATGAAAGTGTGTTAAATTTTGTCAAAACCTTTTTTACATCCATCAAATGATTATGTAATTTTTATCCTTTATTCTGTTAATGGATTATCACATTAACTAATTTTCATATCTTGAAGCATACTTGCATCCTAGGAATAAATCCCACTTTGTCATAGTCTTTGATCCTTTTAATATAATGTTAAATTTGGTTTGCCAGTATTTTGTTGAGGATTTTTGCATCTATATATTCATCAAGGATATTGGGCTGTAATTTTCTTTTCTTGTGGTGTCTTTGTCCGGCTTTAGTATAAAGGTAATTCTGGCTTCATAAAATAAGTTAGAAAGTGTTCTCTCTTCTTTGATTTTTTTGGAAGAGTTTGAGAATAATTGGCATTAGTTTTGTTAAATGTTTGGTTGAATTCACTAGTGAAATTATTTGGTCCTGGGATTTTCTTTACTGGGAGTTTTTTGATTACTTGTTCAATCTTTACGCTAGTCATAGGTCTGTCCAGTCTTTGTATTTCTTCATGATTTAGTCATCATGTATTCATGGGTTGTAAGACTTAATATTCTTAAAATGCCCATATTACCCAAAGTGATCTATAGATTCATGCAATCCCCATCAAAAATCCCAGTGGCATTTTTATTTACAGAAATAGAATAATTCTAAAATTCATCTGAAGCCACAAAAGACAATGAATAAACAAATCAATCTTGAAAAAGAAGAACAAAGCTGGAGGCATTATACTTCCTGATTTCAAAATATCCTGCAAAGGTACAGTAATCAAAACAGTATGTTACCAGCATAAAGACAAACACACAGACCAATAGAACAGAATAGAGAGCTCAGCAACAAATCCGTGAATATACAGTCAACTGACATTTGGCAATGGTGCCAAGCATACTCAGTGGGAGAAATGATAATCTCTTCAACAAATGGTGTTGGGAAAACTGAATATCCACATGCAAAAGAATAAAATTGGACCCTATCTTATACCAAAAATCAACTCAAAATGGATTATTTAAATGTAAGACTTGAAACAGTAAAACTCCTAGAAGTAAACAGAAGAGAAAGTTTCATGACATTGCCCTTGGCAATGATTTCATGTACATAACAACAAAAGCACAGGTAATAAAAACAAAAATAGACAAATGGGACTACCTCAAATTAAAATGTTTCTGCACAGCAAACGACCAACTGAATGAAAAGGCAATCTATGGAACAGAAGACACGGGGTGACATGAGACCACTTTGGCAAATCAGAATGCTCATTCCATTTGGCCACCATGATTGGTTTTAGAAATGGACTTGAAGCTCAAAGAAAGCCCATAATATATTCCTTAAGATTTGAATATAGAGGCTGGAAGAAAGATTTTTTTCTTTCTCTAGGATGACAAGTTATATATAATAAGCCTGTAGGCCAATATCTGCTGGCAGCCACCTTTCCCAGGTATATGGATGAAACTATCTGAAGGATGAAGCCTCCATTCACAGAAAATCAGAGCTGTAAAGGGAAGAGGATATCCTGATGAATTTTTTTCTTGGATTGAGCCATGTCTGAAGTCAAGCCAACTTTTGAAGTATCCTATAGTACTTATATATTGCTTGGTAACAAATTATGCCAAAATTTAGTAGCTTAAAACAACAAACATCTATTATCTCATGCATTTCTGATATAGATATAGGAGTGACTAATCTGGGTGGTTCTGGGTCAGAATCTCTGGTGAGTGTGTAGGCAAGGTGTCAGTAGGGGGCTGCAATTATCTAAAGGCTTGCCTGGGGCTGGAGACGCACTTTCAATGTGGTGTACTCACGTGGCTGTTGGTTGGAGGCCAAATGTGCTAGGCAAAGCCTCATGCACATTTCTCTGTAAGGAAACAAAGCTGGCTTACTTGGGGGCAGGATTTTTTTTTTTCCCAGTTGTTCTTCAAAATGAAGTTTCCCGCTCCAAGTCCCAGCCAGATATGTGAAAAACAATCCTTGCAGAACAACCCTATTAGCAGTTCTGCAAGGATTTTTAGGAACCGTATTAGCAAGTTCCTCAGTTCCTCACCATGTGAACCTCTCTTCACGACTTAGTAACTGGCTTCCTCTAGAGTGACTAATCCAAGAGACAGCAAGGATTGACAGCCATGACAGCACAGTGCCTTTCATGACTTACTCTCCAAAGTTACAAACCTTTACTTTTGCTTTATCTTATTTGTTAGAGCAAGTCACTAAATTTGCCCACATCTAAGATGAGGGTATTTGGGCTTCACCTCTTGAATGGAGAAGCACCCAAAAATCTGTGGCCTTTTTTTTTAATTACACTCTCAGTTACATGAATCAATAAATTCCATTTTTGGCTTAGCTTCTATTGGGTTTCTATCACTTGCAACCAAAGTGCCCTAACCAGTATCTACATCTGAGTCATTAAGAAAGTTTCAGACAGGGCTGGGCGCGGTGGCTCACACCTGTTAATCCCAGACTTTGGGAGGCCGAGGCAGGCGGATCACGTGGTCAGGAGATCGAGACCATCCTGGCTAACACGGTGAAACCTTATCTCTACTAAAAATACAAAAAATTAGCCGGGTGTGGTGGCAGGTGCCTGAAGTCCCAGCTACTCGGGAGGCTGAGGCAGGGGAATGGCGTGAACCCGGGAGACGGAGCTTGCAGTGAGCCGAGATCACGCCACTGCGCTCCAGCCTGGGCGACAGAGTGAGACTCAGCTTCAAAAAAAAAAAAAAAAAAGAAAGTTTCAGATATTATTGTTTATTGCTTTTAATCTAGTGAATTCATAAATCGTCACTTAACTCAAGCAAAACAATGTTACTCTCTTTGTACATTGTACAGATGCAGGATAACAATGCAGTGTTATCCTGCATCTGTACAATCAAGCACCCAAACTGGTTCTGTAGAGGCAGGACCTTAGCATATAGCAGAGATAACTTATCTTCCAGCAGATCCGGAGCTCCATTTTGTAGACAGAAATGAATGCTCTGTGCCACAGAAGGAGCTGTTGCACTATTCATTCCCGTTTCCTCCCATTCACTCTCCACATCTCCAATCCTGGCATTGTCTGCTTTGTTACTTGTTAAAAACTTGATTTCGTAGATTGCTTTAAAATAAGAACAAAATGTACTTTGACACACATCATTTTGTTTGGTTCTCATTAATTTTGAGAGAAAGGCAAGATAGATATTTAAATGACCCCTATTTTAGTGGTAAACAAGCTGAAATTAGATAAATAAAATGATTTGCCTAATGCCTCATGAGTGATTTGCTTTCTTTTAAATACTTTAGGAGAATGTTTGGGGATTAAGTCTCAAGATAATAAGGGCAAGTCAGAAAATACAACTTACCTGTCTTTTCTTTTCAAAACTTTTTTGAGAGAAGGATATAATGCGTGGAGTTCAGAAAACCCATAATTTGTATAGCATTGATGTAGCCCATTCACAATCTAGGATTTTTGATATACGTGAGCAGTCATGGTGGAGTGGGTCAGACCAGGCATGGCTCAGCTTCGTACTTCAGGCCACACTGTTCAATCTGTTCACTTGATCCACATGCTAGGATGTGAGAATTTTTCTCTTACATCCTTTCGCTGGAGCCATTTTGGCTGTGCTTATGGTAGTGACAGAGTTTCAAAGAAGAAGAGCCCATAATGTCTCCCAGGCATACTACAAAGGAAATATAAGTCATCAAATAGTTGAATCTGGATCTGGGCCAGGATAACTCGACTCTTCTTATAGAAGGTGCCATGGGATCTATAGTGATGGCAGGTGATGGAAGAAGTGGGTCCCCTCAGCTTTATGTCTTGTCTGAAAGATGATAACCATGCTAATAAATTTAGTGCCACATTCTTTACAGTGTGCTCATCCGACCCCTAGAACAAGGCCATAAACCATAATGGAGTCCATGATGCTTTCAATTATTAGACATTCATTTCTGCTTTTCACTTTCTTTCTCTTCTGCCAAAATTTGGCTTTATTGATTACACTTTATGGAAGGATGGAAGAGGGCAGGGGTAGAAAAAAGGCCCACTTTTTAGAAATCTGAGAAGAATTATATGTCTGTCAAAATAAAATCCCGGCTCTCTAATGGAGGAATACAAAACATTTTTGCTATTGTATCTACCATAAATACACAGATATAATGAGCAGAGCCTGGTTGGGGGCATTCTTGAGTCTTTTCAGAGCCACAGGTTATTTTATGTTAACACCCTCATTAAGAAAATCATTAAGTTTTTCTTTTAGTAGTTAGTAGTGAGGATATGTACAACCCCACTTCTGGCTTTTTTTTGAGAGCAGGAAGGCATACAGAAAAGTTTATGGAATGTGGCATTGAGCTCCAGAGAGAGGCTCTGTTTGTCAAGGAAAAAGGGAACAGAATAGAGGTGGGTGTTAAAGAATATTTTATTTGGATTTCTTGCCCTGATACTTGACACCGAAAACTTGCCGTTCCAGTTGTTGGAAGGAAGACTGGAAGAGCTATTTTATTCCCTGCTGGTCTATTCTTTTGTATTTTATTAAACATTTTAACTAGTCACCTCCTTTCCAGACACACTGTTAACAATTGAATGCCACATCCATACCAAATTCTCACCCATGACTCAAGGGAAGCTGGACACTATTCTCAAAATAGAAGTAACGAGCCATTAGTGGTGATGAAATACTAGATGGAAAAATCTCAATTCCAACTCCCTCCAGGAACTGAAGACTCTAAAATATTCTTCTACCCTGAAACCTGTCTTGCAATCAAATTAAGATCTCCTCACTAATTTTTACCTCTCACCTGAGATTCCTTGTATTTGTGAATGAAAGTCTTTCATCAGCAATAAAGGGTATGCTTAGTGAATAATGAATTAAGATTGTGGAAGAGAATCATGTCTTTTGGAGAAGACGATCAGTCTAGGATGATGCAAAATCTCTTGGTGATTTTTCTTTTTTTAACTTTTGGCTGGCAGTGAAAGTTTTCCCTGAAAGATTAAGGTAGGTGAAAATAGGTGAGGAGAGGAAAAGGCTGAGGTAGTAAGTAAAGAGACAATTTTGATTTGTTTTGTAAGTTTCCAGAAGGTCCCTAGGCAAGTAGAGAACCAAAATCAGTAGAAGGAAATTGCAATGGAAGGGAAATATACAAGTGGGACTGAGCAGCATAGCAATTTGTGAAGCCCTTTAATAGAAACCTTATCCACTATATTGGAGAATGAGTGAACCATGTCAGTAGTCAAAGAATGCTGCCAAGAGCTCTATGTGATATTCTAAATACAGAATCCATATTGCCATTGTCTGCATTCCTTTCTAGACTTTTTGGAGTGAGGAATTAGTGAGCGTTGTAATGAGGAAGTACTGAGTAATTGGAAAATATTGTTAATTGTGGCGCTTCCTTCTTTGATTGCTGTCTCTGAAACAGTCTGAAAAAATAATCCTATCCTGCGTTTTTGCGATTTGTTCATTATAACAAATGAAGTCAGAGCCATGTGCGCTGTTTCTGGTTGTGGATATTAAGAAAGGCCTTTAAATTGAATCATGTCTATATTTTTGTTCGTTTGTTTGTTTTGAGACAGAGTCTTGCTCTGTCACCCAGGCTGGAGTGCAATGGCGCGATCTCGGCTCACTGCAAACTCTGCCTCCCAGGTTCAAGTGATTCTCCTGCCTCAGCCTCCCAAGTAGCTGGGATTACAGGTGCCTCCCATGGTGCCCAGTTAATTTTTGTATTTTTAGCAGAGATGGGGTTTCACCATGTTGGCCAGTTTGGTCTCGAACTCCTGACCTCAGGTGATCCGCCCATCTTGGCCTTCCAAAGGGCCAGGACTACAGGTGTGAGCCACCGTGCCCAGCCATGTATACAATTTATACAGACATTAAGCAAATTCCTAGTCGAAGAGCACAATTGACCTTGCTTTCAAAGCTTCCATTAGAAAAAAATGTATGGTAAGACAAATCTATGTTTTTATAACCAAAATGGGAGAAAGGAAGCACACAAGTTTTCAACTACGTATTTGGTGACTCAGTCTCACATTGTGATTTGGGCAAAAACAGAGTCAAATAATCTAACACGGATGTGTCTCCTCAACTAAGTTAGCTTTGCAAACCAGAAAGTTCTAGCTTTGGGGGATGGGCCTATACAGGAGGGGTCAGTGGACGGGGCCATGTGACGACAACATGGCCGTGGCTTTGGGTTCTTGAAGCACTCACAGATGACCAAAGAGGCACAGGAACAAACTCATCAGTACATTTTTATGTGATCCTGTAGAGCTTGTTTCTTTTTGAGAGTGTCGGGAGGTTTGGCTGATTCACCCAATATGCCTCAAGTGGGAGCTGAAAAAGCCATGTTCTCTAGACACCAAAAATGAGAGTGGATGAATTCAGCAATTGGTAGGTAACATGATCTGCCTTTTGTAGCAAGCCAGAAGCCAGATGTCCCCTCCCCTTTGATCTGAATAACACTTTAGGCTGCAGACAATAAGATTGGTTTTAAATTTATTGTCTCTTTGATTTCTGCATTCTAATGCTTTTTAAATTCTTTACACAAGACAGGGCTATATATAGGCAACTGGGATGGTTCAATGGAAGCCAAAAAAATACCAGTAGCTTATGAGAAGTGCTAGGCAAAGTCTCATGCACATTTCTCTGTAAGGAAACAAAGTTGGCTTACTTGGGGGCAGGATTTTTTTTTTCCAGTTCTTCAAAATGAAGTTTCCCGCTCCAAGTCCCAGCCAGATATGTGAAAAAAAATCCTCGCAGAACAACCCTATTAGCAAAGCAGTAAAGCAGAAGAATCTGATTTAAATGAAATACACCAAATCAGAATGTCTTCCTTCTCTAAGTCCTCTATGACTTTCATCCCAGTTAAAGTTTTATTCCTGTCCTTGTTGATGCAGCCTGTGTCGGGCAATCAGATGACGAGGCCAAGAGTTTGATTTCATTCATTCTGTTGATGGTGAAGATGCAAATATCTGAACCCAATCTCATCCCATTGACAGAAGGTAAATGGCATTTGGAAATCTCCTTTTTTTGTCTGCAACAGAGTCTTACTCTGTCACCCAGTCTAGAGTGCAATGGTGTGATCTCAGCTCACGGCAACCTCAATCTCCAGGGTTCAAGCAATTCTCCTGCCTGAGCCTCCTGAGTAGCTGGGATTACAGGTGCACACCACTACGCCCAGCTAATTTGTGTATTTTTAGTAGAGATGGGGGTTTCACCATGTTGGCTAGGCTGGTCTCGAACTCTTGGCCTCAAGCGATCCACTTGCCTCGCTCTCCCAAAGTGCTGGGATTAAGGGTATGAGCCACTGTGCCAGTCTCCTTTAATTAATCTTCAGTGAATACTACTGATGAGGCATTCAACTGAATCTGTAAAAACATTTGGCCACGATTTTGCCCTCAAGTGGATCAAACCACGGACAATTGCCCCAAGATGTGAGCCTGCTCTAGAGAACACCAGTTCCGTAGCAGGAGAAAGGGTTCAAGTCTCAATACATCATGTTTTCACTGCAGCTATGTGACCTTGAGTAAATCATGGCTTCTCTTCATCTATTTTCTCTTCTGGAAGAGTAGGTAAACTCAGATTGGCCTAACATTCTATTAAATTAAAAAGTCCTTCTACAAACAGAATGTTATTGGAGCCAAATAACCGCACTGTAAGGGAGCCAGGGCAGCACTGTCCTTCATACTTTAGGATGAAGAAGCCGAGCCCAAGGGGTCCACGAGTACTGGAAAGCCTTGTGACTGGTTGGAGACAAAGGCAATACTGTGACTCAGATCTCCTGACATCTTCTATCTCTCTCTCTCTCTCTTTTTTTTTTGAGACGTAGTTTTGTTCTTCTCACCCAGGCTGGAGTGCAGTGGCGCGATCTCAGCTCACTGCAAACTCCACTTCCTGGGTTCAGGAGATTCTCCTGCCTCAGCCTCCCGAGTAGCTGGGATTACAGGCGCTTGTCACCACACCTGGCTAATTTTTGTATTTTTAGTTGTATAGTTAGGGTTTCACCATGTCGGCCAGGCTGGTCTCGAACTCCTGACCTCAGGTGATCCGCCCATCTTGGCCTCCCAAAGTGTTGGGATTACAGGCGTGAGCCACTGTGCCCCGCCTCTTCCCTCCTTCTGTCCACTTAGTAAGACTCACTCTACACTCTGCCTCTCCACCTGTGTACTATGAGGACCAGAGGTTTTGTCTGTAAGAAGCGTTTGCAAACACATGCTGCCATTACAGCACAATTCTGATTCTTCTCCTCAGGAATCCCCTATGAACTTCTAGTGGAAAGACAAGCCATGAAAGCAGTCATTGAGGTGAGGACTGAAAAAACAAACAGCAAAGGCTGATTTTATTTTTTTCTGTGCCAGTGGTGCAGCTCACCTTTGCAGCATGAAAGCAGAGTTCGGTGTGCCCCTTTGTGTCAACACATCTATCAGATTTTCCAGTCAGTTTTCAATCAATTCCTTGGATATCAGGTATTAGGCCATAAAGCATTTCTTTCCACTTTATGGTTCTAAAATATAAACTATGGCCACAGCTGAAGCTTTTAAGTCTGATGGGGATGGCTCCCAAGAGAGGCTCTTCAGAAGCCTAAATAATAGTCTGAAGTGGGTATAAATTTGGGAGGAAACACAGACCCTCACTGCACTGACACTCAAGTCTCCCTAGGATATTTTCTTAGTGCTCACAAAGGACTCCCCTAGAGGTTTTGAAGAAATATGAAGAAACTATAAGACCCAATCTGTATACCCAAGGGTATTACAGACAATATGGTAGCAAAAGCACTTAAAAAAGATCTGTGAAGTCAGCACCTGCAACAATCTATCTGAACAACTCTACATGGAGATATACTCACACACAGTGGTGGAAGTGCAGATGTGGCTGGATTTGCTCATGTTTTGAATAGAGGTCTCTTAAAATGACTGTTTCAAGGTGTCCTTTCAGACCTGGGGGTTACCTGCTTCTTCTCTATATTTTTCTGCTTTTCAGAAAAATTCATCCTATCTGAATGAAGACTTTCAATATGTGGAATGAATGCCATACAGGTTCTGACTACATGATCAAAATTACTTATGTAACTTTGGGCCTGAGAAAGAATTGTACAGGGGACTACAGGATTTTATCCTAAAGGACCAGAATCCCTCTTTTTATTCACTTCCTGAGAATGAGCATGATTTCTTAGTTCAAATACACAGGCTGTCCCGCTGACTCCCAATCACCCAGATGGAAATGAGTGGTGTCAGTGCTGTGTGCAGGAAGCAGGATGTTACTTTAGACTCTGTGTGCAGGAGAGATGGCCGTAGTAACAAATTTATGTGGGTCTGGCCTTTCAATCCTGGAATTCAAATGCGCATGAGGTTGCAAAGGGGCCTGGAAATTCAATTGCCATCCCTTGACCTAGCCCAAAGCAAAACATGAAGAAGGTAACCAGGAGACACCACTGTAAATTGAAATCATCTGGTGTACATAGCATAGGGATATATAAACATGAAGTTTAAAGCATATAGAATTCTCCAGTGCCACTATCTTATAGGGTATGACATTTGTTCTTTCTAAAGTGCTACTGATATAATTTGATTCTTATAACTTTGTGAAGTAGGGAGGTGAATGTACATTTGGCAGATTGAGAAACCAAGATTCTAAAAGGTCAAGCGACTTGCCTAAAGTCATAAATGAGAGCTATGACAGTACCCCAACCTTCCAATGCCCTAGGATCTTTTTCTTTCTTTCCTTCCTTCATTCCTTCCCTCCTTCCTCTCTTTCTTTCTTTTTTCTCTCTCTCTCTCCTTCCTTCCTTCATTCCTTCCTTTCTTCCTTCTTTTTTTTCCCCGCATAATTTGATCTGCATTAGCCTCCAAAACTCCTTGGATTGGAATAAAATATGGCTCCTGTATTTTGTTTTGTTTTGGTCCTTTAAAAAATGTCCTTTCTTTATCATGCTTTATCATATATATACAGAAAAAGACACAAAATGAAGCAGAGCTTATTGAATTATTTTCAAAGACTTTTGTAACATCGCCAGCACGGTGGAGGTCCTTTGAGTGTACTGAGCCAGGAGGGCTTCATGGACATGAGACAGGATCCTGTGCTTAGCAGACCTCACACCTTGGTTAGTGTTCTACTGAAACTGTTTTAAAATTCCTAATAATTTATGAACAAGGAATCTTATATATTCATTTTGCACTGGGCCTGTCCAATTATGTACCCAGTCATGCTCCTACCCAATCACATCTCCTTCTCCCTCACAAATACCCATTATCCTAACTTTCACGGGTCCCTTTTTTGCTCTTCTGTATTGTTTTATCACCTCGGTATGCATATCTGCACATTATAGTTTACCTGTCAGAATTTTCTGTAAATGGAATTGCATGGCATATTATCTTGTGTGTCAACCTTGTTGGTGAGATTCAACCATTTGTTATTTGCACTTGTCTCATTCCTGTATAACATTTTCATCTGTGAGTATATCATAATTTTAAAAATATATTCTATTTTTGATGGAAATTTGAGAGATTTCTAGTTTTGGCTATTATGAATAAGGTTGTTATAAAAATTGTTGTATGTGTATCTCCGCACCAAAGTGCATCTGCTCCCATTGAGCATTTTACCTGTGAGTGGAATTTTGCTAGGTTATAAGGTGTGTGTTTGCTCAGCTTTATGGATAATGCCAAGTGTTTTCCAAAGTCATTGTCTCAATTTACACTCCCTCCAACAGCATCAGAGGATTTTCTTGTGCCACATTTTCACCAACGCTGGATGTTGTTGGTTCTTTCAATTTCAACCATTCCAGTGGGTGTGTATTAAATCACACTAATAATCTCATTGTGATTTTTTTTTTTTTTTTTTTGGAGACGGAGTCTCTGTCGCCTAGGCTGGAGTGCAATGGCACAATCTCAGCGCACTGCAACCTCCGCCTCCTGGATTCAAGCAATTCTTCCGCCTCAGCCTCCCGAGTAGCTGGGATTACAGGTACCCGCCATCGTGCCTGGCTAATCTCATTGTGATTTTTATATGGTCTTCCCTGATCAGTAATGAGGTTGAGTATCTTTCCAAAAATTTATTGGCCATTTGGCTATCTCCTTTTGTGTAGTTTCTTGCTGATTCTTTTATTAGTTGGGGTCTTTTCTTATTAATTTATGAGTTCTTTATACATTCTGATGACAGTTCTTTATCAGAACCATGTAGCAAATAGCTTCTCCCAGTCTTTACCTTAATAGGAGAGAAGTTCTTACTTTTAATGTAGTAAAATTTATCCAATTTTATGGTTGGTAACTTTTTGTGTCCTAATTAAAAATATTTTCCTTTCACAAATCATGAATACAGTCTTTAAAAAACTTGATTCCTTTGCTTTCACATGTAGACCTACAAAGCACCTGGAAACTGATACTTGCACGTACATATTAGCTAGAGGTCAAGTTTTTTCTTATATAAATGTACCATTATCCCAGAACTATTCATTGCAACAGCTTTTCTGCATTTCTCTAGAGTGGCATTTGTGTAATAGATCGTATAGTTATATATAGGTCTGTTTGGGGAGTCTTTATTGTATTCTATTTGTCTATCCTTGTACCAAATTCACACTGTTATAGTAGTTATATAGTTTCAAAAAAATCATGATATCTGGTAGAACACATTTCTGACAAACTTGTTCTCTTCTTCAAGATCATCTTGGCTACTCTTGACACTTTGCAATTACATTCAGATATTAGAATCAGCTTGTCAAGTTTTACAATGATATTTGCTGGGATTTTAATATGCAACTGCATCGAATCTATTTATTAGTTGGGGGGCGAATTAACATCCTGAAATGGACTGAATGTTTATGGCCCCCCAAAATTCACATGCTGAAATTCTAATCCCCAATATGATGGTTTTAGAAGGTGATTTGGGAGGGAATTAGGTCATGAGAATGAAGCCCTCATCAATGGGGTAAGTGCCTTTATAAAAGATACATCAGATAGCTCTTTCACCGTACTTTCACCATCTGAGAATATGAGAAGTCAGTTGTCTGCACCCTGAAAGAGGGTCCTTACCAGAACCTGACTATGCTGGTCCCCTCCCTGATCTTGGACTTCCAGACTCCAGAAACTGTGAGAAATAAATATTTATTGTTTAAGCCTCCCCATCTGATATAATTTGGATATTTGTTCCTTCCAAACATCATGTTGAAATTTGATCCCCAATGTAGGAGGTGGGGCCTAATGGGAGGTGTTTGGGTCATGTGGATGGATCCTTCATGAGTAGATTAATGCCCTCCTTCTGGGTGAGTTCTCGCTCTAATAGTTCCCACAAGAGCTGGTTGTTAAAAAGATCCTGGCACCTGCCAGGCGCAGTGGCTCACGCCTGTAATCCCAGCAGTTTAGGAGGCTGAGGCAGGCGGATCACGAGGTCAGGAGTTCAAGACCAGCCTGACCAATATGGTGAAACCTAGTCTCTACTAAAAAATACAAAAATTAGCCGGGCGTGGTGGCACCCGCCTGTAGTCCCAGCCCAGGAGGGAGACTGAGGCAGGAGAATCGCTGGAACCCGGGAGGCAGAGTTGCAGTGAGCCGAGATCACACCACCGCACTCCAGCCTGGGAGACAGAGTGAGACTCTGTCTCAAAAAAAAAAAAAAAAAAAAAAATCCTGGCACCTTCCCCTTCTCCCTCTTGCTTCCTTCCTCTCCCCTTCACCTTCCACCATAAGTGGAAACAGCCTGAGGCTCTCGCCAGATGCAGGTGCTGGTGCCATGCTTCTTGTACAGCCTGTAGAACAATGAGACAAATAAGCCTTTTTAAAAAATAAATCACTCAGCCTCAGGTATTCCATTATAGCAACACAAAAGAGACTAAGAAACCATTTTTGGTAATTTTTTTCTTTCTTTCTTTTTTTTGGAGACAGGCTCTCACTCTGTCACCCAGGCTGGAGTGCAGTGGTTTGATCACGGCTTACTGCAACCTCTGCCTCCTAGGCTCAAGCGATCCTCTCACCTCAGCCTCCTGAGTAGCTGGGACCACAGGTGCACACCACCATGCCTAGCTAATTTTTGTATTTTTTGTAGAGATGGGGTTTCACCATGTTGCCCACACTGGTCTCGAACTCCTGGGCTCAAACAATCCACCTGCCATGGCCTCCCAAAGTGCTGGGATTATAGGCATGAGCCACCACACCCAGCCTATGGTAATTTCTTATAGTAGCCCAAATTGACTAAGACACATCCTACATACTCAATGTATAAATATGCTTATATCCCTCTATTTGTTTAGGTTTTTAATTGCTCACAATAGTGATTTATAATTTTCTATGTAGAAGTCATGTGTATACTTCATATGTGATTCCAAATGGCACTTAAACATTTTGTGGTTGGTTGTTGAGATATATATATGTGTGTGTGTTTATATACTATATAGTTTATCTTATATTCAAAACCTCTCTTATGTGCTTATTAATTCTAACACTTTGTCTATAGATTATTTCAAATTTTGTGTGCATACAATATTATCTGTGAATAAGTTTTATTTTTTCCTTTCTAATTTCTACAACTTTAATCTTTTCTCTTAGATTATTGCACTGATTAGGATCTTCATTCAACATAACAGTGATTAGAGATAATAATAGCAGCATTCTTCTCTTGTTCTCAATCTCAAAGAGAAGCTTTCAGTATTTCATCATTCAACATAATGCTCAATTAGGTTGTTTTATGAATACATATTTATCAGATGCATTTATTCTAGTTTGGTAAAAGTATTTTTCCATTATTAATTCATGATGCATTTTATCCGATGTTTTTGGGGAGCATCAATTGAGATGATAATTTTTCCTCTTTACTCTGTTACCATGGTGAATTAAATTGCTTGATTTCTCAATATTAAACAAAACCATTGAGTTCCTGGAATTATAAAGCCAATTTAATCATGGTATATCATCTTTTTATATATTAGTTGAACCCAGGTTGCTAATATTTTGTTTAGGATTTTTGGATCTAAGCTTATGACTGAGAATCACCTGTAATTTTCCTTTGTTATGTGCCTTTATCAAATTTTATTATCAAGATTATTTGATCATCTTTCTTTTTTATTCTCGAGAAGAGTTTGTGTAAGTTTCATGTAATCTCTTCCTTAAATGATTGATGAATTTTTTAAGTGAAAGCTTTGGGTTTAGTTTGATTATGTTTAATAATTTTAGAAAGATTCAGATATTCTATTTTTTTGTTAGTTTTGGTGAATTGAATATTTTTAGAAGAATGTTTCGATTTCATCTAAATTTTAAAATATGTTGGGTTAAAGGTTTTTAAAATCATCTTTTTAATCTTCTACAGGCTCTATAGTGATGTTCCATGGGTCCCTTCTTTCACCCTGATTTCTTTTTTTGTTTGTTTGTTTGAACCATTCCCACCTTCACCCCCTCCCCACCTCCTGGCCCCACACTACCCTTAGAGCCTCTGGTAACCATCCTTCTACTCTCTATGTCCAGGAGTTCAACTGATTTCATTTTTAGATCCCACAAATAAGTGAGAACATGTGATATTTGTCTTTCTGTGCCTGGCATATTTCACTTGGAATAATGATCTCCATTCCATTCATGTTGTTGCAAATGACTGGATCTTGTCCTTTTGTATAGCTGAATAGTATTCCATCATGTATATGTACCACATTTTCTTTATCCCTTCATCTATTGATAGACAATTAGGTTGTTTCTAAATCTTAGCTATTGTAAACAGGGCTGACAGTGCTGCAGCAAACACTAGAGTGAAGACAAACCTTCAACAAAACTGGTTTACTTTCTTTTCGGTATATACTCAACAGTGGGGTTGCTGGGTCATATAGCAGCTCAATTTTTAGTTTTTTAAAGAACTTGCAAACTGTTCTCCACAGTGGTTTTACTAATTTACATTCCCAACAACAGTGTACAAGTGTTTCCTTTTCTCCACATCCTCGCCAGCGTTTGTTATTGCCTGTCTTTTGGATATAAGCCATTTTAACTTGGGTGAGATAATAGCTCATTGTAGTTTAGATTTGCATTTCTCTGATAATCAGTGATGTTGAGCACCTTTTTCATACGCCTGTTTGCCATTTGTATGTCTTCCTTTGAGAAATGTCTGTTCAATTTGCCCATTTTTGGATCAGATTATTATATTTTTTCCTATACAGTTGTTTGAGCTCCTCGTATATTCTGGTTATTAATCCCTTGTCAGAGAAGTAGTTTGCAAATATTTTCTCTCATCCTGTGGGTTGTTTCTTCACTTTGTTGGTTGTATCCTTTGCTGGGCAGAAGCTTTTTAACTTGATGTGATTCACTTACCCATGTTTGTTTTGGTTGCCTGTGCTTGTGGGATAATTCTCAAGAAGTCTTTGCCCAGACCAATGTCCTGAAGATTTTCCCAAAAGTTTTCTTGTAATAGTTTCATGGTATGAGGCCTTAGATTTAAATCTTTCATTAATTTTGATTTGATTTTTGTATGTAGTAGGAGATGGGGGTCTAGTTTGCTTCTTTTGCTTACGGATATCCAGTTTTTCCAGCACCATTTATTGAAGAGACTATCTTTTCCCTAGTGTATGATCCTGGCACCTTTGTCAAAAATGAGTTCACTGTAGGTGTGTGGATTTGTTTCTGGGTTCTCTATTCTGTTCCACTGTTCATGTGTCTGTTTATATGCCAGTACCATGCTGTTTTGGTTACTATAGCTCTCTAGTATAATTTGAAGTCAGGTAATATATTCCTCCAGTTTTATTCTTTTTGCTTAGGATAGCTATGGCTATTCTGGGTCTTTTGTGGTTTTGTATAAATTTTAGGATTGTTTTTTCTATTTCTCTGAAGAATGTCATTGGTATTTTGATAGGAATTTCACTGAATCTGTAGATTGCTTTGGGTAGTCTGGACATTTCAACAATATTAATTCTTCCCTTTTATGAACATGAAATATTTTTCCATTTTTTTTGGTGTCTTCTGTTCCTGCTTTCTGATATTCGTTCTCATGCTCTCATTTGACTTAGTCTTGCCAACGGTTTAAAAACTTTATTAGACTTTAAAAAATCATCTTTTGGTGTTAATTCTGTTTTCTACTTTAATTATTTCATTCTTCCCTTTCTTTTGATTCTACATGTTGTTATTTGTCTAATTTCTTTTTTCCCCCTAAGGTAGTTTTGTTATAGCATGCCTAATTTCTTGAGATTAATATTTTGTCTTGTTTTGTAATTATACACTTAAGATTATAACTTCCCTGCTAAACACTGATTTTGCTCTATTACGCAAGTTTTTCCACGAAAAATATTATCTCTCAGCTCAAAATATTTTTAAATTTTCATTGCGATTTCTTTTTACCCACTGGTCATTTAGAAGAACGTTTCTTACTGTTTATAAATGTAGAAATTTTCTAGTTTAAAAAGCTATTTATCTCCATTTTAATTGCTTTGCTTTCACAGAACATATTTTATAGTTTCAGTTATTTTAAATTCGTTGAGACTTGCCTTACGATCTAACACATAGTCAATTTTTGTAAACATTTGTATGTGCTTAAAGAGTTGTTGAGTGTTGTGTTCTATATATGTAGATTAGGTCGATTTATTAATCATGGTGTTCATGATCCTACTTCCTTCTAATTTCTCTCCGTGTGACCTGTCAGTTACTCCCACAGTGTTGGGTGGCTTTTTCTGTTTCTCCTTATAATTCTATTTTTCTATTAAATATTCAGAGACTATGCCATTACATAAATAAAAAATGAAATTGTTTTATCTTCCGAGTAAGTGAAGCCTTTTCTTAATGTGAAGTGTTCCTATTAATGTAATGCTTTTTTTCTTAAAGTATACTTTAGTGAATATTAATGTAGCTATATCAATTTAGGGCAGGGCTTCAGGTGACAAATTTTCTCTTTTGTGTGTGTGTCATTTGAACACTGAATAAATCATATAATTATCTTCTGAATTTCATGCTTTCACTTGAGAAATCAGCTAATGATCTAGTTTTTGTAACTTTAAATGGTATATTTATACACTTTTTATCCTTTCACTCTCACCCTTTCTGAATCTTTGTATATCCCATCAGTAGCTGTAAAGATTTTTGGTCTTCCCAAGAAATCCATTCTCACAGAATTTGTCTTTTAATTGGGGTATATAATTTATTTACTTTTAACATAATTACAAATATGAGTTTAAATCTACCATCCTACTATAAGTTGAGTTTTTCTTATCCAAAATACTTGGGACTACAAGTTTTTCAGATTTCAAATGTTTTTGGATTTTGGAATATTTGCACATATATAATGAGATATCTTGGGGATGAGACCCAAGTCTAAATGTGAAATTCATTTGTTTTATATATACCTTAAACACATAGCCTGAAGGTAATTGTATATATTTTAATAATTTTGTGCATGAAACAAAGTTTATTTACACTGAACCATCAGAAAGCACAGGTGCCATTATTTCAGCCACCTGTATGGACAATCTGTCATTGTTTGGCATCACCATCTTTACTGACTGAATTTATATGCAACTGAGAAGCAATCATTTTCTTACACTTACTCACACAAGTACCCAACAGTAAAAACTAGGAGGTACCATGAATCCAGTGAAAAAATAATGTTCAGGGTAACTAAGCAGCACAGTAGCGTCACCAGAATACCTGTATCAGTTTTTAAACAATAGCAACCACAAAGAACGGCAAGTTTTCAATCTCTACTTTTGATGTGTGTTTCGATGAAAAGGTTACTATACACTGAATTTTACCTTTCTAGATGAGAAGAAACATTAGAAGCAGTTGAGAGACGAGGAAGTGGGTCCTCCAGGAATGAGGAGGCATTCTGCTGCATGGCTATTTTTAAATGGCTGGAGGGTCTGTTTTCCCTTGGAAATCCTGAATAAACTGAGGTTGTGCGTCTGCATTTTGACTACAACCCATCACATGAGGTGGTGTGGAATTTTCCACATATAACATCATATCAGTGATCAAAAGTTTCAGATTTTGGAGCATTTCAGATTAGGGATGCTCAACCTGTATAACAACTCTTTGATTTTAATGTCTTTTTTTCCCTGGATGCCTTTAAGATTTTATTTTTGTTTCTGTTTTCCTGAAGTTTAATTAAGATGCATCTAGGAGTGAATTTCTTTTCCTTTATACTGCTTGGGTTTCCGGCAGCTTCCTGAATCTGTTGGCTGATGCTTTGCTTTAGTTTTGGAACATTTTGCCATCAACCCTGCTAATATAGCTTTACTACTTCTGTTCTCACTGTATCCTCTACATTTCTTACCTTCTGTTCAATGTTTCATCTCTTTTGAGTTTCATTTTAGATTGTTTCTTCAGACCTGCTTTTCAGTTTACCAATTCTCTATTACTTTATTTCTAATTTGCTGTAACACCTATCCTGGGCATTTTTTTTTTTTTTTTGAGATGGAGTCTCGCTCTGTCACCCAGTCTGGAGCGCAGTGGCGCAATCTCGGCTCACTGCAAGCTCTGCCTCCTGGGTTCATGCCATTCTCCTGCCTCAGCCTCCCCAACAGCTGGGATTACAGATGCCTGCCAACACGCCCGGCTAATTTTTTTGTATTTTTAGTAGAGATGGGGTTTCACCGTGTTAGCCAGGATGGTCTCGATCTCCTGACCTCGTGATCCGCCCGCCTCGGCCTCCCAAAGTGCTGGAATTACAGGCGTGAGCCACCGTGCCTGGCCCATCCTGGGCATTCTTAATTGGGATTACTGCATTTTTTTGGTTCTAGAATTTTTCTTTCTCCCAAATTTGCCCTGTAATCTTTTCATGGTTTTCAGTTCTTTGCCAAAATTTCCAATCTTTTCATTTTTTCTCCCTGAACATTGCAAGCTGATAGCTTCAATATGTCAAGCCTGTGCATGTTTTGTTCTATTGAGCATGTTTCCTACTAATTCTCATTCATGATTGTTGTTTCCTTGTATGCTGGTTTATCCTTGTGTGACAGAAATTTTATTTGAAAAATTGGTTTGTTTGTACAGATGTAGGATGACATTATATACCTCCAGAAAGGATTGTGCTGCTGTTGTTCCAGGCACTTGAGAGCACTAGCCATCTGGTATCGCCTTATTTCAGGACTATTGAAATTTCTGTCTGATAATTGTTTATTGTGGAAGGGATGTCCTATGCCTTGTAGGAAGTTTAGGAGTTTCCCTGGCCTCTCCCCACTAGATGCTAACAGCATCCCTTCCCAGTCCTGACTATCAAAGATGTCTCTAGACATTGCCAAATGTCCCTGGTACTTGAGAACCACTCCCTTAACCCAAAACAAGGTGATTTTATCAGGTTTAAACATAATGGTGCCTGATCTCACTTTTGTACCTCTAACACATCAAAGTTTCCCAGCCGCTCAGTAATCTTTTTTAGAATCCCTGGGTGGAAAGCAATGCCAAATGTCATCTTTATCTCTTTGATCTTCTCTCAAATCTTAGTTCAGTAATTTTTACTTTGTAAAGTCTTTCAAGTAAATTTTTAAAAATTGTCTTTCTTGTTGCTCTCAGTGAGGAGACCCATATTACCTACCATGCCTCAACATAGGATGAATCTACATACACACATTACTGCTGCCTGGACAACACCCTGCCATATCCTTTGATTTATCTGCAAATGTGGTTATAGGGCTTCCGTATTTACTGTCTGCTTCCCACATGGGTCATTATGCTGCTTGGAATAGGCTTTCTCTTTTTTGCCGTTCTTCAAGAGAAATGTCTAAAGAGCCAGTCTTCAGCTCTAAGTGTCAATGGCCTCTTCCCAAATAGAATGTGTTTAGTGTAAATGCCCATTCGTTTTTATTAGTGGTGTGTTTCCTCTTTGGTATATTGTAGGTCTTGAAGACAGGAGCTCATACGGTGCTTTCTACAATAGCTGCTTACAGAGCTTAAAAATCTTCTGGTCTAAACAGATGTGGAAATTGAAATGCAAAAAGTCCAAGTGAATAAATAAAGTACTGTTGTGGGCTAACTAGAACTGAAAGAATATCTCACCCCTAGAGGAACGGGAAAGGCCAGAATGAATCAACTCACATGCAGACTAAGTAATCGAGTGGCAAGGTTTGGGTTCAGGAAATGAGACAGTAATTTCCAATTGTGAAGTTCAAAAGGGGATGGTCCCAGGAAAAACAGTATTGGCTGTTTGTGTAGAGCACCTCGGACATAACTAACTCCATCTTAGAAAAAGACTTTACTTTATATTTCATAGGGCACTTTGCCAATAAGGATAACATGTTTTGTTTAATAAACATATAAAGAAATGAAGATTGCATCCAACCAGATAAGTTCACAAACAAGCACACTCTTCCACTATCAGTTTTCACCAGAGGACTCTGTGACCATAAAAAAAATTAAGCCTTCAGGAGCTTCAAACAGCCATCTTAACTGACACAGTCTTGCAGTCACTTGTAATAAAAACTTGGTATCTACCACTGAAGGCTTTGCCACCTCAGAGGCTCTTCCTTGCAAGACCTACTGTATTAGCCCATTTTCACGCTGCTGATAAAGACATACCTGAGACTGAGACATACCTTACATTTCCACATGGCTGGTGCGGCCTCAGAATCACGGCGGGAGGTGAAAGGCACTGTTTACATGGTGGCAGCAAGAGAAAAAGGAGGAAGATCCAAAAGCAGAAACCCCTGATAAACCCACCAGATTTCGTGAGACTTACTCACTATCATGAGAATAGCACGGGAAAGACCGGCCCCCGTGATTCAGTTACCTCTCCCTGGGTCCCTCCCACAACACGTGTGAATTCTGGGAGACATAATTCAAGTTGAGATTTGGGTGGAGACGCAGCCAAACCATATTATTCCACTCCTGGCCCCTCCAAATCTCATGTCCTCACATTTAAAAACCAGTCATGCCCTCCCAACAGTCCCCCAAAGTCTTAACTCATTTCGGCATTAATCCAAAAGTCCACAGTCCAAAGTCTCATCTGAGACAAGGCAAGTCTATTCTGCTTATGAGCCTGTAAAATCAAAAGCAAGCTAGTTACATCCTAGATACAATGGGGGTACAGATATTGGGTAAATACAGCCGTTCCAGGCCAGGCGTGGTGGTTCACACCTGTAATCCCAGCCCTTTTGGAGGCTGAGGCAGGCAGATCACGAAGTCAGGAGATCGAGACCATCCTGGCTAACATGATGAAACCCCGTCTCCACTAAAAAATAGAAAAAATTAGCTGGGCGTGGTGGCGGGCGCCTGTAGTCCCAGCTACTCAGGAGGTTGAGGCAGGAGAATGGCGTGAACCCGGGAGGCGGAGCTTGCAGTGGGCCGAGATCGCGCCACTGCACTCCAGCCTGGGAGACAGAGCGAGACTCTGTCTCAAAAAAAAAAAAAAAAAAAAAAGAGTGCCTCTATTCCAGAGAGGCAAGACAAACATGTCTGTGCTCCAATATGCAGATTGAGGGAGGGAAGATTTGGGGAAAAGTAGGAAAAAATTTGAAAAAGAAATCTAAAACCTAGATTTAGGACAAAAATTAGAACAAGGGAAGGAGGAGAAAGACTAGAGAGAAAAAACAGGGCAAGCTGCTGTAACAGATTGTATTTTCCAAAGATGGTCTCACCAATATACATCCCATCTTACATGCTCTTACAATGTGGCATTGACATTCTTCCATCAAGAGGCAGAGTCTAGTTCCCCACTTCCCCAGTCTGCACAGATCATTTATAAATAGCTCAATATGAAAGTGACTGGGTGTAGCTTCTGAGCTTTGGTCAGAAAGCACATTACATGTTTCACTTTGGACCACTCAAGACGCCCATGTGGAGAGGAACTGAGGCTTCCAGCTTAGAGCCAGCACCAACTTGCCAGCTGAGTCAGCTAACTAGAATGGGCATCTTCCAGTCCCACTCAAGCCATACAGTTTTCAGATGATGACAGGCTCATATTAATAATTTTTTAGATGACAGATATGTTAATGAACATATCACTACAACCTTATGAGACACTCCAAGTGATAACAGCCCAGCTGAGCCTTTCTCAAATTCTTGATCAACAAAAGCCAAGAGAAGTAATATTGTTGCTTTAATACACTAAATTTTGGGGTATTTTGTTATACAGCAATTAATAACTAATATATTTTCTCCTACAATTTATCATTGCACAATGATGGGCATGAAGCAAACATTACCTTCAGAAGATTTGGATTCAGTGGCATCTAATGTGCATGAAGGGCCAGTGGAGAACTTTAAAGTCTTTTATTTCCATAATGACAATCACAGCAAGGTGAAAGTGGGCAGCCGATCTGGGGGAGAATATTTAGCCTCAGGGATTTATAACCTGTGCTATGGTTTGAATGTTTGTCCCTTCTAAAACTCATGTTAAAGTTTAATTGCCGTTGTAACAGTATTAAGATATGGGACCTTTAAGAGGTGATGAGGCTATGAGGGCTCCACTTTGATGGGTGGGATTAATGCTGTATGAAAAAAGCTAGGCCCCCCCTTGCCTCTGTGGCCTGACTTCTGCCGTCTGATGATGCACCAAGAAGGTCCTTGCCAGATGCTGGCACCATGATATTGGACTTCTCAGACTCTAGAATTGTTAGACAATGCATTTCTGTTTATAAATTGCCCATTCTCAGGTATTCTGTTACAGGAACACAAAACGTACTAAAACAGATGTTAGTTGGACCATCAGCTTCATAGACTATTTAAAGACTAGGCAAAGATGTATACTCATTAGCTAAGCAAGGGAGGGTAAATCTTGGTTAGACCAGAGATGAGATTCTTCCTATGGTGTGCTGGTATTTTTTCCTGGGTCCTTATGACATCCAGGCCTCTACCCTCACATAGGTGTTGTAATTCAGAACACAAACCTAATAATGTTTCTCAAAAATGTTAGCGGCCTTTGGATTCTTCTTTTCAAAGAATAGTTCTAGAATATTTCTCCATGATAGAGTATTTTGAAGGAGAGAGCGGTCTAATTTGATGAATGAATCCATCAGTTGGAAGGGCTTTGGCCTTAGTGTCAAGAAATCTGGGTTCTAGTCTTGAAGTGTTCACCAACAGTAAGTGTGATTTTTAGCAATTCCCTTGAACTTCAGAAGTTTTACTGAGATATTTTCTCCAATGTCCAAAGATTTTTGCAGCTCACTGACTATGATTTAGAAGATTTTGTAGTGGTGAAATGTCTTCCTAGATAATAACTATGTATGTTCATTAAACATTGCTATACATAATAGGGTATATTGCAGCAAATATCTAGAACTGTAGCGTACGGCATTCAGGAACACCAAAGAAATGAATTAACTAAAAAGCACAATTACATTTGTATTTAAATAGAAGACTGTTTTGCTTAAAGTGTTTTATGTTTATAAAATACCTGCATGCTTCATATTATTCCTTGAAAAGAATGTGTACCTTGTGCTTAGTAAAAGAATCCATACAATTATGTTTCTATTCTGTTTCTCCAGTTTATTATTTTCAACCTATAGCCTGAAGTCACCAATCTCTTTGTGCCCCGTCCCTTGGGCAATGTATATTCAGGAAGTGTTGCTTTTGGGTAAGCCTTGTTGAGACAATGCCTGGCTGGTTTTGTCTGTTGGTTGTTAGCCTTGAATGTCTGGCCAAGTTGCCCACAGTTGATAGGGGACAAATGGGAGAAAAACGGAAATACCAACGATAGACTTCCTCAGACTCAGCTCTTGCAGCTCAGAATAGTGTACCCGAGTGGTAACGCAAGTTAGAAATGACTGGTGTTCTCCACATTACAGTACTACTGGGATATTGCTTTACATGCCTCCTGAAAACAAATCTGCATTGCACACCAGATGGACATGAAACCAAGATTTATTAAAATACCCTTAGCATATTTACAATTGAAAGCCATGAATGCAATTCTCTGTAAATTCCAAAAAATATAATTCTCTTAAAACAAATTAACAGAGGTATCAACAGATTAGGATAAATATAATCTATCACAGAGATAGAATTTTTTGAATAGACAATTGACGTTTTTCTAATCAATATATATTATGTACAAAAATACACTTGATATTGTGACCAAGTACTGTCAAGGAGGAAAAAATATATATATATAATACACACATTTTTATTATGTACAAATCAGTGTTGGTTCCTTCACTCTCTTTTTAAAAATAAATACTTCATTTGGTTGCAAATGACATTTATAAATTCAACTCATGAGCATTTCTCAGCTTTGACAAAATTAAATATGCAAACAAATTAGAAATACGTATTTTTAAAAATGCAAAGGGAAAAATACCTGAATCCAATGAGCTTATTATGCTTAAAAATATCCCAAGAGCGTGTAAGGTTTCATGTCTTTAAAGGGCCTTCTCCTTTCCCCAACTGTCTTCATTACTGCCTACAATCTTTTCAGATTATATCTACAGACTGGTCTAATACTTAATTAAACAGAAAAGCCTATGTTTTACCAGGTTAAATGGCTATTTAGGACATGCTTGCACTTTTAAGTGCTTTCAAGAGTGTAGCAGTTACTGTTCATCTGAAAATAACCAAGAAGTGTCAACATCCTGATTCAGAACAGGGGTAGATGTTTGAATCATGAATAGTAGTAAGAATGGAGCGGCAATAAAAATCCTTATGATTCAAAGTGTTTGCCTGCACAGAATTAAGTCAATTTGTCCAGCACCACAGAAAGTTACTTGAGATTCAAAAATCTGGCGTTCTGCATCATAGCTGGTGACCCGGTCTGATGTACAAATTTATCAAGAGAATGGCCTTAATTAGTTTAAGGTAAAATCTATGAGAAATTGAGAAGGCCTAGAATAAGAACCCCCCCCCCACCCCGCCCAATCTTCTTAAAATAAAATAAAAAGAGACGTATTTTCCATCTCTTTTATGGATTTTCCTTTTTGCTTAAGTGATGAGGTGATGCTGACATTAACAAGAGGCAGTCACAGCAGTGTGTCTCACATGGGCTCCTTGGTGACAGCGGAGCTCCCTGTCCAAACGGCTGAGGAACGGAGCACAGGGTGTGAGAGGATGGAGGAGGGGCCAAGGGAGCTACTCAGTTGTCTATGATGCAGAGGTGTGAAAAAATCTGGGTCTGGGGGAAACTGTAAAGTAGGAAAGAAATAGCCATGGAATATGAAGGAAAAGGACGAGGAAACAGAAGTATTGAAAGAAGAAAGTGAAACAAAGCTAGAAGTCAAAATGACTTTTGAACAGGCATGGAGTAAACAGGGTCTATGGTCAAGCAGCCCCATGGATCTGAAATTGTTGGAGCTGTTAAACCAAGCACAGACCAGTTTCACTGGGGTACCTGCTTTCCCAGTACATTGGCACTGATCAATACAAGATCAAGGGCACTCACATTTGCCTAATACAGATGCCTTGAATTTCCACGGAAAAGCTGTCCACGATACGACCATGGCAAAAAATCACCAGCTCCCTAACAATGTAATCTATCAGCAAAACATTGCACTAGCCTCGTTCAAATTTTTCTCCTCCATGCGTCCTTTTTTTCTTGCTCATCCCATTGCTTGCAAACTCACAAGATACCAGTTATATGAAGACATAAAACTGCATGGATCAGGTGCACTTTAGAAAGCAGCATCCAGGGTCCAGGGTGTCACTAAGAAAACTAAACCCTGAAGTACTTGAAATAATTTACATTTCTGCTAGGTCTGATTCATACTAGGATGTTGACTGCCTTCACTCAGGTTCTAGGCATGCAGGCCAGTGCTTATTTTCCAGGCCAAAGCACGATCCCCTAAATCAAAGTCCAAGGCCACCCTGCTTGCCATGCTAGTCTAAATGAAAACTCAATGAAAGAAAAAGACTATGATAAACCAATGTTTTCTCTAAAGATTCTTAAAAATTATCCAATTTCTAATTTTAAAAGTTTCTGCCTTTTTAGTATTTTAGATTGGTTCTTTAAAGGGAAGTTCTTTTTATTAATGCATACTCTCTTTGAAGATAAGACATCTAGCTGACAGTAGGGTCATATTACTTATGCCTTGGGAAATTACAGAATTGCACAATTATAAATTTAATAATTTTGGAGTAGACCTATCCCTTAGGTAGATCCCCAAAACCTATTTGTGTCATTGCGAGCAAACAGAAGAATTGATACTAGACTTTCCCTCTCACTCATGGATTTGTTTTCAATGGAAATGGAAGCCTTCCAAATATTATGCAGAACACAATCTCAGTGGCGCTGAGCTACCTTCTTTATGCCTTGTGGTCCAATGTATGAAGAAATAAGATTTTATCTAGAGACAAGTTAGCATGAAGCGAGGAAAAAGGAGATATTTATAATTCACAAAAACATCTAAAATGTAAAGATTTCAAATGTCCTTTTAGTCCCTTACTGGGAAGAGCAGTATAATTTTTGTATGCTATAAACTCCTTTTTATACATCTCCTATAAAGAAATCTGGAATTCAAAATCCATGCTAAGAGTTTCCAGAGTGTTCATCCCTCAACACTTATCATCCATGTCATGGGGAGGTAGAGAGTAATTTCCCTGAATAGCCAGTGGTCTATGGGACTAACCTTTCATTTGGGAAAGACAGATCTGGAAAGCGAACCCAGTTAACAGTCAAAAACACATTCGTTTCATAAGAGGAAAGTGGAAGAAAGCCCCTGAAGAGAACAATGAAGGAAAGCAGGTACACGTTTGCCAAGGACATTAACAAACAATTGCTAATGTGTGCCTGAAATCTGATTTCCTTCTTGATGTATTAAGATAATGCATTGGCAGCTCACACTATACATGGAGAGAAATATTCATATTAATTTAAGACGTTCTCATAGTTTCAAAGGTAGAGAGCCCCTCAGTGTCTGCACAGGTAGAATTTAGGAAAATGTTCAGCCTATGTGAGAGCTATAGTGTGGTAGAGGTTGTTTAATCCATGCCAAATTCTTTGGACGTGATTTTCTGCCTGAAACTATAGTCTTCTTTGCATTTTGCTGGCCCAATGTCATCAAGTTTCACACAAAGCTTGGAAAAATAGCCCACAAGTGTAGTTGGATCAGCCTTTAGAAAAGGAGACTAGAGATTCTCAGTATATTTAAGAGAAGATTTAAAAATAGAAAATTACATAAGCGTAGAGGGAATGTAGAAAAATAAATTGATGGCTATATCTAACACCTTCATATAAAAATGGAATAAAAGTCAATCTTCCCCACATCAAGAACTTCAGAGATGTAATATAAAGTCTGGAGTTCACATGAGCTCTTGACTGAAGGACACGATCCTATCAGAGAAAGGTAAGAGAGAAAAGGTCTTCTATGGCCCTGGTTATCACCATAGTTAGGAGAAGGGCTGGGGATAGAGGAGGAAATGAGTTCCGTAAGTTCCACCAGACAGCAGACCTACTGAATGAGGCTTAATTTGCTTCCCTAATCTCTCCATTGGTAGAAATTGCATAGTGGCTTAAGAGACAGTTAGCCAGCTGCCATTTTAATATCTTCATGTTTCCAAGTTGTTAACTACACGTTTCCCAAATCCTAACTTTATATCACAGTATTGGTTAAGAGTCTTGGAACAAATAAGGATACTGAATTGGCTTCAAATTTGACATGTTAAAACTCTCTTAAATTCATCACTTTCCAACAAAGCATTGATCTGGAAGTTCAGTAGATTGCCCATTCCTTGGGAAGGGAGATGAAGAATTGTGAAACCAAAATGCAGTGCCTCTAATAAGGTGTCAACAGCGGACAGGTGTGCAGAAATGACACAAAATGGGCTTCCCAGTCACAGACAAGCTGTGTAACTGAGCCCGGTTATGCCTGGATTCAATTGCTAATGGAGAGATGAATATCATTATGTAAGTCTAAAGAAGAAAGATATGCTAAGTCAAGTATTTGAAGATGCTTTTCTTTAAGCCACTTCTATACTAATAACAGTTTCCAGGCAGCTGGATTGTTTCTCTCTATAGCTGGAAAATGGAAATATATCCAAGTTATTTGCATTTTGGAAAGGCTAAAAATTATCCACTCTTTTCAAATCCCATCAGCTTGGCCACACAGACTGGTTTCATCTGTGTTGCAGATTTCTTTATGAGGTCAAAGTAGCAGACATGAATGAAAGTTCACTTCTTTATTCTCTCCACTCTCTTCAGTTGTAGGGTCCCTAAAGGTAAAATAACTAATACAAAACAAATTTTAAAAAGTGGAAGCTTTTTCTTTCCTCTCCACTTTTTGGCCATTTTTGTTTTTATTAGGACAGACAGGATAAAAGAAAAATGAAGCTCAAATATAACTGATGCTTGTTAGCAATTTAAAAAGACAATTTAAACTGTTTTATAAAATCAGATATTTAATATTTGGATCAGATATGTGGGAGGGGGGAAGGCTATATATTTTTGGACTTCTTCCTTTTTGTCATATAAAGCTCCAAATTGATTTTATCTTTGTTGTTTTTGTGGATGGAGATGAGTACTACAAAATTGACCAATTTAGTATGTCAGGGAATGAAGAGGTTCCCCGGTCAATGTTACAGCCTGGTTCCTGGAAAAAGAGCCTGCAAGCGTGCATTGCTAATTCCCATTCACACACTGACTTGGCGCAATTTGCTGTGCTGTTGTATGCAATGATCTGCATCAATGACACTGGCCAAGGGAGAAGCAGAAACAGAAATGAGGACATGTAACTTTCAAGAAAGGAAGAGTATCATTAAAATGAAAATTTCTCTGTTGCAAACATCATAGAGAAAATGTGCAATCCCAGGCCAATAAGCAAATCTTTGCCCAAAATAAACATATTTCTTCTGCTACATCTCACTGCGGCCCTTAGAAAAACCGTACCAATGACTTATCTTACTGGAGGTGTTAATACCACCAACATATTTTATTCCTTCCTTCAGTTTTTCCAGTTTCTTTACCAGCAGTATCTGAACTTTTCATTTAGGAAACACCATTCTTCATGGTGCTTATGAAAACAGGAGGTGCCTGAAGGAGGCTGAGAAGAGGTTTGCAGCTTCTACTGTCCTTGATAGGGGAGGGGAGGGGAGACTGCATGCCATCTGATATTCAATTCCTCAACCATACTGGCAATTTGTTTTGGCTAGAACATTTAAAAGTGTAATAGCTCCACTGGGTTTCCTTATTCCACTTCTCAGATTTCAGAAAATCTTTATAATTCCTGAGTAGTTGCAGTGAGTGTGTAGAAAGACACCATCATCAACATAAGGATTCAAAAGGCAACTGTTGGGCAGTAGGACCATCACCTATGACCTCTGGGCCCCCACCGTCATCATAAACATCCACTTCTGCTTGGCCACACTTTTTCTTATTTCTTTTTCCCCAGTAAGCTGCCACTTATTGAGATAAAAGCCATACAGCACACCTCCTAACCTGGTTTTTGATACTTCATGGGCCTGATGCTTTTTTTTTTGAAACGGAGTCTCACTGTCGCCCAGGCTGGAGTGCAGTGGTGCTATCTCGGCTAGCTGCAAGCTCCACCTCCTGGGTTCACGCCATTCTCCTGCCTCAGCCTCCCGAGTAGCTGGGACTACAGGCGCCCACCACCACGCCCGGCTAATTTTTTGTATTTTTAGTAGAGATGGGGTTTCACCGTGTTAGCCAGGATGGTCTCAATCTCCTGACCTCGTGATCCGCCCCCGCTTGGCCTCCCAAAGTGCTGGGATTATAGGCATGAGCCACCACGCCCGGCCCGGGCCTGATGCTTTTTACCTAACGTGTCTGTAGTGTAATTTATGATGTACTTTGTGTAATTTATGTAACTTATGATATTGTGTGCTCTGATGCTGTCAATTGCTCATGCAAGAATCTGAACTACTGTCAAACTGTGTCCTCAGATTTAATGAATATTGTCTAAGAGGAGACAAAGTTGTTTGTAAGTTAAGGGTTCTTAGAGTTACTACTAAGTCAGGTGTGTCTGGTTAGATGCAGCATAGCAAACTGGTTACTCTCCTTTCTAGTTCAGGGAGGGCTATGCCTAGAACAGCCACTTAAAGCCTGCTGGCAGGATGTGCTTAAGCTGCCAAATGGCATCCCGATCACCTCCTCTCCAGGAAAAGTTCAGATCCTCCTGCTACACTGAACACAAGCTCAACAGCATTTTAGAGGGATCATTTTCAAGGCCTCCAGATTATTTTAGATGAACTTCCTTGAACAAATTGTCATTGACCTTTACTGAGCATCAATTTGAGTTAAAAATGAAGGCTGTGTCAGCAACGTGGTACATTGGTGGACTTGGGAGGGGGCATCCCAGATACATGATGCAGGGTTCAGAATAGGTGAGAATAATGAAGATTCTGCCATGGTGTCTTACAACACTAACATCATACATCGACTAGTGTGACAAAACCACTAGGTTTCCCCAACCGAGGCAGGCAAACCTTGCTTTGTAGAAATAGGTATTTTACTGCAAAGTTTTAGTCTGTTCACTAGGATGAAATCCAAAGTGGGCTGTATTTGTCTAACTCTCAAATTAAGTGTTCTCACTCATTATTCTTCAGCACTGGTTCCTGAAGGGTTACGTGGCCACAGTGGCAGCCCTGCTTACCTTCACTGATTTCTCGTAAGCATCCTACTTACAGACCAAAGTGGACTGCAATGAGTACACCTCAAACCTCCCGCTGCTCTCACCATCAAGCCTATAAGGATTGAGACTTCTGCTGGCCCCACATAACTCAAAAGAGCTGAATTATATGGCATGGGTAAAACTGGCACTTTTCTTGTGCATGATAACACTAGAAGGAGCATACAATGGTTATAAGTGGAATCAGTTTTTAATTGATCCGTTCTTTTGGTTGTCTTCAGAGTTAAGTGAAAATGAAGAGAAACTATGTAAGAAAGCAGCATAAAAAGCTTCTTGCTCACAAGCAACTTCAAGCCTTTTTAGTCATGCATGTTCCTTCTCGGCTTTTCTGTTTTGCTTGTCTCGTTCCTTCATTGTGAATTTTAAAAATCCAACCATGTTACCATATTCCTTTCAGTTGCACCAGTAGAAAAGGCGGTTAGCACCTGCATGAATATGGCTTCTGTGACTTGATTTGATCCTGACTGCAGTCTTCATTCTCGAAGCTGACATTAGATTAGGATATGGTGCTGCTTTCATTACTGGATCTATTATAGAAGCATTCCTGAGGGGCTGCTGGCTGGCAGGCATATCCTGGGAAGATGCTCAGGCACCTGGCAAGTCCAGGGGTTCTGGAAAGATGCTGGGGCAAGGGGCAGGCCACATGTGGAGGCTGGATCAGGAAGGAATTTAAGATTTCTGCTCATCTCTGGACTGTCCTCCACCAATTGGGGGGAGAAAGCTCGGCCTCTTCAAGGCCTAAAAATGAGTCTTTGATCATATTGTCCATTCATCTCCAGTCCTCTTTCTTCACCCCTCACAAGATTTCAGAGACGTGGCTTAAAGACAAAAGTGTCAGAGAGGTCAAAGGTGGTTTCCTTATGTGACTCAAGAGCCAGGGTCAGAAAGAGCTGCCTGTGAACAATATTCCACTTGGAAGTTTTCTATTAATGTAATTACTTTCATTTTGATGTAAGGAACCTTTTTTCTGCCCTTCAGTTTTTTTGACATTAAAGAGTCCTGCTTCATCCTACTTCACATGCCTATCAGCCAAGGTCATGAGCAGGTGCTGTGAGTTGCATTTGCTCTCCTGTCTGGAAACTGCCTCCTGGGGATGGGGGTCGTCCAGCTGCACAGTCACAGCACATAACGTAGAACTCGGCTGCGTATCAACACAACATTGCCCATTCATGAACGGTCCAAAATGTAAAAGGTGCTCTGCCGCTGGGTCTCTTGTCCAAGCACACCCAAGGCTGTGCTTGCTCAGGTATTACATTTTCTCCTGGGAGTTGGGGTGCAGAATCTCTGCTGGCCCAGAAAAACCACAAAGGACCGATGTAAAAACAAGAATGGGCCTCACTTAACAACTGATGTCAACTCCTTGCATGGTAACTTGTTCTCCAGGATGAAGTTTATGGCTATTTGTCTCCCTCTCTCCACCCAGGTATGATTCTGTTTTTTCTCCTTTTCATCACGTAAACCATAACAACAAAAAATCATTTTTTTAGTCTGGATAATACATGTTCTTGGACCTCTTCAAGAATAGTTTTGGTGAGTTGCAACATTATTGGAGAGAAAGATGCTGCAGGATTTTGCTGCAACAGGATCAAAACTAAGACCAATAATCAAAACAGCAGTGTGTAACGACAAAGACTTGAACTCTCCCAAGGCAACTGTCCTCAATGATCTTTTCTCTCTTCTGTGACAATGTGACATATATCAAGCTTTGGTTATAAAGCTGGAAATCTCAGCTTTTAAAAAAATTTTGGAAACATTTTGGTATTTCTTCTGCTCTTAGAGTGGACTTTGGGCTTCCACAAGAAACAGTCATCAAATATTTCTGCAATGTTCCCTTAAATAGTTTTCCATTGTTCCTGCGGCTTAATGAGGGACTTCTTAAAGAAGGCATGGGGCACTCTCTGCAGATGACCTCAGAAAGAGATGAGCAAAAACAAACATTTAGTGACACATCTTTCAAGAACGTCCTGCAACCCTGTGGTCACAAAGAGTATGCGTGCAAGGTCCTCCACCTCCAGTGCCATCATTTCCATGTGTCTTCATCTTAGTTAGTGGTCACACTGGCTTCCTTCTGACGCAGTCTTTCTTTCTGTTAAGGAAAAAAAAATGAATGTATCATTTTCTTTCATCTTTCTCAAGTTTTGATACATTTCTCAAATTTTGGTCTAGAATGCTGAGTTTCCGGAATTGTGCCAAATGGCCTAGAAATGAGAGTACCTCTACTGCTTTCCCTAAGCTCTTAGTTATCTGCCCCTCCCTACCTATCACCCTTACTCCCCAGAAAAACAAACAAGAAATCAATAACCAGCCAATCTACCAACTACATCCATCTAAAACACGGGCCTTTACCATGCCAGGGTGGTCTTTTCTGTTCTCTTCTTTTGTGACAAAGACCCTAACTTTGTAGTGTTACTCAAGGACCCCTTCCGTCCCTACCTTTGGCTCATTGATGGAATTAGAGAATGCCCAAGAAGATATGAAAAAAAAAATTACTATTTCCAATGATCAACTTGGCAGAACTCAACAAAAGCCATGCAAAATGGGAGATGACCAGATTTAGTCTCTGCAGAATGGCAGAAGTTCCCGATTTGCCATGGATGTTATGCTCTTCATTCTCCGAGCTTCCTCCTCAGAGACTGCCTTCTAAAGGGAAGGACATGGACATCTGCTGGGAAGACGTAAGAATACACAGGAGCACACTACACAGAAACATGGACCCCCATGGTATCTGTGACACTAGGGAAGCACACATATCAGTATGGTAAGGATGGTGTGCCTGCTCTGGGAGGAGGGTAAATAGAAGGCTAAAATGGAAAAGGGAGAAGTATACTCTTTTGGAATGAGCAGATGCAGAGAGAAGCCTTTGAGAATGGATCCTTAGCTGCTTATGAGCTATGAGATATGATGTTGCAGTGAATTACTAAATTGGCCTAGATATAAACTTAAGTTGATGATTTTTCGACACCCATCCTAAATTTGGACCCCATCCCTAACTTGCGAAATTGAATCAGGAATCAGTTTACAAGCTCTTCCCTGATTTCCACCCACCCACCCACACAGACAATAAAATAAGCAGCCCCAACAAGCCCAGGATCACAACTGGGAGCTTGCTCACAGGGGAGGTCGTAAACCCACTGTTTCCCTTTTGTCTATATGGCTGACCCCATTCTCTCTGCCTTGGGGGAACAAGCTTGGCTGTAAAAGTCTGGATAGAGGCCCAAATAAAAGGTCTGAGGAAGAGGGAGAGGCTCATGAAGGAAGAAGACAAAAATCAGGGTTCAGCCGACTGCCACTGAAAGTCATACAAATGAATGTCATAAATATACCATCAAACGGGTACAAAGGACATGTCCGGTTAGGTAGGGGCCATGTGCTCAACCATGGCTTTCCCCGACCAAAAAGTATAGCCCGGACTTCTCCATTTCTCATTCATCAACCTCATGCAACATTCATTTAGCTGCTCATGGGGTTGTTGGGAGAAACATTATGGTCAATCAACAGAAATAATCTCACTTTGTAACTTAGAACCCATTTATATTTTCAAAGGATTTGAAGCATCCAGCAAAAAGGTACTAATAATCTAAAAGGATAAAGTAAGTAGTTGTTGGACATCAGGGCCCAGAGAGGACAGAGTTTGAAAAATCCGAGAGAGGAGGGTGATACTTCCACTTCCCACTCATTGCCATTCCCCATTGCAGGGTCAACCAAAGCAGCTGAAATTCACAGCAACAAGGAAAACAACTAATATTTATTGAGCTCTTATTATGTGTTAGGCATTTTACATGTCTTTTCTCAGTTTTCTCAAAATAACCCCAAAAAAAAAGTAGTATGTTCTTTTCATGGAAGAGAAAGAAACAAAGTAACTTCACTAAGGTTTTACAACTATTTAAGTGGCAGAGCTGTGATCTGAACCCAGGCCATTTCATTCTCGGCATCCTGGGATCCTAACCATGTAGCTATTCTGACTATTGTCCGTAACACCTAGGTGGAGATTCATTGTGATCTCTACTGAAAACTGGACTTTGGAGGACAACGCAATCTCACATATAGGAAGGCTGGGGAGACTGCTGGTTTCCAGCATAGGGAGAGATGTCAGGAGACCCAGAATCTGGTCCTGGCTTTTGTTATCCACTTGCTAAGTGACCCTGGGTAGGCTGTATCTTTCTGCACTTCAAATTTTCCAACTATCAAAATAGGAGAATCCCTGCCTCTTTCTTTAATGGGGAAAAGGAACTGAAGAGAATGAATATATTTAAACATTTTGAGAAAAAGATACTTTGAGATAAGGGTGACTGTACTGCGGGTAGGGTGTGGAAGGATGTGAAATGGTAAGTGACTAAATTTGGTTTATCAGAAATGACCTATGTTGAGTTTACAGGAAAAACATATAAAGCTATGTTTTGTACCTCCACCCACACATACTTTTTTTTTTTTTTTTTTAACCATATGCTACTCTGGGATGGGAACTGAGAATCTGGATACTATGTTTCATCTCTGAGCTTTAGCCCTTCCTGGGCGCACCTCAATTTTCATGACAATCGTTAGATTATGTTGAAAAATATATCTCACCAGGCTAGCAGTGGGATTGATTTTCTTTGTCTCCACTTTCTTCTCTGAAGTCAACTTGCTGACTGATTCCTGAGCCATTTTCAATCTGAAATAGAAATAGGGAAAAGACAGGGGAGAGAGGGAAAAGAAAGGAAGAGGGAAAAGGAAAGAAGAAAAGAGTTAAGGCAGGTTAAACATAAACCCAAATGCTTTTGAATTAATCCATCAGCAATTTGAAAATACTGAAATGTTTTTTCAATGCTTGTTATTAAATTCAAATCCTAATTAGGTGTGAAGGCTTCTCTGCTTTATCAAAATTTAATTTTCTTCACCAGCTGAAGCCTGTTTTTGTGAACAATGTGGTAGTTTCTGATGGATGGAGTACTATGTGCACAGAGCATTATTTACTTCAGTGTTATCCGGCTTGTGATCCACTTAGCAGATAATGAGATGATTTTGAAGAATGAAGTTCTGAGGAAATGTGAAACTACAAATACTAAAATTCACGAATTCACATCAATTAAGATGTGATAACCTATAGAATGGGAAAAAAGATAACCTACGGAATGGGAAAATATAAATATATGTATTTTTCATTCTGTAGGTTTTTTTCCATTCAAAAAATATATTTATATATTATATTTATATATTACGTATATTTATATATTATATTTATATATTACGTATAACATATAACACATTTATATATTACGTATAACATAACATTTATATATTACGTATAACATATAACACTTTATATATTACGTATAACATATAACACTTTATATATTACGTATAACATAACACATTTATATATTACGTATAACATAACACATTTATATATTACGTATAACATAACACATTTATATATTACGTATAACATATAACACATTTACTTATATATTACGTATAATATATAATACATTTACTTATATATTATGTATAATACATTTATATACTATGTATAATACATTTATATATTATGTATAATATAATACATTTATTTATATATTATGTATAATATATAATACATTAATTATATATTATGTATAATATATAATACATTATATATTATGTATAATATATAATACATTATATATTATGTATAATATATAATACATTATATATTATGTATAATATATAATACATTTATTATATATTATGTATAATATATAATACATTTATTATATATTATGTATAATATATAATACATTTATTATATATTATGTATAATATATAATACATTTATTATATATTATGTATAATATATAATACATTTATTATATATTATGTATAATATATAATACATTTATTATATATTATGTATAATATATAATACATTTATTATATATTATATAATACATTTATTTATATATTATATAATACATTTATTTATATATTATATAATACATTTATTTATATATTATATAATACATATATGTATAATATAGAAATATATATTTTATATATATATATATTTTTTTGAGACAGAGTCTTGCTCTGTTGCTCAGGCTGGAGTGCAGTGATGCGATCTCAGCTCACTGCAACCTCCACCTCCAGAATGGGAAAAATATTTTTAAATCATATACCTGATAGAAACTTGTGTCTGGAACACAGAAAGAACTCTTACAATTCAAATAAGAAGACAAATTATACCCCCTCCTCTAAAAATGGACAAGGGATTTGAATAGACATTTCTCCAAAGCTGACATACACATGGTCAATAAGCACGTAAAAAGATGCTCAACATCATTAGTCATCAGAAAATGCAAATCAAAACCACAATGGGATACCACTTCACATCCACTAGGACGGCTAGAATCAGAAAGGAAGACAGTAACAAGTACTAGAGATGAAGATGTGAAGAAACTGGAACCCTTATACACTGTTGATGTGATTGTAGAATTACACAGTTGCTTTGGAAAACAGTTTGGCCGTTTTCCAAAACGTTAAGCACAGAATTACCATATGACCCAGCAATTCTACTGCTAGGTACATAAATATATCTATAACTAAGAAAATTGAAAAGATGTCTATATAAAAATTTGCATATGAATGTTTATAGAACCACTATTTATAGTAATCAAGAGTAGAAGCAACCAAATTTCCATCACCTGATGGAAAAATTAAATGTGGTATATCCATACAATGGAATACTACTGAGCCATAAAAAGGAATGAATTTGCTGATACATGCTACAACATGGATGTACCTCAAAAACATTGTGCTAAGTGAAAGAAGCCAATCACAAAAACACATGACTCTATTTATATGAAATGTTCAGAACAGGCAAATCCATACAGAAAGTAGGTTAGCAAAACTATGGGTTTCCCCATGCTGGGGAAAATGGGGAGTTATTGCTAACCAGTCAAAGATTTCCTCTAAAATCAGATAGAGGTAATGGTTGTAGACCCTTGTGAACATACTAAAAACCACTGTGTAGTGAAGTGATACTAATGTGTATGGAATTGTACACTTTAAAAGGGTGAATTTTATGATATGTAAATTCTATCTCAATACAACTTATTAAAAATTCATTAATTCAGCATGATAGTATTTCTTACCCATCAGGTTGGCAAATGTAAACAATTAGACAATATTAACTGTTTGTGAGGATGCAGGGGAATGGGAAGTGCCACACAGTGCACTAAGGAGAAGAAATTGGTCTAGTTGGGTTTGGCAATATCAAGTAAAACTGAAAGCATGTACACTCTACGAGCCATCAAGTTTTCTTGTAGGGAGATACCAAAAAGAATTATAAACAGACACAGAGCTTTCACTGTGGCAATATATGCAATCAAGAAAAACTACAGACAACCTAATGAATAGGTTCAACAGGGTGATATATGAGAATAGCAAATAACAACTAACATTTATTGGGTACTTAATCTGTACCAGGTGCTGTTCTACCTACTGTATTTGAATTAAACTTAATTTTCACAACTCTGTGAGATAGGAACTTCTACTATTCCCATTTCATAGGTCTTAACCACCATGCAATGTGCAATGCTGCTTATGTACTGTATTCATTCAACAGAATAGGGTATAACAGTGAGAAGGAATGAACTAGATCTACAAATTCAAAAATCACAGGAATCAGAGGCATGATACTGAGAGTGAAGAATCCTGCAGTGATACAGTGAATAGTCCATCTGTGATGATGGTCAAGAGCTCAGGCTCCAAAGCCTGATTGCAGAATTAATTCTCAGCCCTATCACTTATTAACTGTGTGACCCTGCACAAGGGAACTCTCTGTGTGCCTTATTTCCTAAAAAACATGACAGTAATAGTGCATGCTACATAGGATCAATAAGAGGACTGAGACAGTATCAGAAGCATGTGAACCAGAGCAACTCCATCTTCAATAGAAGCTGGGTAAAATGAGGCTGGAACCTTTTGGGCTGCATTTCCAGATGACTAAGGCATTGTAAGACACAGGAAGAGACATGAGGTCAGCACAAGATACAGGTCATAAAGACCTTGCTGATAAAATAGGTTGCAGTAAAGAAGCTGACCCAAACTCTCCAAAACCAAGATGGCCACCTAGTGACCTCTGGTCGTCCTCACTGCTACACTCCCATTAGTGCCAAGACAGTTTACAAATGTCATGGCAATAGTCAGGAAGTTACCCTGTATGGTCTTAAAAAAGGGAGGCATGAATAATCTATCCCTTATTTAGCATGTCATCAAAAAATAACCATAAAAGTGGGCAGCCAGCAGCTCTCAAGGCTGTTCTGCCTATGGAGTAGCCATTCTTTTATTCCTTTACTTTCCTGATAAACTTGCTTTCCCTGTACTCTACAGACTCACCCTGTATCCTTTCTTGTGTGAGATCCAAGAACCCTCTTTTGGGGTCTGGATTGGGACCACTTTCCTGTAACATCTTTCTGGCAACCACAGAAGGGACTATAGTGAGGAAACCCCTGACCCAAAGGCTAGCTTTGGGTAACCGGTGGGGTCCTGTATCAGCAGTACAGCTCCAGGCAGGCGGTAATAGCAGAATAAATGTAAGCTGCTATTGTTACTTTGCATGCAGTATGCTACACTGTGCGTATAATTTTAAATTGAACCCATACATACAGACATCTATCTGTATTTATATATGGATACACACATATGAAAGTATTCAAAATAGACTAGAAAGATACTCAATAATTTCATGATAGAGGTTATTGCTAGAAAGATCTGGGAAGAGAATGACACTGGCAATAATATGCCAAGTAGAATTTCATTTTATCTGTAATACTTCATTTTTAAACTTAAAATCTTAAAGAATATATGATGCATGTTAATAGTTATAATTCTAGGTAGTGGGAATATGGGTGTGATATGCTATCTTTTATATTTTTATTTTTAAAATTTCTTCAAAAAATCTTCAAAATAGTAAATACTTAAAGATCTATCAACTCAGACATTTAAAAAATATGCTTTTTCTTCCATGCTTCAAATAAAAATATCTTACTTAATATTAATCACATACTTGTTGGCATCTGTAAGTGGCTGAGTAGCTTAGCTCTTTATTTAGCTAATGTTATACAATTTGCTTAAAACACACATTTAGTAATCCCATCTCCCTGCCCACATGCACACGTTAGTTACAATGAATTCAACATTCTTACTTGTGCACTGGACAATAAATTAATTCTACTGTTGCAGTGGGAAAGCAGCCATCTGAAAAATGCATCAACGACCGGGCTATGCTATGTTCTGATAGATTTTATTGACAAATACTGGTAGTGGGCCAGATCCGGCTCATAGGCTGTAGTCTGCCAATTCCTGGACTGTATCATAGGATTCAAAATCTTATGCTTTTGGACTGGCAATACAATCTCCCTGCTATAAACCCAGTTTACTTATCTTACCTTTTCAGACCCAGATCTGTTGTTGTATTCGTAGTATGCTGGTTTAATTAGCTGAGTATCCTTGGATAAGTCATGTAACCCCCAAACCTCAATTTCCTCATCTCTTTAAAGTGTGAATAATACCACACCTAATAACATTGTTGCTATAAAAATTAAAGAAAATACTATATGTGATTACTGATCAAGCATCTTTTCCTTCACCTCACTCCACGTGTTCCATGACCCACCCAAACGACTTACATTCTTTGTACATGGCTTTTTCTCACCTTTGCATCTTGCTTTTACTGTTCCCTCAATGACGGTCTGAGTCATTTCCATGCATGCAAATTCTTCCCATTCTTCTATTTACAGCTTAAGTGTCAAAGTCATGAAAGCTTCCTTCATCTCTCTTAGCCAGAAGTAATTGCTCTTTTCTTAAATGACAAAGCACTTTGTGCCTCTCTTAAGGTACTTAAGGCATTTCATCTTAGAACTGAGTAGGTGTCTTATTTTTCTTAAACCATTGGAATGACTTAGGGACAACGAGCAGGATTTATCCATATTTGGGACCTCTCCTTGTTCCTTTACCCAGCACTGTACCATGCTCAAGTCAGTTCTTAGTATCTACGTGACAAATGACATGCATTGATAACTTTTGTTTTTCTGACTTAAACAATTTAAATGTTTAGTAAATAGTTATAAAATGATTGCTTTTTGCATTTATCCTTGGGAAAAAACTATAAAAACATTTAGAAGTGTAGTTCCAGTTACTGATTAGCTGATTAAGTCTTAAACAAGGAAAAAGAAAAGATACTCAAGGCCACCCAAATGTGCTAAATATTTACACGTGTCATCTTATGTATAGATTCCAAGATACTTAAAAGTATCCACATTACTTTGCCCACAAGGAGACTAAGACTCAGTGAGGTTATGTGACTTTGTCCCAAGTCTGGAATTTATTTCTCCCACTTAGGAGGTAAGGGCTTTTTGCATTTAATCAAAGAAAATTTGCTGGTTAGACAGTTTCTAGCTGCATACACGCTCAACCTCCTCATTGTTTGTGGACTTGTTTTTGTTTCTGGCCTAAATGTTGGCTCTAATGTCCATCAGTAGATGACTGGACAAAGAAAATGTGGATCACATACACCATGAAATACTATGCAGTCATAAAAAGAATGAAATCACGTCCATTGCAGCAACATAGATGGAGCTGCAGATCATTATCCTAAGTGAAATAACTCAGAAAGAGAAAATCAAATACTGCATGGTCTCACTTATAAGTGGGAGCTAAACAGTGGTTACACATGGACATATAGAGGGAAATAACAGACGCTGGGGGTGGGGAGAGTGGGGAAGACAGTGAGGGTCAACAAATAATCTACTGGGTACAAGGTTCACTCTTCAGGTGATGGATACAGTAGAAGCCCAAACCCTGCCACTATGAAATACATCCGTGTAACAAACCTGCACAAATCCATGTACCTCCTGAATTGATAAAAACAAAAAAAAATAAAGGTTATATGGCAATCCTTACAAAAGAATTTGGAAATATAGGAAACAAACAAACATATCAGAGAAAGAAAATATATATTCTCAATTGATAAACGTCTCAGTAAAATTTTTGAAAACTTTATCTTTTCCTCTTTCTCATTATCATGCATATGCTCCCTAAGGAGTTATTGGGAGCCCCAGTAAATACCAAGTGCTGCCAAAGACTACTGAGGAAAGACACAAGTGTAAGATGGGAAAGTGAGTCATGTCCTCTGATGTTCTTGCCTAGTCTTGACTCTGTAGAAGTTGACTGTAACCTGGCCGGGTGTGGTGGCTCACGCCTGTAATCCCAGCACTTTGGGAGGCCGAGGTGAGTGGATCATGAAGTCAGATCGAAACCATCCTGGCTAACACAGTGAATCCCCATCTCGACTAAAAATACAAAAAATTAGCCAGATGTGGTGGTGGGCGCCTGTAGTCCCAGCTACTCAGGAGGCTGAGGCAGGAGAATGGCGTGAACCCGGGGTCGGGGGAGCTTGCAGTGAGCTGAGATTGTGCCACTGCACTCCAGCCTGGGCGACAGAGCGAGACTCTGTTTCAAAAAAAAAAAAAAAAAAAAAAAAAAAAAAAAAAAAAAAATAGTTGAAGTGGCGTGGCTTTCCATTTAGAGATTTAGGCTCCCCACTGTTATAGCCTCATCTTTTGGGAAAGCCTATGGGCATACTGTGGGCTTTCTACAGGTTAGAGGCATACAGCTGCAGCTAAATCAAGTCAATTTTCAGAATCTAGCCATCTGTGAGACTGAGGAAGTACCAAGTCTTTATTCTTTTGACATTCAGTATTTCACTGGTTTGTGTTGTACAAGGCAGAAGATACTGAAATCATTATGAAGTTTGTAATAACAGAAGTGCTTTTATTTTTGACCACAGGGATTGAGCACACCAGCCAATCAAGAGATAAATGAGATATGGAGGAAATGGGGCAGATAAGAGTGTTCAGGCTGCTTTACACTCCTTTTCACTATTGGAAAATCCAATAGTTTGGAGCAGTGTTTGTAAACTATTTTTCAAAGAGCTTTAACCTTCAGCAAAGGTGTTTCAGGGAGAAGAGGCAGAATTAGGGGATCCTCCAGATGCCAATGTTGGCAAGCTCTGCTTCAGTTAGAAAAGCTTTACTTTGTTTTATACATTGATGATTTATGTATGTTTTTAGACAAAAAGAGGTCTGCTTTTTTTTTTTTAACAGAACTTTTTGAAGCTCCTAGGGGGAAAAACAAAACAAAACAAAACAAAACAAAACAAACCTTCCTCTTCAGGAGAAAGACAACAGAAGCCAACAGAAAGCTTCTTCCTAAAGAACTGTCTATGAATATCTTAGAGGTAGACAACTGATTTAAGAAGACCAAGGGGATGATTCTTCTGACAGCCATAACCACAAGATTTCAGATTTTGGGCTCCAGTAAAACATCAAATCTACAAAAATCACAACATGGCCAGCTTTCCCACTCTCTTCTGCTTATTACTTTCCAGGTAAGTTCTAAGCCTGTGAGATCACCAGTGTCTGGCAAATACAGACAGGCACAGTGGGGACAGATCCAGATGAACCAGACTGTGGAAATAAGTGGGGCACCCATTTATTTCCCTCTCATAAAGGCAGAGATTGCCTCACATTTCATTATGATTCATTTTATTTATGGTCTTTTCTGGAATTTTGCTTGAGTTCCCTGATTTCTGCCCTATGCAACTTTCCAATGTCTATTTGCCTCCTTTGCTTTTAATAGCTTCAGAATGAAAATTAAATAGAGCTATCTTATTACACCTTGCCTATGGCTTCTCCCAACTTAATTCTGTGACTGCAATTAACTTTTTTTGGAGGGGGGTTCATCTGCTCATCCTCGTTTCCTTTCTTTCCCATTCAACGTATCTGTGTGAACTGTAACAAGACTGTCAACCTGTTAACTTTTGAGTAACTCTTAAGTATGATGCTAGGGGTGTGTGTGTGTGTGTGTATACGTACGTGTGTGTGTGTGTGTGTGTGTGTGTGTGTGTGTGTGTGTATATATATATATATATATTTTTTTTTTTTTTTTTTTGTAGAGATGAGGTTTCACCATGTTGCCCAGGCTGGTCTCAAACTCCTGAACTCAAGCAATCCACCTGCCTCAGCCTCCCAAAGTATTAGGATTACAGGTGTAAGCCATCAAGCCCAGACAAAGGCTAAGTTATATTTATAATGAAAAAAAGGAATTTAGGCTGATGACTGGCGTCTGGACACAACAGGTCTCAAATCATGGTTCAGGTTTGGGTTTACACTCTAACCTATGGAATTAATTTTAGTGTTTAAAAATAGGTAACTGGCCCCTGAAAATTAGCGTTATCTTTTAAACACCTATGGGTGATATGTTAGAAATTCTCCTAAATAATATGATTGGTTCATTTCAGTCAGTACAGAAAATACAATCTGGTAATACTATCAGGGCATTTTTGTTAATACATTACTTGCTTTTGTATTGTAGACAACAGGACCAAGAAGTGACTTCAGGAGCAGAGGAATAAACTTTTGGCCTCTAATGCTACTAGCTTTAAAAAGAAAGCCCTACCAGCTACCTAGTACAGTGTGACTAAAATTAATCACCGCTCGACTCAGATCATGTATGTTTCTTGATCCAAGCCATTAAAAGTTAATGGCTTTGGAAATATTGGCAGACAAAGGCAAAGAAAAGAGACACATTGAGGGAATATGGTTCATGAAAGGCATCTTGGGAAACACATGAGATCTGACCAGCTATAATATGAATCTCTTTAAAAAAAGATTTTAATATCACTCGTTGCTAAAGAAAGAAGATAAAAATGGTCTAAAAAATGGATACGGTATGCTCTGTGTGCCAACAGGTAATGTGCCTTTAAGTCAGCATGCCACAGGAAATGTCCACGTTCCCTAAAAAGTAGGATGATAAAAACTGAAGGTCCAAGCTGCTGCACCACTGGACTTACCCTAAATGTAAAGACAGGAGTTCAGAATCTCTCTAATAAATGCAAGAGCTCTTCATTCTCATGACTGTTCAGAAATACATGGACGAACATGATAAACAAAGGAACATGCAAAAAACACATTTTTACCACTGGCTCAGTCAATTCTGGCCTATGGTCCTTTGGAATGGTGAATAAGGTTTCCGTGGTATAAAAAAGGTATTGGCCCTCACTGTAGATCACACCTGTAAAATAAATGACTCACCAGTCTGACTACCCAATATAGCTTTGCTCTACCAGTCATTATCAGGGACAGCTTCTATGAGCAAATAATGACACTCTTATGGTCTCCCTTCAGAAGAAAAAGTCAGAAAAGGGGTATATAGAGCTTCAAGGATGAAATACAAAAAGGAGTGAATATTCACTCCTTTGCCATGATCTCCTTGCAGCTTTGAACTAAGTCACATCAGGCCAAGGCACAAGGAATAACATATAGACTTTGGGGCATCAGGGAAATGGCTTCCTTGCCTCAGAAAGCTCAATATCACATGGTTTATGGCATTTTGAATAGAGAAGATTGAGGGCAACGTTTTGATCTTTTTCTCATTAGGCTTACCTGAAACATAGATGGTATTAACGCCATAAGGGCTGTTTTAAATATGCTTTCAGAGGGATATGGCTGTGTCCAGCCATCCCTCCAACCACTGCCTGGTGGCCTGAACATCAGAAGTAAGGCTCTGTCCACTCTATATAGTTTGTTCAGGTCTTTTGATACTACTCGAGTCTATACAAGGTACAGCCCCCAGTTCCCAGAGCGAAATTGTTTCTCCAGGCGAAAACGGGCTAATGTCCAACTTTGATTCTAAATAAGTGAGATCGTAGAGACCTGACCAGGGCTGTGAGGACCACTCTCATTTCTATCCATCTTGACAACAGTCACTCACGAGGCATTTCTGAATTCCTGACATAACTATCGCACGAGGTTAACTGCTATAAAAGTCAATGAAATAAGTAAAGTCACTCCCTACTGTAAGAAAAAAACAACAACAAACTCATTAATTTCTCAATTTAAAGGGAAATTTTTTCCTTGCTGCAGCAGCTGATGAAAACATCATTGACTAGGCTATGTGGAATGTTTCCAAAGGGTAGAAAAATAAAACTAAGAGAAAAGAGCCATAAACAGTAAGAAAGAATGGGTAACCCCAAGTTCATTTATCCCAGGCAGGCCAACAAGGCCACATACTTAGACAGACACACTCTTCCATGCTCATTTTCTCTTCAGAGTCTGACCTTCGGCCCTGACCGCTCTGGCACCGACCACCTCCTGTGCCTCCCAGGTCAGTTTCACTAGCAGCCATGATAAAACAGACCAGCAGGAAAGTAAGAATACCAGCAGAAAGTAATCTTAGGCTTAGCTCCTAACACACCAGAATTTAGCCTTTAAAAGTTATTCCAGTTGGGCATGGTGGCTCACACCTGTAATTCCAGTGCTTTGGGAGGCTGAGGCAGGACTGCTTGAGGCTAGGAGTTCAAGGCCAGCCTGGGCAACACAGCAAGACCCTCTCAACTAAAAAATGCTTTTTAAAAAATGAGTTGGGCATGATGATGTGTGTCTGTAGTCCTAACTAGTCAGGAGGCTGAGGCAGGAGGATCACTTGATCCCAGGAATTGGAGGTTACTATGATGACACCACTGCATTCTAGCCTGGGCAAAAGAATGAGACCTTGTCTCTTAAAAAAAAAAAGTTATTCCATGATAAATTAGCATATCACTTCTACTTTGTCCAATTGTGTACTTTGTCAAATCTAAATCTGACAATTTTCCCTACTCTATTCCTAAGATATTTTCCTATTTAAAAGTAAAAAACTTCTCTTAGAGACTGCATGCATTTCACCAGCTACACAGATCAGCCACTTCATAGTTTTTGTGAGCTATCACTTGTATACCCAAACATACTTTGACTTCAAGTGATTAATTGCAGAACAAAGTCCTCTTCCGTTTGCAGAGCTTCTCCCCCAGGACACAGGGGAGTTGAAGTTGGGGAGCCCTGGACTTGCCCTGGAATGCATGATCAGTTAAAGCCAATCACTCTGCACTTAGTAGACATAACACCCAGAGCCGACCCGGCGATTTAGGTGCAGAGTGAAAGGTAACAGCATCGCATTCATTTCCTCATTTAGGGAGAGTAGTCTGGGAGACAGTTTGAAAACTGAAATCAGCCCTGTGTCATAAATTTGCAAATTTAATTGAAATGCATTAGTCTTTGGAAGACATTTCCAATCCCGATAATGAAGACATGCATGTGCTAGCAGATGCAAGCTCCCCCTTTTGGTTTTGAAACCTCTACCACCTACTGAGTCTCACCAAAAACTAGCACTGAGAGCCTGTTTGCATGGGTGACTGGAACAAAAGGGTGAGGAAACAGGGAAGATTGTCTGGAGTAAGGAGTCTCTCTGGCGCCCCTCAAATCATTCTACCCAGGCAGCCCCCTGTTGCATCTCTGCCCAAGGCAGGAGCTGTCAGGAGTCCCACAGATAAGTAATTTAGAAATATTCTAGGCTGAATGAAGGAGACATACTTTAGGTTTCCATTGTTCTCTGCCAAGCTAGGGAAATGGAGTGCGGACAGATGCTCTCTAAGGTTTTGATTTGAGCTCCAAAGAGGTTTGAGGCTTGGCATAGCCATGAATCCAAAGGATCTCCACTTCCTTCTTTTTTTCTAAACAAACTGAAAGTAATACAGTCAAGAACAGAGCTGGCGATTGTTTTATTCCATTAACTAATCTTTCTTGTTCTGAACATGTCTATTCTCTTTAACAAAGCTATTAAGATTTTAGATTCTTGGGCAAAAGCAACCCATATGGGATACATTTAGGGACTTCTACCACCAAAACCCAAATAAACAAGATTTTTCATCTATCAGCAGCAGACAGCAAATCTTGCAATCAATTTCAACATGGCAAAAGGAAACACAATGATTATTTATTTGTTCAACAAATACTAACTCAGCATCTACTATATATATGGAAAAACAAGGTGCTACAGAGAAAACAAAGTGGTACAAGACATTGTAATTATCTTCTAGGGGCCTATGATTTATCTAAAAGAGAAAGTGCCTATAACCAAATGAATAAAAAACCAAATCATTAAATGACAAAACTGAAGATACAGTAAACCCCCAAAATTCTGGAGATACGATAGCTCACACAGATTGGAGAAAGCTTCATGAAGGACACCGTATGTGATCAATAAATTTTTCCAGAATAGTTTCATAGTCTGTATATCACTTGAGACATAATATTTTTAGATTATACCATTATGTAAATATTATAGTAGTTTTAAAGTAGAGTCACACACTGCATAATGACATTTCGGTCAAAGACAGACCTCATATATGATGGTGGTCCCATAAGGTTATAATGGAGCTCAAAAATTCCTATTGCCTAGTGAAGTCATAGCCACCATAATGTTGTGGCACAACTACTTTATTATAAAAATAAATTTAGTGTAGCCTAAATGTACAGTGTTTATAACATCTACAGAAGGGTACAGTAATATTCTAGGCCTTCAGATTCACCCACCACTGACTCACTGACTCACCCAGAGCAATTTCCAATCCTGCAACCTCCATTCATGGTTAAGCGCCCTACACAGGTGTACCATTTTCTATCTTTTATACTGTATTTTTACTGTACCTTTTCTGTGTTTAGATATGTTTAGATACACAAATACCATTGTGTTACAATTATATTCAGTACAGTAACCTGCCGTACAGGTTTGCAGCCTAAGAACACTAGGTTATGCCATACAGCCTAGGTGTGAAGTAGGCTACACCATCTAGGTTTGTGTAAGTACACTCTATAATGTTCGCACAATGATGAAATCACCTAACAATGCGTTTCTCACAATGTATCCCGCTAGTTAAGTGACACGATTCTACGTGTTTAAATTAAGTGCTGCAAATTTATATTATAGGAATGTGCAAATACACAAGAGACTGGAGTAGACCAAGCACTCAAAGGAGGAAGCACAGAAAAGAAGGCAGTTAGGCTGATCCCAGGAATAACACTGCATGATTCCTCCAAACGCATGTTCAGTCACCCAGGTCCGCCTCTTTATGTCTATGTAGCCAAATTCATCTGCTGTCAATGCCCAGCTCATTTTCTACTTAAAATCACAGGAAGTCAGGGTTGGAAGAGAACTGCAAGATCACCTGAGCCCAGGAGTTTCTAAACTTGGCTGAAGGATCACTAGGAAGGTGTCAATCTCTGATCTCCAAAGCCTACCTGGTACATGTAAACAAGAGGATGGTGAAGCCAAGGCATTTATTAAGGAAACTAAACACAAAATGTGTTCTTGCTCTGCCATCTCTGTGGGGAGTTTCTAAAACCACAGATTTCTAGACTCTACACTCTGGTATTCTGATTCAGTGGATCTGTTTACATTTTTACAATGACCTCCAGGTGACTTGGGAGATCTGCCAGGTTTGGGAGCTGCTGATCTCTAACACTGCCCTACTGGCTTCTGAATCTCCTCTAAAACTATCTGCTTAGGGTGGTCCTGATTATGGCTAAGTGTCTTCTCAAAGCTCCCTGTAGCTTCCACATTTCCTTTGGATCATTTCTTCCTCCAAACTCTTACACCAGCCAAGATCTTCAATGCTCTTTCAATATCCAGCTGTGCGCTGGAGAATGCACCATACAAGACACAGCAAAGAACAGGCTTGTGTCCTAGAAGTGGAAAGATACACATAAACTGCTAAAATAACAAGTTGGAATGAATTAAATACTAAAGGATCGTAAGAAGAAAATGCTGTCAGAGCCCACAGGAAAAGCTAATTCTTTTATTAAGGGAGATTTCAGAACATTTCTACAGAACCTGGTTTCTGGAGGCAGCCCTTGAAAGACGACTCTATTTTGATCAGCAGGAAATAATGGGGGGAATGCGGTATGAAGAAATTATCCAGTGAGAACACAAGGAAAGAAAGTGCAGGTGTGAGACAGTGAGTGGTCATAGTAGGTGCAGGGAGGGATGAGGCTATAGGAAATGAGGCTAAAGAGTGAGTTTAGGGCAGGTTCTCAGAGGGCCATGCTATAATTTGGGAGAGAATATGAAGTTCTTGAAAGAACTCAAGCTTTAGTGTAAAAAAAAAAAAAAAGACCTAGGTTCTTATCCTCATTCTGTTTATTAATGAAACTATGACATTGAAAATTCATTTACTCTCTCATGCTTAGCTGTGAAATAGCAATAAACCTTTTTTTTTTTTCCTTCAGGGCTGTTGTGACAACTTAATACATTAATAAATTAAAGTACCATCCATGGCTAATTATCTTTCCTTTATTTCATGAGCAATGGAAAACCACAGAATATGTTTAAAGAGATAACTATGATCTAAATTCTGTTTTGGAAAGATAATTGGATGCAATATTCAGGGACACTTCAAGAGGAAATAGAAAACCTCTAGGCAGAGAGAAGAGTTAGAAGGATGTTTCAATAATCCAAGTGAGAGATGATAGAGTCCTGAATCAGAGCAGAGACACCTCAAATACAGGGTAAAGAACAATCACCATTAAGGGGGCAAAACTATAAAGAGTCAGAAATAGATGAAAAATAAATCTTGTAGCAGTAAAAATAATTCTCATTCCAGCCTGCCTTTTGCTAATAGGAGGAGGATAGTGTTGCAATTGAAAGTTAGGGAGCCTAAGAGGAATAGGCCTTAGTTGAGATGGAATAATTTCCAACCGAGACATATTGAATTGCAGATGAAGGCTGGGTATACAGTTTAATGTGCAGTAGGAAATGTAGGTCTAAAACTTGGGAGGCCTTGGCAATGAGGTGATAGGTGAAGCTGTGAAAATAGTTGGGACTAACAAAACAGAGAATAGAGCAGAAAAGAGGAACACTGAGATTTACCTTGGGGAAGGCCCACACTTAAGGAACAGAAGAAACAGAGGAACTAAGGAGGGAGATGAAGAAGGGGAGTAGTCACCTTCGCAGAGAGACCCAATATATTATCAGAGCAACGAGGCATTTCGAGATGGAGGAAACTACCATTGGTGTCAAAAACTAGCAGTGGCACACTTTGGGAGGCCGAGGCGGGCAGATCACGAGGTCAGGAGATTGAGACCATCCTGGCTAACACAGTGAAACCCAGTCTCTACCAAAAAAAAAAAAAAAAAAAATTAGCCGGGCGTGGTGGCAGACGCCTGTAGTCCCAGCTACTTGGGAGGCTGAGGCAGGAGAATGGCATGAACCCGGAAGGTGGAGCTTGTAGTGAGCCGAAATCGCGCCACTGCACTCCAGCCTGGGCGACAGAGCAAGACTCTGTCTCAAAACAAAATAAAACAAACAAACAAAAAAAACCCAAAAAAACTAGCAGTGGCAAAGAATTAGTTAGAAGGAGTCATCTGATTTCAGTTAGGAAATGTGACACAGTCTAGTAACAATCTCAATATGCAGTTCTCCTGCTTCCTTTAGTAAAGGAAACCATGAGTCTTTAGCAGGGACATGGCTCCCAGCTAAGCCTACATTTCCTGGTCTCCCTTGTGTATGGCCATGAGACTAAGTTCTGTCCAATGGGATAAAGTGGAAGTGATGTGTGCACCTTCCAGCTCATGCTATTTAATATTAAAAGGAAAGGTTGTGCAGTCCCCTTCCCACTGGCAGGAACTCAGCAGCAATGGTAGCAGTAGACCTGACGTGTGCCCCCTTACACGTTGGGAATAAGGACCTTACCTTAAGGACGGCAACCACAAAAGAGAAGAAAACTGGGTTCCTGACATCCAAACTCCTTGCATTCAGATTGTTATACATGAGGAAAATTGATTTTTCCTTTGTTTAAGCAACAGTTATTTTGGCCTCTGTTATGGCAGCCAAGACGTTATCCTTACTGAGACAGGAAGGAGTGTGTGGTACGAAAAAGGAAATAAGGAAATGAACGTAAATCATTCTTTTAAAAGAAGTTAGAAGGGAAAAGGAGACGGAATGATGCTTTCAGAGAGAGGGCCAAGAGGTGTGTATAGTTTTTTAAACCAATGATCCTATAATTCTTACAGTTTTTTAGTTTATCCTCTCTCCTTATTCATGGCATATTTTTAATTTTGCAGATGTAGTTTTAAATTTATTGCTTGGGGAATAAGCAGTTTTTATTATTTGTGATTTCTTTTTTTCTTTTCTTTTTTTTTTAAAGACAGTCTCACTCTGTTGCCCAGGCTGGAGTGCAGTGGCGCGATCTCGGCTCACTGCAACCTTCGCCTCCCAGGCTTAAGTAATTTTCCTGCCTCAGCCTCCCGAGTAGCTGGGATTACAGGTGTGCACCACCACACCCAGCCAAGTTTTGTATTTTTTAGTAGAGATGAGGTTTCACCATGTTGGCCAGGCTGATCTTGAACGCCTGACCTCAGGTCATCCACCCACCTCCGCCTCCCAAAGTGCTGGGATTACAGGCATGAGCCACTACGCCCGGCTGTTCTTTGTGATTATGACAATGTTGTTTATCAGTTAGGTCTTGGGGCATTTACTGTTTGTGTATTTGCACAGAACCATTTTCAAATGTGATTTAGGAAAATTCAAAGTTTTGACAATTAATTAGGGGGTGATTGTATTATTAAGGGATTTTTAAAAATAAGCAGCTCTTTAGTGGTTAAATGAATACAAGTCATTTAACTACATAACACAGGGCAAGGAAAAGAAAGTTAACATGTTACAAGTTACTGAAATTATCATGTATGTATGTCAGTAGGAAAGCAGAATTCAATAAATAACAATTTTATTTATGGAGCTTTTTCTAGGAGTAAGTTTATCATGTAAAGAAAAGAATTCCTGTAGTGTCTACACTGCAGTCAGTGGCTTGTGGATTGAGTGACAGCATCTCTAAGTCCCCAGCTCTTGGTCCTAAAGTGACCTGAGCAGTAGGGAGCTCTGAGAACAGCTTTCAGGATAGCCTCACAACAGCTTTGAACTATCTTCTGTAAAGGGTACAGCAGTTCCATAATCACCCATAACAGCAGCAAGTAATAGACTTAAAACAAAAACCCTATTGGTAGGTGGCTGGGTAATAAAAAAAACAGCCCCCTCGCCCCCAAAAGAAAAAAACAAGATAACTATCCATTCCCCTATGGTGTAAATTATAGCTATGTGTGTAGTGAAATTTCTTATTTTCATTTCACATAAAATTCACCAAACTTCTAATTCACTCATTACTTACCCATTATGGGGTTTTTAAATGGCACTTTTAAAGTTTGCTTTGGCTCAGGGTGAATTATATGCCCAGACTTTATTCCTGGAGTCATGACTCCCGTAGGCCTTCTGTACCTTTTGCAAATTCAAAGCTCATTTTGTGGGAGGCAGTGCTTCGTGTGCATGCGCGGGCATATGTGGGGGCAGTCTTAGGATATCCTAAATGGTGGAATGTTTTGTAAGTAAGGGTCCTATCACCCAGAATAATTCAGCAGCCAAAAAAAATAAAAAATAAAAAATAAAAAAGAGTAAAGAATAGCCAATAAAGGTATCAGCAAAAATTAGGTTACCTACTTGCAGTTATGCATATACTTGGATAATCTATTGATTTAACAGGTGGAAGAAACATGTGTACCAAAAATTCATTGAATGTTTGGATATCATGAGGTACAAATACAAAAGTGCATTAAAAGGTAAAAGTGAGGCAAAGTTGCTTCTGAGGATAAAATAAACCTTGGATTATGATACATCGTAAATGCAATGTTGGATACAGATGAGCAGAGAAAAAAACGTTTTGTGTACATGCTCCATAAAAAAACGTGATCTTCAAGAACAACATTAGGATCAGGCGTGGTGGCTCATGCCTGTAATCCCAGCACTTTGGGAGGCCAAGGCAGGAGGATTGTTTGAGCCCAGGAGTTTGAGACCAGCCTGGGCAACATAGTGAGACACCGTCTCTACAAAAATAAAAAAATAAAATTAGCTAGGTATGGTGATGCACACCTGTAGTCCCAGCTACTCAGTAGGCTAAGGCAGGAGGATTGCTTGAGCCCAGGAGGTCAAGGCTGCAGTAAGCTATGATTGCGTCATGGCACTCTAGCCTGAATGACTCAAAAGAAAACAAAACAAAGGCCAACATTAGTATTTTATGAGAAGAACTGGGGGTTCAGGTGAGGCAAGGTAGCTATAGATGTTTACCGATTTCAAGAGGGCAATGAAAATTCTTTCTGGCACCTAATCTCTCTCCCAACTCACCTGCAAGTCCTTGCTTGAAATATCTTCCAATATAGTACCTATAGCTCAAGAGCAAAGGTGAGGGGCACTATGGCAGAAGGGAAACACACAGCTCCTCAGAAAATTAGAACCGCAGTTTCTAGATTCATAGAGATTTTGAGCTAGAAGAGCTCATAGTCACCATTTAATTCCTGCTTCATCCTGATACATACATTTTACAGATGTGACAATCGGGTTCCCAGTGAATAAGTGACTGGCCCAAGATCACATAGCCAATTAATGGGGGTGGGGGGGTGGCAGGGTGAAGGGTAAAAATGCCTGTTTTCAGCTCTCTGTCTCCAGGTCTTTTTTTACACTGCTCAGCACTGCACATATTCAGAAGGGATAAGAGAAGGGACTGGGATGCTTCACTGAAAGATGAGTCCTGATACCAGGGGCAGCACGATGACTGAGTGGGTCACAGACTGCACGTCTAGAAAGTGGCGCTTTTGGATTTGTGCCTGGGCTCAGAAGTTTGCTCTTTTGCTTAAGATTGGCTTGAATGCCAAGGAAAATTGAAAGCCATTAATATACCACGACACAGTAGATTACTCTTCCAAAGATATAGTTAATCTCCAGGTAAACCATATTCCCCAGTGAAATATTGTTCCTTCTGCCGAACCACAGAGTTGTGCCCTGACACCAGTTTAATAAGATTATTGTTCACTCACAAGGCACAAGAACTTAGGACATTTTTATGTGGTCATTTGTATGTTACAGATTATTCTGGATTTTATGAGGGGAAGCTGTTATCTTGTTATGAAGATGCATTCATCTCAATTTTGTATCAAACTAATGTGTACTCATGAAAACTACCTAAGCAGGAAAAGTAAATATTCACCACCACCTAAAATTAACCTCCAGTGGCCTAAGTAGTTTTCAACACTTCCATTTCATTTGGAAGTAGAATTTAAACAAAACAGTGTTTTCCATGAAACCTGTCCCTTTGAAAATGCTAGTACTGATTCTTAATTTTTCCAATGATTTTGAGCACTTAGTTGGCCTTCCAATATATTTAAAAATTAAGTGAGTTGAATTTTTCTGATGAGATCCCAAACTAGTTTTTTTCTTTATAATTACACATCATCAGGTTTTTATTTTGGTTATGAATTTTATTTTTTAGGATGCCCTTGTTAATGATGTTATGTTGTCTCCTGATGTTTAGTGTTGTTGGGATATATTCGGTTTCTGGGGAAAGTATAATTGAAACTATAATATCAAATATCATTAAATAGATGTCAAAACAAAGCAATTATAGTGTTCCTCATTTAATAGAAAAATTCCAGTTAATTTGCTTATTTTACCATAATGAATGTGTGATTCTAACAGGAAAGAAGCTAAAATCTTTAGCAGACAGAGAACACTTTAACAAAGTTCTCACTTTAGGATTTTAAGAAAACCCTGGATATCAAGCAGTTTGTTTAAATGGTTGAGGAGTAATATACATAATGTGCTAATATTTCTTAACACACAGATTTTCCTAACCATGCTGCTGCCTCCAGAAATATCTTATTAGCCATCATCAACTTTCAGAGATGTTGTTTTAGGGTAGAAACCTTGGTGATCCATCCTCACAGAGCATGGCTGGAATGAAGGGTCCCCTGAAACTGCGAAATGAGAAGAACCAAAAAGGGTCTTGTGAGGTCATGACCCTGTAAAGGGGTTGGTTTACAGAGTGTGAAGCAGGCAATTCAACAGCTGCACCCAGGAAGCAATGCCACAAACGCCCGTGGCTGGGAATCAGAGATACTGTCATTTTGAAGGACTTCTGGATACCACCTCTATGACAGACTCACAATTTCTTTGATCTAACTTCTATGATACAGAACACTCTTTAATGTGGAATACAGTTATTTCAACAGAAGATCATTAACATATAAAGCAATTAATTGCCTTCTCTGTTGGTCTTTTGTTTGTTTTAGACCATTTTTAGGGCCCCAAGGACAAATATACTAAGGACTGTGCTCAAAATCTGAGGTGTAAAAATTCTTAAGCAAAAGCTGTACATTCCAGGCCCACTGTGGGATGTCCCAGCCTCAAGGTGTATGGACCTGGAGGGCAGACTGGCCAGCTCCTATGCTGTTTTAAGAATAGTATTTTCGTATGAGAATTGATTCCACAGAAACTTATTTTAGCTTACTTTAAAGGGCTAAATAAGTGATGGCAGGGCAAGAACTATGGGTTGGGTGCCAAGATTTTTAGGATTTTTTTTCATGTTATTATCAACGACCTATTTTCTCAACAATGGTACTTTTCTCTGCTTCAGTTTTATCTATATAATGGATATATTCAGTTTAATTCCCATGTTCCCAAAGAAGTACTGATGGGAAGATGTGTTGATAAACACATCTTTAACTTCCTTGGAAAGAAAGAAGGCCTTTCTCTTTTTTTAGCTCCCTGAGAAAATACTTAGAGACTAATACTAGGTCAAAAATCTCACAATTTTGCTCCTCTTACTAGTGTTTTAAGGTGAAATATATTAGGGTAGGTTGTGATGTGTCTAGAAATATATTATGTATATATCTTTTCTTTGATTACAAAGTGAAGAATAAAAATACTGAATTATGGAATGTCAGGCCTCACAGGTTAGTAAAAGGTAGATGCTATAATGAAATATATCATTTTCCTTACGCTGAGGAATTTTTTGTCTCCTTCCACTCTGTTTTGAATGCCATTCTTATACATCTGTTCCACAGGAGTAGTAGTAAGACCTGTTTGAAATTTAAATCCATGACACCCCTTCCATAACAGTGGCAACCCAATCACAAAAATGATCAGGCAGAAATGCTTTTTTCTGATAAATAGGGGCAAATTCAATCTCTCTAAGGAAAACGCACACACACACACACACACACACACACACACACACACACCCCGTCTATATTCAGAGTTGAGGTTTTTCTTCTACCCCCAGCTAATAAAATCGGGGGCTGCAACGAGGCTGAGCGGCACGCAGTTTGATGTCCGCAGCAGGATACAGGGAGTCAGAAGTGGCGCTGTAAATCCAATGCGGGGCTTCCACGCTGTGTGAAGTGTGGCCTGAGTCACAGAGATTTTCCTTTGATGCAAGTTCAGTATATTAATGGGAAAAGCATTCACTTTTATTTGTCTATACTGTCTGCGACAGCAAGGCTGCCTCATTTAGCCTGGGCCAACATGAAAATACACAGAGAAGCAATCTGTTGCAAATTAGCACAACCCTCCTTTCATTTACTAGCTAGTAATTGGAAGGGGTTAAGAAAGTGTAACTTATCAGATCATGTGAGCATATCTGCCTGTGTGGACAGCAAGCTTTCCCCGAATTTCCCTACGATCCCTGAGGCAAAAAGTCCTTCCCCTATGACCACTTCATCCGAAAGAAAACATCGACAGGTGTGAAATAGACACACTTTGATAGGTTTAAGAGTGCAGTTTCCTAGGCTCCTGAAGGAGGCATTAAAATCTTTTTTTGAACCTTACCTTTCTTTAGATATGTTTTTACTCTCCCGTTTCCAAATTGTCTTGAAGTCACTGCAGAACTCATACCACACCATAAACACGTAGCTGGGTGTGATCTCCTTCTCACCAGACTTTGGCTTCATCCCAAAATATCGTACTGTTGTTTCAAAACTGCAACAGGTAGGGGGGAAAATGGAATGAGGTAGAGGTGAGAAATTGCCAACACTAAAATCCATTAGAGGGGGGATGCTGGGGGCAGTTTCTCTTGTGTTTATTTTGTAACACAGAAGCTGGGGGCTCATAGTTACTGAAGTTTATTGTAAACCTCAGAAAATCTATTTGCTCAAACTGATTTGCCAAAAAATGGAACTTGATTGGGATGCTCCTGGGCACATCTTATCTGTATAAAATCAGCATGTATAATTTCTGGGGGTGTGTAGGTAAAACGTCTCGAGTTTGTTCTTCATCTCAAATCCCCGTCTCTTCCCTGCTCTTCATTTTATGTTTAGTGATTACATGCAAGGTGGATGACACACTGACTGCAGCATTAGCAGCGGTCAGTTCGATAGCTCATTGGGAATAATTAATCTGTCAAATGTTTCACAAAAAAGCAAGAAAATCCATTCTATCCTTTTTCGGGCATATACTGGCTTTGTAATCTTGGGTCAATCACTCAGCATCTTTGACTCTCAATTTTCTCAAGGGTAAAATAAGAGATGTAGATGATATGATCTTCAGGAGGGCTACCTTTTAAAGCTTAATATGATACAAGAATACAAACCACTGATGTACAAAAACAGATACAGTTGTAGGCATAGCAAGTTTTGGATGAAAAACCATTTCTGATCTTGGAAAAATGATCTCCAGTCTGGTCAGTAAAGAATCCCAATTTTCCAGAGTGGATTCCCAGATATCAGTAAGACCTATCCCAGCAAGGCTCACTGCACACCAGACTACCTGGGCCTCCCAAGCAGCCCTTCTTGGAGGCACTAGCTTTGCAGCAATTTACAGCTTTGAACTCAATCTTTCCCCCTCACCCCCACCTACCCCAAGCCTCACAAGCTCATTTGCCATGAGCAAGAACACTTAAATAAATGACCCCCTTTTCTAGGGTGTTGGAAACTAATCAAAGCAGGAATGGCTGGCCAGGTTTATTACTCAATGCTCTATCATCTGTTCAGACACAGTGGTTTTTTTTTTGTGTGTGGCCATCCTGAATACTGATTTTCTAATGGAACTCTATTCAATGGCGATTGTAAAACCCTGAAGCTCCGTTACTATTATGGAGCATACTTTCATCTCATTCTCGGTTATTGGGCAATATGTATCTCATAAGATTTTATCACATTTCACAGATGAACTGTTAATTGATTCCATGGGTACGATTAGGCGAGATCCAAGCTGGAGCTGCAGCTCTGAGTCCCATAAATTCTTTGTGCTTCTGTAAAGAATAAATCTGTTTTTAATGCAAATTAAAACTACTGGTCAGGGAATTTTGGCTCCCAGTTATTAAAAGACTGGAAATGTGTAAGTGGAGAAAGGCAATAACTGCAGTAATCTCTTAAGGGACTCTATTATAATTCCAAACATACATAATGTTGAGAAAAACCGGGAAGGGAAGAATGTGGCAATGTCCACTCTTGCCCCAGACATAACCCTTATTTCCATGGCAGTCCAAACACTGGTAAAACCAAATGTACACTCTATAGCATGTAACTTTATTTCACTCAAATGAAAATTATTTTGACTATAGCATGGGAATACATAAGTAGAGAGTTATATAACCTATAGGAACAGGCCATTCATTTCCTACAAAGTCACAGGACTTTAGAATGGGAAGGAATTTACAGGATGACTTGCCCAAATTATCATTTTATAGGTGACAAAACAGAGACCTGGAAAGACTGTGTGGCATTATTCCCTGGTAGGGTTGGGCCTGGAATTCAGGTCCCCTGATTTTCTGTGAAATGCTCTGTCTGCTTTATCTTTCTGTTGCTCATGCTCAATAACACAGGCATTTAAGAGACAAAATAGTCGTTCTACCCCACCCTTTTCTACTTTAGACACAGGTGTCCTCCTCTGTATCACACATAACATGCATTACCCCAGGGAGGGCATGTGATTATTTTTTCTCTTTCTTATGCTTACCTTCTATACAGATACATATTTATTTGAGCATTCATGGGGAAGGGAAAGTCTTTCATTTCTAGTATTTAGAGGGACAACTTATCTTCTGATTTTCCAGCAAAATATAGTGAAGTCCAGTTATTGTGCTTCATGGAACACCTGACACCTCTGGCATCACCTGGAGTCTAGATTGTGAGATCAACATATTGCAAATCCTGGTGCAGTTTCAGAGAATGTCAAGAGTGATTTGGTGGTTGTTGCACAGCCTGAGAAAAACACATCATCCTCCTGTGGGCCTCGATTTTCCCAACTCTAAACTGAAGCTAACCATTGCCCTCCTTGCCTCTCTCCCTGGGGATTTGTGAGGTACTGCTTGCTTACTCTCCCTGAAAGGGGGAGAAACACTAAAAAAAATACTAAATTTCAGCCTTTTTTTTCTTATGTGTTTTGGAAACTAAGAAAGCAAGTGAACCTCTTCAGAAGAACCAAAGTACACAGACTCCCAGAGGATGGCCTGGCTTTGGCACTCAGCAGCTTAGACAAAGATAAAGTCGCTTCAAGAATGTGCCTTATTTGGCCGGGCACAGTGGCTCACGCCTGTAATCCTAGCACTTTGGGAGGCCGAGGCGGGTGCATCACGAGGTCAGGAGATCGAGACCATCCTGGCTAACATGCTGAAACCCCATCTCTACTAAAAACAAAAACAAAAAAACAAAAACAAACAAACAAAAAAAAATTATTCAGGCGTGGTGGTAGGCACCTGCAGGCCCAGCCACTCAGGAAGCTGAGGCAGGAGAATGGCGTGAACCTGGGAGGCAGAGCTTGCAGTGAGCCCAGACTGCGCCACTGCAATCCAGCCTGGGCGACAGAATGAGACTCCGTCTCAAAAAACAAACAAACAAACAAAACCAGTGTGCCTTATTTGATTTCATTGTTATTCCACTGTTTAAGAAAATGCTAAAAGCTAGAATATGAACCTGCAATGGTTTGATAAGGCCTAGACTGTTGTCTTTCCTAGACAAAACTCCATTTTAAATTCAGTTTTGATTCACAGAGATTGACCACTGAAAATCTTTTGCAATTTGGACAAGAAAATTGTTGATATTTAACAACCAGGAGAATTTTCTCTAATATACAGGAAACAAAGGTCAATCATGCGATTTGAAATTTCTATTTGTTAGCAGATAGCTCTAAAATGGCTCTCAAATTTTAGAAGATTGATTTCTAATCCTATGTTTGGTTTTATATAACTTTTTCATTTCATGCAAACTAGTCCCTGACCCCTTTTCTCTCTGCTATAATTCCCTGTCTGATTTGTATCTTTTTAATTCAGCCAAACATTTTTAAAGTACAGACAATGATTACATCAAAGAGCCTGTAGCGAAGTGAACTGTTTTACTTTTACAGTCCTGAGATCCAGAGCGGAACACATCCACTTATTGTCTTACATGCATGCCTTCAGAAACTGCTTAGGAAAAGCAAATATGCCTTAGCCTCAGAGTAAATTGTTTCTCTTGAGAATAAAACATAAGAATTCACTAATCTCACACAAATATTGCAACACTGACCACAACCTCCTTAAAGAGTATAACCAAACAACTGTGGTTTCTACATTAAAGATGGGATCTAACATATTTCATGTATGACATGAAAGCTAGACTACCTTCACCACAAAGCCACGGAAAACGCTGACAACCAGAATTTATGACTCCCCTCCACAGAGCTAATGCACGGCAGCAGTTTCGGCCCCTCCACGCTGGGCCCCCTTTTCCTTCAGCAAGAATCCTGAAAAAGTATTAGAAATTTGACATCCGCCCCAGAAGCTGAATTTCTGTTTGGCCTGACACCAACGTGCCCTTGTTGATAATCTCTTATGTGCTGGATGTTTCTATAACACAGACGTGCTAGTTTTATGCATTGTGAAGGGAAGCTTAACATAGGAATAAGGTCAATAGAGAGACACAAACTCCTAAAAACATAGCCATGGAATTATCTCAGTTTTGAATGATTATTATGATAGGATGATAAGCACGATTTGAGAATATGTCTGTACTTAGCAAAGTGCAAGACTTGCCTTCACCTTGCTTTCACCAGCATTTTAATCTTATTGGTAATTACAGTGGGAAGCAGGGCAAGATGTTGGCACCTGTGAAAGCAGGGCAGATGGCACCGTCTATGGGATTTCAGAAGTCTCGGAAATTGTGGCTAGACAGGAGGAAAATGGTTAATTTCTACAATCTGTTTATTTGCATTTAAATTCCTAACTGGGTAACTGTTCCTCTCACACATTTGTAAAGCTCATTTGTCCTTAGATGCTGTCTCCTACCTCTACCTGTCATCTAATTTACCAGTACTTTTAGAATTCGTACCAGCAAAATGTATCTCAAATTTCAGCCCTAAATATGAGAATACCGCTGTCTATTGCCACTCACTCTTCTATGAGGGAGGGAGAGCCACACTGACTAACCTGGTCAACTAACAAAAAGGAAAAAGCCCTAAGGGATGAGAACTGCTGATGATTAGGTTCCACTGGGTGGAGTGAATGGTTCCCATGTGATATCTATTGAGAGAGTGAGCGAGCAAGAAGATGCCTGAAGTGGGTGACATGAATCTGAACAGAAGATCTCTGAGGTGTTCCCCAACTTCTGGGGGAAATTGTCCATACGCTGTATGGGCATATGGACAGCCCCTTCTCCCCACCTGAACATATGGACAGCCCCTTCTCCCTACCTGCCCCTTGTTTATAATATCCTCCTCTAGAAGCTGAGGAAAGACATAATAAGTCTCTTGGGTGTCTGCAATAATTAGTTTGATCTAGTTGTAATGCCAGGAAGGATCAAACTGTCCCTGACTTCCATCAAGCGGTTCAGGAGCAGAGCAATGCAGGACAGGCAAACAGGCAGAATAGTGTCATGACACGCATGTGAGGCAGGTGAGTCACTTCTGGATGATTCCTCACTTCCTGAGGAAAAATATTCCTAAGTCCTGCTACAGTGCTTTCACTCCAGCTTCCAAGTGAAGCTTATTGCTTATGGATGCATAGTCTTAACACATGGGGCCGAAAGTAGGGCTAGTCAAACCTTATGCTACAGGAAAGAAGTCAGTCACACAAGGACAAATACTGGATGACCCCAATTGCATGAGGTAGCTAAAGTAGTCGAAGTCACAGAGACAGAAAGTAGAACGGTGGTTGCCTAGGGACAGGGGAGTGGGGAATGGGGAATTTGTGTTTAAAGGGTATAAAGTTTCAGTTGGGGAAGTAAAAATGTTTTGGAGATAGAACTGCATAGCAAAATGAATGCACTTCATAATAATAATACAAAAGAATGGCTAGTCAAAGAAAGAACTGGGGCCAAATCAGAGCTGCTTACCTTTTCTGTGCATTCTCCAAGTGACTTTCTTCCATCTTATGCTCTTTTTTGGCTGTAAAAGATAAATCATGATTAAAAATTTTTTCTTCTGTTGTCTCCTTTGCGTAATCTTACAGCTTCAATTACACCCATTCATTACCACAGGAGGTCTGAATTCGGGGGGGGGGGGGGGGGGTAGCCTGTAACACATGTCCTGGCAATAACACTCAATTTGCTTTATTTGCTACCACTGCTTTTTTTTTTTTTAAATTATACTAAGTTCTAGGGTACATGTGCACTACGTGCAGGTTTGTTACATATGTATACATGTGCCATGTTGGTTTGCTGCACCCATCGACTCGTCATTTACATTAGGTATTTCTAATACTATCCCTCCCCCAGCCCCCCACCCCCCAACAGGCCCCAGTGTGTGATGTTCCCCACCCTGTGTCCATCTGTTCTCACTGTTCAACTCCCACCTATGAGTGAGAACATGCAGTGTTTGGTTTTCTGTCCTTGTGATAGTTTGCTGAGAATGATAGTTTCTGGCTTCATCCGTGTCCCTGCAAAGGGCATGAACTTACCCTTTTTTATGACTGCATAGTATTCCATGGTGTATATGTGCCACATTTTCTTAATCCAGTCTCTCATTGATGGACATTTGGCTTGGTTCCAAGTCTTTGCTATTGTGAATAGTGCCACAATAAATATACATGTGCATATATCTTTATAGTAGCATGATTTATAATCCTTTGGGTATATATCCAGTAATGGGATCACTGGGTCAAATGGTATTTCTAGTTCTAGATCCTTGAGGAATCACCACACTGTCTTCCACAATGGTTGAACTAATTTACACTCCCAACAGTGTAAAAGCGTTCCTATTTCTCCACACCTTCTCCAGCATCTGTTGTTTCCTGACTTTTTAGTGATCGCCATTCTAACTGGAGTGAGATGGTGTGTCATTGTGGTTTTGATTTGCATTTCTCTGATGACCAGTGATGATGAGCATTTTTTCATGTGTCTATTGGCTGCATAAATGTCTTCTTTTGAGAAGTGTCTGTTCATATCCTTTGCCCACTTTTCGATGGGGTTGTTTTTTTCTTGTAAATTTGTTTTTCTTTGTGGATTCTGGATATTAGCCCTTTGTCAGATGGGTAGATTGCAAAAATTTTCTCCCATTCTGTAGGTTGCCTGTTCACTCTGATGACAGTTTCTTCTGCTGTGCAGAAGCTCTTTAGTTTAATTAGATCCCATTTATCTATTTTGGCTTTTGTTGCCATTGCTTTTGGTGTTTTAGTCATGAAGTCTTGATAACAGACATAGCTAATAGTGGCCAAATAATTTATTGTTTCCTCTGGGATACTTTTGAGAGTAATGTTAATAATTACACCTAGGCAAAGACATAAATTAGGGAAATCTTGGGTAGATCACGACATGTGGTCCCTCTTGCACGTCTCATCATGTTCCCCCTTACTCTAAACATTATAAATCCAGTAGCATTTGCAGCAGTGCTGCTCAGAGTCATGGGAATCTTGCCGCATACTGCCTCCACACCCACAGGCCCTTTTGGCAGTCTAGGGAAGCCCATGGACTCTTGTCAGAATAATGTTTTCATAAGGTTACTAAGAAAATCAGTGATACTAAGATACAATTCTGAATCCACAGGTTAAGAACCTATGTTCTTTCTATAGGATTATCAAGAGGTTTCATTTTGGGGTGGTTCTTTTATATATCCTTCTCTACAATCAGAAGATATATTATTATATATGAAAATACCACTCTCACACTTTAAAATATCCAGAAAAATAGGAAAGTTGTTAACATAAGCTACAACATAAGTTGTTATGTTATTATGTAACATGTTATTATGTAACATAAGCCTTCAGATTCCTTTAATTTAGGGCTACAATGATGTAAAATGAACGAAAATAAGTAAGTCTCGTATCTAGGATCTATGCTGTGATACTTCATGAAAGATAAGGGATTTTGAAACATCACCCTTTTATTAAACCTGGCCCTACCACTTACTATCTGTATGACTTTGGCAAGTTAGTTAAGACCAAATGCTTAGTTATTGCCTCATCTGTCCCATGAGAACAGCCATAGTGACCATTATCATACAGCTGCTGTAAAGATTTAATGAGATAATACATGCAGAGTGCTTAGCACATAATGTGTGCTCAATATAGGCCATGGCAGGTATTAATACTACATTACCATAATCTTCCTCATTGATTTTAAAATGTAAAGGCTCCCCTGCTCAAAACCTTCCAATGGCTTGTCTTGCCATCAGCCTTGACATAGTATCTACAGTCTTCAAAATGCTCTAGAAGGCCCTGCACTTAAGTCGGCTCCCTGGCTGTTTGGTGGCATTACCTCCTCTTTCCCACACCCCTTCCTTTCCAGCTTCGCTGGCAGCTGCCTCTGGCTTGAGCGCACTGAGCGTGCACATTGGAGGATCTTTGCACTTGCTGTTCCTCCTCTCTGGGACACCCTGACCACAGTCTGCACGATGGGCTCCCTCACTGCATTGAGGTCTCAGCAGAAGTATCTCCTTCTCCAGCTTCCGTAAATAAAAGACCATCCCTTGCCACTCATCATCTTCCTACTACCCCTCCACACACACCCTCTACCCCTACCTTCCTTCCATAGCCTTCCCACAGCCTCTATCTACCTAACAGACTATTCCTTTCCTCATGTGTTTATCATGCAACAACTGAATGTAAGCTCTAGGAGGGCAGCAGCTTCACCTGGCTTGCTTTCTGCTGTAGCCTTAATTGTAGAAAACTGGCTATATGTTAAAGCAATCATTTTAGCTTAAAAATGCATATATTGGATAAAGCTTGCTTAAAAAGAGATATACTGGCTTTCCTGAAAAAACTTTATATTTAGAATATGAACATAAGCTAAAGAAGATTGAGAGGCTAATGTTGTATACCATTATCTCTAAATGTAGTATATTTCAACTAGTAAAACTTATTTTGTTTTATATTAAAATGATTCAGCTTTCATAAGTGCATCATTTTAGGCAGACGGAAGCCATGGCCAGGGCCATCTTTTGCTGTCTGATGTCCCCCCATACTCTTGGCAGGAATTTCTGTGAATTAGTCTGGTACTTAGCCAATCAGATACTGAGAAATGACCTGTGTCTCTCCTAGGTTATCAAGTTCCCCAAAATGTGAAACAAACTAGTGATCTGTTCTTCTCCAGTGATTTTAAGTTATGTGCATAGCCAAACAGGAGGAAAAATTCCTCTGAGGCCCGAGTGATCTTCTTGGACCAGCTCTGCTCTCTCAGCAGATGGTTTCTAACTGGCTACTTCCAAGCTGTGTGTGCTAAGCAGAGTGTGGCCAAGCCATAACTGTATATGAATTTAGTGACAAGAAATACCCTATTCAAACTGAATTGAGCATCAGGTAAGATTTTGCAATACCTCTGTGAATATGGTGATTTGGAGAAACAGAGTCTAAATGTAAAAAGAGGTATTATTAAGAGCCAATGCACACTGCAGAAAACTCTGAGGGTTTAGGGAAAAGGGCCTTCAGGAAAATGAGAAGAAATTAGAGATTTAAATGTTCCCTAATTTTGCCCTTGTACAGATACAAAAGGCATCTACCTTTATGGTGTGACTTGGAAGCTCTAACAGCATGAAATATTTCTCCTACTTGAATGTGTAAAATTTTAAACCAGGCCATTACACATTTTAAGTCTTCAAGATGCTCTAAGCAAAACACAAATACATGACCTGGAAGAACCATGTTTAAAGACTGGAGTCACAAACTCAAATTCTAATACCATCAACAAATAAGGTCACTGTGGGCCAAGTATAAGAATCCCGGTGTTCCAACGTTCTAGTTCTAGCTTTTCAATACGGGAACTATATATCATACAATTGCTCCACAAGAACAATTCTGAAGTTCATAGTTCCACAGCCTACCAAGTGAAGCAGAAATGGCTTTCTATTCCATGGCTATGGGCCCAAGGAATGCAAATCAGAACTCATGATAACTAACTGCCAAGCTTTAACCCTAGCTGTGTCACCTGAGTGTCATGAGCCAATCACAGTGTCCTGTGTTTCAGTCTCCTGCTCTGTCAAATGGAGATGATGATACCTACCCTCCCACATAGTTGCAGCCAGTCTTTGCAGTCAGGTCTTTGACAGTTCAACGTCATGCCATGGCTGCTGGGGGTTCAAGCTTCCAGTGGGTTGGCTGTTTTGCCAGAGTTAAATGAAGTGTAGCATAGAGGAAAGAGCTTGGGTTTTGCACCAGGTGGACCTGGGTTTAATTTCTGCTCTGATACTTATTAACTGGGTGATCGTCAGAAAATCACTTAACTCCACTGAGCCTTATCCGTAAAATGGGAATAATAAGATCTACCTTGCAAAGTGCTTGTGACTATGAGATATACTGAACGTGTGAGATTAATCTAGTGACTGACATATGATGGGCATTCCAGAATGGCAGCCATTTATTGTCTATTGGCTAGAAGCAAATGCTAGTAGTCACTACTCTAGCTTTCTGACTTTTTGGCATGGTTATCACAAAATTGCACACAACATGCTTTCTTTAGAATGTTCATAACTGCTTTCAGTAGACAAGAATTTTGGTTGTTATCATTTATGCTCAAAACTTTAGTGTTTTTTTTTTTTTCATTTCACTCACTGAGCTGATGTCCTTAGCATGGCCTGTAAAAGGCTTTTCTACAAAAGGGTGGTTCCCTATGTCTGACCTAAAGTCATTTTATTTGCTGTTTCAGCTCATTTTGTTTTATTTCATCCTCAGGAGAAAGAGAAAAACTTATTTATAATTTAACAAATAACTGGGAGTCATGGGGGTGGATGTGAGGGGAGAGGTACTTAATGATTACTCTCACCTGTTTTTTCCCCTTAATGACCATGGAGTTCTGTAATCTTTGACCTGATTAACTGGATCACTTCCCCAATACCAAATAAAAGACAATGATACAGGAGTCTTTTTTTGAGAGGTTAAGTTTTCTGAGAGCTAAGATTCCTTCCTTAACCTCTAGGCTCTATATGGTGACCTGTAACAGGTTCCCCTCATTGCACAGTAAATTCAATTCTCTTTGTTGCCACCAAAACTGCCATTTTAGAAGGCAAAGTGAACTATGCCCCTTTTCTGCTTAATGTTCTCACTGGTTCCCCCTCTGAAGACAAAGTGCATTTGCAGTTCACAGTGTGCCCCTCACACCTGCCTCCTGCCATCCCCATACTATCATCCCCAGAGCTCCTGCTGCGTGGGACTCATGGCTGGTCTCTGGACTTAACTTGCTGCATGGTGTCTTTATTTTTGGGCACTTTGCTCCTTCTGTTTCTAATGCCTTCTCTTCCTTGCCCTTCTCCCTTCTCCTACCCTTCTGTTTGAATGTCTTCTCTTTCTTTGAAAACCAAGCTTGAAAATCTCCTCTGAGGGGCCCTCCATGCCTCTCCCCCATAATGTGGTGAGCCGTTCTTTCTGTGGAGATCCAAACACACTATCTCCCCACAATTCCTTATCACAGCACACAGAATGCTATGTCAAGGTCACTGGCTTGCAGCTGGCTTTTCCCACTGGACTCTGTGCTCCTTTCAGAGTTGCAACCAAAATCTGTTTTCAGAGTTTTTCTCTCAACTATTACCTAGCAGGTACTCAAATACTTATTTTTTTTTTTCTTTTGAGACAGGGTCTTGTTCTTTCACCCAGGCTGGAGTGCCGTGATGCAATCTCAGCTCACTGCAACCTCCATCTCCCGGGTTCAAGTGATTCTCCAGCCTCAGCCTCCCAAGTAGCTGGGATTATAGGCACGCACCATGGCTGGCTAATTTTTGTATCTTTAGTAGAGACAGGGTTTCACCATGTTGGCCAGGCTGGTCTCAAACTCCTGACCTCAAGTGATCCATCTGCCTCAGCCTCCCAAAGTGCTGGGATTACAGGCGTGAGCCACCGTGCCCAGCCTTGTGTACTTATTTGACAGATGGAAAAGTACACAACAGAAGAACCCATGTTAGCAGAACACAGTCCCTACTCATTAAGTGCCTGTTTTTTGGCACAGAAATTTCTAATCTTCCATCTTTTGTTTGCAACAAAATAGTGAAGAGTAGAGTAGAACTGAAAAGCAAGAGATTACTATGCCCATCCTATGTCCTGCTTTTAGACTGATACATTAACACAGGCACAAACAGCACTAACACTATAGGGAGGCACAAATAGCATTAACCCTCCAGTTTCGTCTGTATCAGATTGAGTCTTTAAAATATACTATTTTCCACAGTTAACTTTGAAAAAGAGAAAGTTTTTATAAATAAAATGATATTTCCATAAAATATTCAGACTAAGAACATTCACCATTTAAATGTACCCAAATAACCGAAGTTTTTATTCTCAAGAGGGTGGCATTCATACAATGAGAGTGGCTGAAGGAGGAGGCCACTCTTTAAAGAAAGTGGGGCTTTTATGCCAAACGCAATTAAGTCCTATTTATGGATGCCCATCTGGGAGGCAGTAAATTGTGAAATAAGGGGAAGGGATAAGGGTTGGAGTATCTTCCTAGTATTCTTTACACAGTCTATTACACTTTAATATACCATGGTTTATGGACCTGACATGGTTGGTATAAACCAACAGGACGCACAGTTAAGAAGTTGTTTTTATTACAGCTCTACAAATATGGGAGCCGGGTGATGCTAACGAGGAAACAAAGGGACTGCGCTCTGCTTCACGTGGGATCCGTCTGATGTGAGTGTGGCAATCGTTTTCCATTTCTTAGAAAATCCCCGTTGTGCACTTTCCAGGAGAAACAAATGCTTTACACCAACAGAGGCACAGCACGCTGACATCGGAAAGGGATGGCCTTTTAACATTTGAGAGAAGAAAACAACAGATATTTGGAACCAGTTTGTGATGCAGAGTTCTTACCCTTACATTTTTCCTTCTGGTATGCTTGCCCATGGAGGACGATATCCTTGCTGGTCTTCCTAAGTTATTAGTTTTCCTGGTTGTGGTGAAATTAGAAGAGTGATCATTTCTGGTCTGTCAGAGCAAGTGTCTAAGCTGGATGGTAAAGTTGAAGAGTAGAGGGCCACCTGTGAGATTTTCTGTGTAAAGTGTTATGAGGTTGTATAAAGACATGCTGTCAAGGTTCCTAGTGTAGGGTGTAGGATTTCCAGGTCACTTGCCTAAGGCTAAAGTGGACTAGGAAACTAGGCTTTTGGTGAAAGTACCAAGTAAAGGACATTGTGTCACTACACTCTGAAGAGGTCTTCAGAGTCATAAAATAAAAAAAAAAAATCCAGTTAAAAGGAGTCTTCAAATGGTCATCTAGTCTACCTCCCAGGCTGATGTGCTATCCTGGATCCTCTTATTTCCAGTCAGACTTTGCAGACCTTGTCTTTTTCATCATTTTATTTGCTTTTTTTTTTTTTGAGACGGAGTCTCGCTCTGTCACTCAGGCTGGAGTGCAGTGGTGCGATCTCGGCTCACTGCAACCTCCGCCTCCTGGGTTCAAGCGATTCTCCTGCCTCAGCCTTCTGAGTAGCTGGGATTACAGGCACATGCCACCATGCCTGGCTAATTTTTGTAGTTTCGCCATGTTGGCCAGGCTGGTCTGAAACTCCTGACCTCAAGTGATCCACCCACCTCAGCCTCTCAAAAGTGCTGGGATTACAAGCATGAGCCACCACACCCAGCCTTTTTCACCATTTTAATCTGCCATTTCTAGTTGCCCCTTAAGTGAATTGGAGTATTTTATGGACACTAAACAAACAAACAAACAAACAAACAAACAAACAAAACCACGAAATGGTATCACCTAACTTGGGCACCTGGGGCTGTTCTCAACCAGGGTCCTTCATCTGAACTGCAGAACACAGAAAAGGATTTGAGAAGCTATTTTCTCAGTTTCCCCATATACACATCACCGGGAACATTCTAAATGTCTAGGACAATGCCAACTCATTACACACAATGGCAGAGATAGGGCAGTACGACTTAATTCCCTTACACATAGTTGAAAATGTGAGTCCTGAGGCAATCAAACTTACAAGTGACTTATAATATTAAGTCATTTACACTTTTATACAGGCTGAGTACTCCTTATCTGAAATGCCTGAGGCCAGAATTGTTTCCAATTTCAATTTTTGTCCCCCACATTTTGGGATACTTGCATATACATAATGTAATACATTGGGGATGGGACCCAAGTCTAAAGATGAAATTCATTTATGTTTCATATATACTTTATACATAGAGCTTGAAGGTAATTTTATTCTTCCCTCAAGGACACTGAAAAAACTGTCTATTGTGCTCCTGCATTTTGGCCGAGACCGTCACATAAAGTCAAGTGATGGGTCTTGTCAAAACGCAGGTGCGCAACAGACAGTTTATTCATGTCATGTCAGTGCTCAAAAAGTTTCAGATTTTGGAGCATTTTGCATTTTGGATTTTCAGATTAGAGATTCTCAGCCTGTATCTCTAAATCTAGTACGATGATATTCGTAAAATATCTTATTGGTATAACAACATGAATTACAAAGTGCTGTTTGCATACAATAGAAAGGGTCAGACCTTCTACAATAGAAATATTTCAGGTGTCATGTATTCATTTATATTCTCTGGTGACTGTAATAATAATTTGTATAGGTGACAGGTACAATTTCAGAGATCACAATATACAGTTGGCCCTCTGTATCTGTGGGTTATGGATTCCACCAACTGCAGACTGAAAACATTTGGGGAAAAAATGGATGGTTGTGTCTGTGCTGAACATATACACGCTTTTTTTTTCCTTGTCATTCCCTAAACAACACAGTCTAACAACTAGTTATATAGCATTTACATTGTATTAGGTATCATAAGTAATCTAGAGATGATTTAAAGAATGGGTGTAGGTTATAGCAATTACGACACCATTCTATATGAGAGACTTGAGCATCTGTAGAGTTTAATATCCATAAGGGTCCTGGAACCAATCCTCCACGGATACTGAGGGATGACCATAATCTCAAACACTTAACCACATTATACATCTAGTCTGTGATCAATAGTAACTACTGCAAAAGTAAACATTTTATCAAGTCACAGTTCTAGGAGGTAATCGGACACAAGTATAATTGGGATCTAAATGAAGTATATTTACCCACACTTTTTCAGAAGTAAACTCACTTTTTTTTTCCCAATATATTTTCACTAGAGATGAGATGCTTTGCCCCAAGGTAAGTCTTTCAACCATTTACAATACTGACAAAACACTTGGCCTTCAGACTTTATGAAGGATTTTGTTCATTCTTCTTAAAGGCAATCATTTGATTTGTGGCTGATATTCTACTACTTTTGTTCCTCTGCTTCTGTGTAGTCCAGTGAAGTCCCTCAATGCTGCACAACTACCTGTATGCAGAAACATCTTGGCTTCGAGTGATACAGATGCAATTCCTTGATGAAGTTGATAAGACAGTATAACCTTAACCTTGCTATAACTTAGCCCAACTATTTAATCTCAACGTGGAGAAAATGGATACCCAAGTAGATGAAGCGACTATTTGGATTACACTAATAGTCACAGAATCCAGGCCTTTTGACTAATAATTTAATAATTTTGGCTAATAATGTGACTAATAATCTACATTTTCCAACGCTCCCTGCTGCTTCCCAAGGGGCAGCATTTTTCTCCAGGATTCCCAAACACCGAGGTGGTATTTTGAAGCTGCACTGTACTACACATCTTCCATAGGAATAGATACATCAGAGAGAAAGTTCCAAGATGGAATTTCAGCTTTCACGCTAAATTTCCTGACTCTTGATGCTTTAAAACAGACCGTGGGGGTACAATTTCAGAATGATCTGGTGAGAGACTCATTAACATTAATGGGAGTCAGGTGGTCACATTCTCAAACAGGGCCTGAAATTCTCCAAGTTATACCATCTTCTAGACCCATATATGTCTTTAACTTATCACCATTAATAGAAGTGACAGATGTCTTTTGTAAAATGCTTTTCCTTAGTTATTTTTCACAGATATTTCTAAACAAGCATATTTATAAAATATAATTTTCACTTAAGGGATAATTATACATAAATCTATTTCCTTGTAATTAAAAAATAATTATACATAAATCCTGTTTCCTTGTAATGTCTACCTTGTCTCCCAGCCATCTCATTTCCAACGGGAAGGGTCTGACCTTATACAATACTTTAGAAGTATTTCAGGTGTCATGTAGGGAAACTAAACTCTATAGCCTCATCATTCAGACAGCAGACACCATTTAGGAAATATTAGGAATTGCAAAGAAGCTAAATTTTTAAAAGAAGGCTTCTTGCATTTTGTTTCATCAAGAACCTTAGTGAAATTTCAAAAGCAATGGGGTTTACAATCACAAGGCTCTGGATAACCATTTGGTGATAAATTGCAGGTATTCTAATTTGGAGGAAGCTCTTCTTTCCCAGACAACTCTGTCTCATCTTAACATTAGCACTAGTCTGAAGGTGTATAGTTTCTGAAAGGCATGGACTACGGCCTTTTTCTTTCAAACTTTGTATTCAAATGCTTAGCACTTGAGACTATAAACCTAGTATTTATAAATCGGTAACTTGTTGCTTTATTAATTGGTGAGAATGTCCACAAAAGTGTGAATTTGTAGCAGGTTCATGAGCAAAGTGGTAATAGGCTGCATGTTTATTTTATTTTATTATTATTATTATTATTTTTGAGACAGAGTCTCGCTCTGTCGCCCAGACTGGAGTGCAGTGGTGCGATCTCGGCTCACTGCAAGCTCCGCCTCCCGGGTTCATCCCATTCTCCCGCCTCAGCCTCCCGAGTAGCTGGGACTACAGGTGCCCGCCACCACGCCCGGCTAATTTTTTGTATTTTTAGTAGAGATGGGGTTTCCCCGTGTTAGCCAGGATGGTCTCGATCTCCTGACCTCGTGATCTGCCCGCCTCAGCCTCCCAAAGTGCTGGGATTACAGGCGTGAGCCATCGCGCCCGGCCTGCATGTTTATTTTTATTTCTTCTTTAAAGTAGTGTTCTTCAAAAGCAACTCTCATTTTTTTAACCTCATAGCATTTTAGTACTAGATATTCAGCAAATCTAAAGAAAGAAAGCACCTCATGTTAATTTTTTTTAATGGAAGAAAAAGTTCTCCAACTAGCTTCTTTGGGTTTCCCATAACTGCCTCTGATGATTATCTATGATATTTAGGGCCAATACTTCATTCTTCAGACTTTAACTTGTCCATATGTACACTAGATAAAATGAAACCTTACACTTGAAAACTATGGAGCTATACAAAACTTAAGAAATTACCTCATATAAACCCCTCATGCTATAGTTTAAAAACAAGCTAAGTTAAACAATAATAGGAGACTGAATAGATAGTGGATTTTCCAATAACGGAATCACGTACTGGAGTGTGTCCCCTTCCCTTCACCAGCCATAGCTACAACTAAGATCCAAGGACAGTCAACCTAATGCTTATAAAGTAGTCTAATACAATGGCCTAGCACAGTCAGATTGGTGGTGGTGGTGGTAATGATGGTGATGAACATTCACTGAATACTCAGTATGCCAGGTGCTATGATACTAAATTCTTAGGTTCTACACTGTGGATTAACAGTGGAGCCGAAGCTTCCAAGTGCTCCATTACTTTCTAACTATTGACACTGGGTCAGTTGTTTAATGTGGCTAAGACTCAGTTTTCTCATCTATAAATGAAAGTAATGATAGAGCCTACATTCGACAGCTGTAGTAATTAAAAGAGATGTTTGTAAGGTGCTCGGCCATGGCACCTGGCACATTAGTTAAGTAAATACCGATTATGATAATGACTACCATCACTATAATTCTTTGTAATCCAGTGACATTTGCTTGTGCAGCCTTTCTTGGGTTCCTGTGAAACTTCTCTGGGGAATTTCAGCACCCTGTTTCTCCTTAGTAATACGTGTATCCCTACAGTAAGCTCCCAAGGATTAAAGCACACTTCCTAGACCCACATACCACAAAACGTGCTTGCAAAAAATATCACGGGAAAATGCTATGACAAAATTATAAATAAAGAATATAAAGCAGTGGCATGATGTGCCTAAAGTTACGTCAAAAGGTATATCACACACATTATATATATAGTTATCAAAATATTGAATCCATAAAAGAGTCAGAAGGTAACATACCAAAATATTATGGTTGCTATTTCTGCCTCTCTGGTTAAGAGGATTTTTGTTTTTCATTTGTTTTTAGTTGCTTTTTGAAGAAAGGGGCTCATTTAATATAATCAGAAAAAGAAACAACAGATGCTGTTTGGAGGCAGCTGCAGAGCACTTTGAAAGCGAGTGACCTGCCTAAGGTCATACAAATAGTTTTGGGCAAAAAAGAAAGAAGCTGTCCCCTGACTCCCGACTAGTTTTCACTAGGCCACACTGTGATTCTTTATAGGTTCCTGCTGAAAAACTGTAAAACTGTCATATTACTACAGTGGAACAATAGAGAAATAAGTCGTAACAGAAAAACAACCATTGTCACGGATAAGTTAAATTTCATTGGGCAGTCACCCACATTAAAGTCCTTTATTCACACCTTATACTCACAGGCAACATGAAATTCTACAATCTCTATAAAGTAACCATTCTACATATTTTTTACAAATTGTTCAGAAGGACATCCAATATTAAGAATAGTTTCAATCACATTATAAAGAGTAAAATTCAGATAAAAAGCTATTAGGCATGGTCAGAGATTTTAATGGCTTAAGACTGACGTTAACTAAAGAAAAACTAAGAGAAGAAAGAAGCCATACTTATACATGATTTACAATATACAGCATCATACCTTGACAAAGGAAATTTCTTGTTCTAGATCTATTTACACGAAACCTCTGACATCTGTGTAGCTTAACACATTTGTTAAATAGCTGAAGCTCTCCCTCTAGAAAAATAATTGTTCAGATGTTTAGTCATAAAAATGAATAGACTACCAGAACGTCCTGTAAATAATCATGAAATAGCCATTGCTATCCTTAAATCAATCTTCTTTTAAAACCCTGGCAAAGGCTAAATGTACTTAGGAAACTGAATTTACATGGCCACAGAACCCGACAAAAGTCTAATTTCCCTAATATTGGCTATTGCTTACAACATCAAATTACTTTTTAACCCATTTTTATTTCACTTGGTCAAGGGTTTGTCATAGCTGGAGGTTTAAAACGGGTCCACTAGAAATGGTACCCAAGAATTAACACGATGACTTCAAGAGCTCTGATGTTACCAAGTATCTAGGTGTGATGAAGGTCATAATCTGTCTCTTGGGTGATATTTGCAGGAAAAGAAAATGCTGAGAGAACTGGGATTCCCAAAGAAGATGCTGCAGAAGATATTTTCCACATTAAAGAACATTTGATCTGTTCCACCAGTAGATGAACCATTAGCAGAAGCAATCATTATCAGAGCCAGTAAAAGGAAATAAAGAAATGAGGCTTGGTTTTTAAAGTGACCACACTGCTTCTAAGTCAAGGTGAAAGTGCTGACAGTGAATTTATCAGAATTCCAGGTGGAATCCTCCAGAGTCACCTTTCAATCATAACTGTCATCCTCAGAGAAAAAGCTTTTGTTGAAGAAAAATTTGTACAAACATTGAATAATCACATTGATATGGTAACAATTTAACAATACATTCAATAAGAATGAATGTTACAGTGGGTCACTTTTTCCCTGCTTTTTATCAAACCTTTGTATTTTCCCCAGATTTTACAAGTAATAAATCCTCATTGTAGAACATTTGAGAAAGATATAAATAAGAAAATAAAAGCAGTGCATAAGACTTTCTCTGAGCAATGGCCACTATTAATATGCTGATTCATTTCATAAATGTATATATTTATAATCACACACTCATTTGTGCTTTAGTTATATAGTTGAAATTATATTGAATGTAATGTCCTTTCTTGCTTTTTCATTTTTTCCCTTGCATTTTATTTAACATAAAGGTATAGGTATAGGTCAACTTCTAAATGAATACTTTTATAATGAATTTATATTTAAATTTACAATTATTAAAAATAATTGTTGAAAAATTAGCCTTTATTTCAAAGTGAGTATGGAACCTATTCAAACAAAACATTTTCTAGAAACTCATGAAAGCATTTCAGAATAATTTTTTGACAGTTCTTCCTAAACGAGATCTTGTAGGAAAGAAGTGTTTATGAAGGATTATTAAAATATTACCAAATAGAATTAAGGCAGATTTTTATCTTTTGATTTAACTTGGAAATCATCCATTGCTTCACCCTTTAGTCTTCCTATTTTTGCGCCTTAGAGAAATGTTTTACATGGCTACCAGTGCATTTTAAAATAGTGTCTAATACTGCAAAGTAAGTTGAGATTTCTTTATCCTGTGCTTAAACCTAATATATACTACTTATTCTGTATTTGAAAAATATAGTATAAAGAAAATACCCTTAATGCAAAAAATATTGAGGATCAGTATATTCTTGGAAGCAAATGTGAAGCCTCTGTGTATATGACAAGCCACACACACAAGCACGCATTCAGTAGGAAACAGATCTCCCTCGAAATCTGAGAGGGTAAAATGTTCAAATATTATGCAAACTGGAGAAGTGCCACCATCTCCTGTACGCAGGAGCCTGAAGCTAATTGTACAAGTGGCACGAAGCTGATTTCAGAAAGTAAAAAAAAAAAAAAAGGCTCATGAAACCAGAGGCTTGAAATGTTTTACTGGAGAAAAACCATAGCATTACCTCCTCCTGTGGGATGATAACAATGATTTATGAAGCTGAAGTCATTCCTTGTGATTGCACTTCAGGGAGATTGGTTTCACATGATCTGCGAAGGCAGGCAAGGCGAGCTGAAGAAGAACCCCACATGTTCAACTGAGGCTGAGCTCTGCCTCTTCAAGGGGATTCCAGAGCTCCGAGGAGGGGGAGGAAAACCTACTGCTTTCTGATCCATGCAACCCCCTTCCCCCCAACCAACAAGCTTATTAGGTGGACATACGGCTCTCTTATTTTCTCTCTCCTTTTAAAAAGTATTACTACTTCTGCTGTGTGGGAGTAGAAGCTTGTTGTAAATGCCCAGCAGGATAGTAGCAAAGCCAAGATTAATTCCCTATGGATTTATATGGGTCGTTCTCACCCACGATGACTTGTACCGTTTCAAAGGTGCTTATGCTGCTGTTTTTATGGCTGGTCACTAACTTTATTCTGGCATATGGTGGTTGGCGCCATGACATGGAGTGAACATTTTATACCTGAATTAAAGTGGATATTTGACAGTTTCTGTCAGAAAGTTCAGAGCAAAGAATTTGTGGGACAAGATTTATTGCATATTTTATATGGGACACATCTGTTTCTTTGCTAGCTTTGTTCCTTCCCACAAAAAAATTTAAAGACGTTTCCTAAAGAAATATAATGACTGATAGGAAAAAAATTCCAAAGCAGAAGAAAAATATGGTCAAAAGTTGGGCATTTAGGATCTAACTTTATAAAAAAGAAAGAAAAAAAACCACTTCTCATTTTGACGAGGAAAAATGACTCACAGTCATGTATAGAAGCTCAGTGAAACAATGCTGTTATTATTGGCAATTATTTTATGGTTAGTTTAATGTCATTTATATAATGAAATTAAAAATGTAAATGTATTACCTACCATTTTTCGCATACTTGAAACAGGACTGGCAAGAATAATCTGCCTTTGATGTATTTTTAAGATTTTGCCATCTCAAATGGTGGACTGAATAATAAGTCCAGCTACATCAGTGTTAAACAAAATAATTACAGATATTTAAACATTTAAAACTGATATGCCTAAAGATAAACGCAGACGACTTCCAACCAAAATCCATCAATACAACCTGAAGGGTGTATATAAACTTCTCATCTAAAAACTCCCTGTATTGTAAAAAGTCAACTGAGTAACAAAGATTCATGATTACAACGTGAAGGGTGTATATAAACTTCTCATCTAAAAACTCCCTCTACTATAAAAAGTGAACTGAGTAACAGAGATTCATGATTACATAAAAAGCGGGCTCAACCTGAAACTTTGCGTTAACAGACAGGCCACTTTTTCTTTTAACTGCAAAGAGAGAGGCTTTAATTCTATTATGAAACTGAAAATAAAACTTCCACTCTTAAATATTTTGCAAAATTAATCCTTAACTAATTTAGGTTATATGCATTCTCCTTATAAAAATATAAAACATTACAGATAAAGTCCCCCTGATAGCCCTCTGCATCACACCCTCTGTCTCCCCCAACACATATATATATATAGTTATCTTCTACAACTCAAGTACTGTTATCATTTTGGGAGTATCCTTCCAGAACTTCTGAGTGTCCCTGTGCAAACATGCAAGGTTTCTCTAAGACAGACATAGAGAAGTAGATTTGTTAGTGTTATCAGGTAGACATAGTTTTAATTTATTTGAGACTGTCAGTCCTCCACAATGATAGTATAATTTAATACTACGAAGGGCTGATAATTGTTTTGTCAAACTTTTAAAATTCTGCAAATTACATAGATTTTGGTACCAACCCTTGGTTAAATATTTTGCAAATATATTTTCCCATGCTTTTGCTTGTCTATTAACTTTGTTTACAACGTTTATCATTTTTAAATTTAAATCTGAAACAGTCAAATTCATAAATACTCTTCATGTCTTTTGCTGATTAAATCATTTGCAAGAAGGTCTCGTCTACTCCCAAGGTAATAAAGAGGTCTCGTATTTTAATACTGTCTATATTTTTGGTTTTGCTTTTGTCCTTTAGATTATTATTTGAAATTGTGTGAGGCAGTTTTGTTGTTGTTGTTGGAGATGGATAAACACTGTTCAAATGTCACAGATTTTCTAAGATACAATTTTCTAAGAGATAATCAGATTTTCTAAGAGATAATCAGAGTATCCAAATAATGGCAGATTGTCTTGTCCTCTCTCAGGTTTAAATGAGTCATTTCTTTTTCCTTTCAGCTGCCTGGGTAAAGTTGGTCCATTCGTGTTTATTTTGATTATGAATATATTTAGATTAATCCTCATATTTATTTTGTACTTTTCTTCACCAAGCTTGCTGGCTATTTACTTTTTCACCTTTTCCTAACTTTTGTTGGATTCACCAAACTGTCTTTGCTTCATTTTTCCTTTACTGGTTTGAACATGATAAATTCTAACTTTTTGACTAATAAATATTTAAATCTTTTTTTTTTTTTTTTTTTTGAGATGGAGTCTTGCTCTGTCACCCCAGGCTGGAGGGCAGTGGCACAATCTCGGCTCACTGCAACCTCTACCTCCCGGGTTCAAGCAATTCTCTGCCCCAGCCTCCCAAGTAGCTGGGACTACAGGCGCCCGCCACCATGCCCAGCTAATTTTTGTATTTTTAGTAGAGATGGGGTTTCACCATCTTGGCCAGGCTGTTCTTGAACTCCTGACCTCATGATCCACCTGCCTCAGCCTCCCAAAGTGCTGGGATTACAGGCATGAGCCACCACATCCGGCTAATACTTAAATCTTAACACCCATTATACCTGTGATTTTAAGGTTATCTACAGCTTATTATATCTCAATACCCTAACCTGGAACAATATAAGGGAGGCTTGCTTTTCCTTTCATTCTCCTCCTAAATTCTACGGTCACATCCAATGCCTCATCCCATTTTGATATCACCTGCAATTTTATTTCCACATTATCAAACACAAATGCTTTACATTTTATTAGTAATGCTTTAACCATTATTTTATAAATGTCTTTGCTCATTATACCTTTTGCTACTCCACTTCTTCCTAGATTCATTTTCAACTTGAAGAAGTACAACTTCAAGAGAAGATCTGTGAGATACCTGTAATCCCAGCACTTTGGGAGGCCAAGGCAGGTGAATCACCTGAGATCAGGAGTTCGAGACCAGCCTGGCCAACATGGTGAAACCCCGCCTCTACTAAAAATACAAAAATTAGCCAGGTGTGGTGGCATGCACCTGTAATTGCAGCTACTCAGGAAGCTGAGGCAGGAGAATCACGTGAACCCAGGAGGTGGAGGTTGCAGTGAGCCGAGATTGCAGCACTGCACTCCAGGCCTGGGTGACAGAGTGAGAGTCTGTCACAAACAAACAAACAAACAAAAAAGATGATCTACGATTAGTAATCTTTCTAGGCTCTGCGTTTCTCAAAAGAATTTACTTTTCTCATTTACTTTAATGACAGTTTGGTTAAATTTAGAATTCTAGGTTCTGATATTTTTCCCCTCAGAACTTTACACTTATTACTCCATTTTTTTTTCCTGCATCCAGTGTTGCTGCTCAGAAGCTTCTTGTCTCTCAGCATTTTTCTAAAGCCTTGATTTCTCAAGGTTCATTATAAAGAATTAAGGGTGCACATATGTGTACATTTATTTTTCATTGCCTCTGTTGGCTCTTTCAATAAGAGATGCAATGTATTTTCATTTCTGGGAAGTAATGTTGCATTATTTGAGTATTTCTTACTCTCTTTTAAAAATATTTCATCAACTCAAATTTTAATTTCTATATTCTCTACTGGATTCTTTTTTATGAAGGTGTCTGTATCTTATAGTTCTCTGAGATTATAAAACACACATGTTCTGAATATCTGTTCTGCCTACAAGCATGTTTTTTCAGGTGTAAATTCTCCTGTTTGTTGAGTTTCTTGGCTTTCCTCTGTTGTTGATTCTGGACACGGAACCAATCTTGCTAGTTGAGTCTCACCATTGGGTACAAGAGTAGGACAATATGCTGCAGCTACTCTATCTTGGGGAGAACAGAGGAGGGCAGAATGTTCCATGGGGCAGGGTACTCACTCATATCCTGAGCTACCCAAGGCACTGCGCCCTTTCTCTCCTACCCACGAGCCCCCATTCATGGTCTGTCTCAAAGACAGAGAGTTTCTACTGTTTTTTTTTTTTTTTTTTTTTTTTTTTGAGACAGAGTCTTGCTCTATCACCCAGGCTGGAGTGCAGTGGCTCAATCTCGGCTCACTGCAAGCTCTGCCTCCTGGGTTCACACCATTCTCCTGCTTCAGCCTCCCGAGTAGCTGGGACTACAGGCACCCACCACCATGCCCAGTTAATTTCTTTTTGTATTTTTAGTAGAGACAGGGTTTCACGGTGTTAGCCAGGAAGGTCTCGATCTCCTGACCTCGTGATCCGCCCACCTTGGCCTCCCAAAGTGCTGGGATTACAGGTGTGAGCCACTGCGCCCGGCCGAGAGTTTCTATCGTTATTGCCTACACCAAGGTGGGCCCAAAGAGGTCATCTCTGCAGAATGAGAAAATTCTCACAAATGCCGTTATTCCAAGAAAACTGCTTAAATTTCAAAACTCAAAGTTTTAAGTTTCCTCTCACATACATTCTATGACAGTTCTTACATGTTTTGAGCATTTTTAAAGATTTGTAAACCAACAAAATGCTAAAGTAGCAATTTTACTATTATCATAAATAAGGACATGGTGGTACAATCATAACCATTTTTAAAATACCAATTTTAAAGGCACTATGTGGAAACAAAGCCCCTGAAAGCTACTATTCCAACTCATGCTGGAGGTTTAGTCACACCCCTGGTCCAGAATGCTTCGTGGGTAACTTTCATATTCGAAAAGTATTCTTCACAGAACAGGCTTCTGCGAACTCACAAGGTGGAAGGCATGGAGCCTGGAGCTGTAACATCCTACTGCAAACATAGGGAAGACCACATTGGAACAGTGTGCCCCTGCCAAAAGCCATGTGCTCCCTTCTTTACAGGTCTATAAAATGGCATGTGTGATTAAATAAGATTTCACTGAAGTGCTGGAAGCCACACACAGTTGAAACATGGACTTGGGGATGGCAGCAATGCCACCAGCAACAGATAGTGTAATGTACCCCCCGTGAGAGGGGAAAGGTGGGAAAGGAATTTTTAAAAATCTTTGGTCACGTTATTATTAATCATGTTATTTAATAACTGTGAGTACTATTTAAAAAGCAACACGTCCCATTTCCTTCATACCATGAAAGCCAAGTCTGCCTGGGCTGGAGCGTGGAGCCCAACACTGGTTTTCAGAGGCTCAGATTCTTACATGGTCCTCTTAGTGCGTGCTTACCTCACAGAGTGGATAGATATCCACATGAATTTGACAGATTACACATAGGTAATGCTTTAGAGTTTTTTGAACATTTTCAGAAACAGTATTTTTAAATTTTATTTGCAAGGAAAAAATGCTTATCAGTGGCAAGTCAGGTAGGGTCATGTTCAACATTGGTCAATTATCTCACCCATTCTGATCACTTGCTCTGTTCCCGCCACTGGCTCTTCTTCTCCCTCTTAAATATATTCAGGCTCCAAGGCCCGCTCTCTAGACTCTTTTCTATCTTTTAAGAGACAAGGTCTCACTCTGTCACCTAGGCTGGAGCACAGTGGTGCAATCAAGGCTCACTGGAGCCTCCAATTCCTAGGCTCAAGTGATCCTCCCACCTCAGCCTCCTGAGTAGCTGGGACTACAGGTGTGAGCCACCGTGCCCCAGCCCTCTGTTTTATAATTAGCTATAAATTCAGCTACTCTCGTTCTGCCGATGAATCTCAAATCTCTATCATCAACTCCAAACTACATTCTCAACATCAGATTTGCATTTCCCCTGCTCTGCTGAACATCCTGACATGAATAGCTGTCCAGGAATTCCAATTATTCCCTGAATTGTCTACCATAACACAAATTTGTTCCTTTCCTTGTCTGAGTCACCTCAGTAAATAGCATCGACATTCACTAAGATGATCAAAACCTGGGATTTGGCTCCTCCTTTTGTACAACTCCTACGTTTAAATCCAATTCCTGTCTTTTCTACTTCGAAAACATAGTCTTGAATTCATCCATACTTTTCCATCTCAATTTCCACCAGCCTGGTCCAAGATGCTCATTTTTCACCTGAGCTACTTCAGTAACTTCCTTATCTACTTTTGCCTCTGTGCATTTATTTGTCTACACAGCAACCAGAATAATCTTTTAAAACATGAATGTAGTCAGGTTACTTTCATTTTACAAATTCTTTTAAGGCTTCCTGTAGAATAAAATCCAAATTCCGTCTCATGATCTTCAGGGCCCTGCCTAGGTGGTCTGCCCTAGTTCTAGTTGTATTCGCCCATCTTAATCTCTCAGTATGCCAAGCTCTCAGCTGCCTCAGGGCTGCCAATCATGGTGTTCTTTCTGCGTACGATGTGTTTTTCTTCTATGCTTCCTATAACTGGCTCCTTCCCAGACTTAAATGTCATCACTGTTCTACTCTCCCTACTCTTTTAAAGTAGGTTTCTTAATACCAGCCCTCTTCAGCCAAACCTAAACTTTCCACAATTTGTAATTATACAATGGGTTACTTATTTGCTCTTTTGTCTCTTGCGCTTGCTAATTATAAGTTTATCTGTCCTGTTCATGACTATATAAACTATGCCTGGCACAGTACCTGACACACTGCTGACTCTCAAAAATGGGCTGAAGAAATTTTCTCTATTACCCTTTTCATTGCCATTCCCCTATTATACAGTTGTCTGTTTAGGATTGGCTCTCCTGACTACGTTGTGAGATCTTTAAGCCGGGAGACCGTCTCTTATCTTTGCTCGGCACAATATCTGACACACTGTGGGCCTATTCATAAAGAATGAATGGTTAAGATTAGGTACTCAGTAACCTTTTCCCCAAATTGTATTAGACCTGACATATAAAATCAGTGTGCGAGATGTTGTTTAGAATAAGTAGTTTTGAGAGGTCAAACAACAATGACACTGGTAGTAATAACAGCACATTTTGGATAAGGCTGTTTGGATAACAAAACTCGAATGATGGAAATAGTAGTTAGAAATCACTCAAAGTGAGACTCAAGGGAGCTGACCCTCCCTCTGGATGTCAAAATCTATCACTGACTTAGCAGTGGGGTCCCTAGAGTGTTTCTCAGAATAGTGCTTCCCACACATGTCAAGAGGGCCTAATGGCTGCTTCTTTCACAAGGGTGGTGGGGAGACACGTGAGGTCAAGTGTCCCACAGCCCATAGAGAAGCAGCTCTCCAGGGAGAGTGGAAGACTCTCCAGGGCCCTGCTTAGCGCAGCCTGAGAGGCTACAGGCCAACAGTGAAGGTGTTGAAAGACACTGAGATCGAATTCCCTGGGGGAAAAACGCTGCCCTGAGATTTAAGGAGAAAGAGGAAACAAGCCAAAAGGGTATGCTCAGAAACTGATGGAAAGGGCTAATGTCATCAGATCAAACCAAAGGAAATTAAAGGAAGATTTAGTGAAAAGAGGGCAAAAACAGAATCAAAGGACCCCAGGGAAGCGCAGACCAATTTAATGAGAAACCAGGAAAGTAGTGAGAACAACAAGGGAGTCTCTCTTCATCTATGTTTAATCCAGACTTCTTGCCATTTAATGCTAATGCTTTGCTCCATTCTTAAGTCATACCCACCTAGGAGTTTGCTTTGGAGTTTGTATGTAGGAACGAAGAGAGACCCACCTTCTATTAGAACACTACATGATCTCACACTATCATTACAATATTCCAGGCGGCTTCCAGATAGCATCTTAGCTGTGGAAATGCTATTCTCTTATGTCCTTCCCAGTTTTCCTAGCGCTGGCTCTTTCCAAAGCTACTCATTCTTATCTCCTTCAACTACTTTCTAAATAAACAAGCTGAGAAAACACACACAACTGATGTTTGCCTACAACTGATGCATTCATCTTGTTCTGAAACTAAGTAGAACTACAGGAGAATCAGAGGAGGGGATTCAGGGATGGCATGTCCTCAGGCCTGTTGCCACGTCTCCATTAGGCTCTGAATATGCGTTTATTTTTATAGCTCCCTTTCATGAACAGGTTGTGTGAGACAGAAGTCTTATTTCCAAGGTTCACTTTACTGAGTGGCCTCCAGTCACTCTTTCCAAGAAGAAAGATGGAAAATTATGGTCCAAGCAGCTTTACCGTCCATCTAGGAACCAAGGAGAATGCTGGACCTCAGCCACTCACCAGCTTAAACTGTCATTTATGAGCAACAAAATGATTGTCTTTGGGTCTCGGCAGCATTATCTTGAGCAGAGTTTGTGGCGGTAAGGCCCAGCTAATCACATTTGTCTAATTTTACATTCCCATCACTTTCACAAATGGATTATTACCTACTATTCACTTAAATAAAACAAAGAATGATCAAGGAATCTTGTCGTTCTAGATGAAAATCATAACATATAAGAAAATAGCATTAGTTTTCATGTTTGTACCACTTTCTAACAAAAGAGTTATAATCATTTCACATTATTGTCTTGTTCATCTTTTTAACGACCCAATGAAGAAAGGACATACAGGCCGGACGCGGTGGCTCATGCCTGTAATCCCAGCACTCTGGGAGGCCGAGACAGGTGGATCATCAGGTCAGGAGATCGAGACCATCCTGGCTAACATCCGTCGCTACTAAAAATACAAAAAGAAATTAGCCTGGCGTGGTGGCGGGCACCTGTAGTCCCAGCTACTCGGGAGGCTGAGGCAGGAGAATGGCGTGAGTCCAGGAGGTGGAGCTTGCAGTGAGCGGAGATTGCGCCACTGCACTCCAGCCTGGGTGACAGAGCAAGACTCCGTCTCAAGAAAAAAAAAAAAAGGACATACAGATTGCTGGCTCTCCTTTATAGCAGAGGTCCAGAATGATGTGACTAACTTAAGAACATGAAGTGAAAGAGGTATGGATAAAGAAAAACATGGTTTATTCACACAACTGAATAATGTATAGTGGTTAAAAGGAATCGGACCCAGGCTGGGTGTGGTGGCTCATGCCTGTAATCCCAGCACTTTGGAAGGCCAAGGCAGGTGGATCACTTGAGGTTGGGAGTTTGAAACCAGCCTGACCAACATGGTGAAATACAAAAATTAGCCGGCATGGTAGCAGGTACCTGTAATCCCAGCTACGTGGGAGGCTGAAGCAGGAGAATCGTTTGAACTCAGGAGGCGGAGGTTGCAGTGAGCCCAGATTGCACCACTGCACTCCAGCCTGGGCAACAGAGCAAGACTCTGTTTCAAAAAGAGACAAAGTAATTAGATCCATATGTATCAACATCAATAGATATTAAAAATTAGGATGCAGAATGGTAAGCCCAATATGGTTCATCCTTTCTGTAGTGCAGAATGTCAGAATTTCTTCTTAATTTGGTAAATTTTGATTACTCCAAGTCGTACAAAGGGAAATTCCATTTTCCAAATTAATGGAGCTAATTGAAATGTGATTTTGTAATTCTTTATCATTTAGCATGTTTTTTTTTTTTCTCACTGGGTTTTTGTAACAGTGAATAGACTCTAGCTTGGCTGTAAGAGCTAACAATTTGGATAATAGTACTGCTTTGCATCTACTGCACTCTGCAGAGGATGATTCAAAAAAGAGGCTACTCATCTCCCCTGAGGATGAAAGATAAACATTTGCGGTTAAAATATTGTCACGACTCAGACAGAAGAAGGGATTTAGCCCTACCACTTGGCTCATGTTCCCTCTTAACCAAATCATATTTTTTTAGTAACCTAATAAAATTACTGGGAATAGAAAGCATACATTCCGACTACTAGAAATATTGATACAACAAAGGAACACGTTAGTAGTTTCAACGTCTTTTACTTAAGGATTTCAGAATTCCTCCCAGTGAACAGGGAGATAGGTAGGTAAAATATAATATTTCCTGGTAGATGACCTAAGGCAAAACTCTTTATCTGCTGGCACCTATGTATATTTGCTACACATCGAATGTTTTGTCATCCCCTAGAGGAAAGACACTGGTGGATGGCAAGAATGTCAGTATTTGTTTACTTGGAGCAAGAGGCAGGTCATTTGGTCACAGACTCAAAATGCAATGTGCAAGAACTCAGAAACTGGATAGCAAAACTCCAGCCCAAATGAAGCAAAATTTCCTTCTCTGCTTTCTCAAGGTCTACTCTAGTTAATATTGATGTAACTAGACAAATACCCAATAACAAAAATTTGCCATGCAATATATAATCTAAGATGGCACAACAGTTTATGAGACCAAGCTATTATTCCTACTAAGTTAAAAACATGCGCTCCGGCGAAAGTTCTGTCAACCTTACAGCTCTTTAAATGCATGCATCCAGGAGGACTAGACAAGCCATCTTCTGCTTCCAGCTGCTAGTGTTTCTAGCTGGTGAATAACACAGGCCCCCAGGAGAGGGGGGTGAAAGATAGTTTTCAAAGATTGGAAAATTTCCTCCAACTTACATTAAAATTAATATTAAGGGCTCTATATGTGGCTGCTGGAGTAGAATGGTGGGAATCTAATCAAGAGCCCGTGCCTTCCTTTGAGGCCAGTTTCCTAAAATTGGTTCTCTGTGCCTATATTGCATGAGCTGAAAGCATATGGATGCAATCACATTCCAAGATACCTTATTTGGTGTTGGTATGGACTGGGCATATTGTCTCAGCTTACAAAAGCAATAAGGATTCTCTGACTCCTGCCAATCCATGTAAATCACTCTTTTACCTGTTTAAAGGGTAAGATTCGTGAGTGAGGAAAATAGTTACAACTATTTTGTTACCAGCATATATAACCATGTTCTATATCTAGATAGAACTCTTCAAGTTGTGAGACCTCAGTAGTGGGAAGGGAGACAAGATTTAGACAAATACCCACACAGAAATGAGGGGGGACACATTTCTCCCACGTGGCAGAGTTAGGAGGTACTGAATCCAAATTTTGTCCTTATGTAGAGACCTTATGCTGGTTGAGAAAGCAAAATAACTAAATAAGGATTACTTATATCTGCAACTCATTTTAATGTCTTCTTTATTTTTAAAAGCAAATGGACTAGTGAAGGGAAATTCACTTCTCTGAATACAGGATCATCCCACATTCAGGCTATCCAAAATTTGGGGGATCTGGAAGGCCAAAGACCAAAAATAAAGTAAAAAAAAAAAAGTAAATGAAGTTATTGGATATGAAATAACAAATGACAGGAGATTAAAATCTTCTAATTCTTGTGTCTGGCCATATAACTGAGTGCCACTGACCATTAGATAAAGACAGATTTTTAAAAATAATCACCCCTATTGTAAGGGATAGTCACTCCTGACTCATTGTCTTCTCTTCTTCATTAGTTTGATTGTTTTTCCCTCCAGATCACATTTTTGGAGTTGTTCTTTTGGTGAGATAGTGGTTGAAATAGTTTAATTTTCCTTTTTGAGTCCTGTTTTCACCTCTAGATGAATTTGCTTTTATGAAGGAATTCCATTCCATTTATGATCTAAATGAGGAGGAACTCCTTTAAATTCTTTCCTTTTTTGGACAGCTTCAACCTGTATTTCACTGAGTACCACTGCATGGTAAGTAAAGAGGATACTATAAATAAAGTGTGAAATAGACATCTTCCCTCTCGTATCAGCTAAGTAATTTCTCAAATATTTAAAAATTGAAAGAAGTGCCACAGAGGTAACAGAAAGAGGGGCAGTTATATTATTGAGTAGAAACCTAATTTTCCCAGGAGTATATGTAAGAAAAGCCCTCCCTGTCCGAGGAGACGTCATCATGTGAACTCACATATGAAGAAAGGTGGAAATCAATTAGGGGTAGGAGCAGCGAGGGCCCTGGGGAGTGTTCAAGTAGTGCAAATGACATCTAAAGACGGGATGAAATGTAACCTTTCAGATCGGGAGGGCAGGATCCAAGCCACCAAAAAGTCTAGTGGTTTGTATCCTCCAAACACCCCCCACCACTATAATCTCCCGCCACTTACTCAACCACTCTAGTCCAAGGCACCAAACCCCCATGCTGGATTCTTAACCTGTCCTGATTGAGGTCCTCCTTTAAGTCACATAGATCCAGCCCATCTGAGTTCAATTTCCTCCTTTGTAAAATGGAGATAATAATAGTGCTTTCCTCAAGGGTTTTTTTATTCAATGAGAAATGAGATATTACTTAGTATCAAACTTGGCTGAGAGTATTAAATAAATGTTAGCTAATATTATTTTTACTTTTTTTTTTTGAGACAGGGTTTCGCTGTGTCAACCAGGCTGGAGTGCAGTGGTATGATCTCGGCTACTGCAACCTCCACCTCCTGGATTCAAGTGATTCTCCTGCTTCAGCCTCCCGAGTAGCTGGGAATACAGGCACCTGGCTAATACCGTTGCTAATAATATAACGCACATATCATGGAAGCTTGGGAAGTTTTTATAAAACAGGTGGGGCTTGATGGCAGTTTTGAAGGGTATTTGCTGCTTGCCTAGAACACGGGAAGTGGAGCTGGCAGTCCAAGCTCAAGGAGCCCCAGGAGCCAGGGCTTTGCAGAGGCTGCAGGGGAGGAAAGTGTGTGTGGGGTGGGGAGGTTGGTATTGCATAGGTCCAGGGAGGCAATCATGAGACTCCCTAGACCACAGGAAAAATCTTTTGTGGGAATAGTAAGCTTGGACAAGTAGACTAGAGACTATGAAGATAATCTCTCAGAGACTGACACAAATAATCCACTCATGCAAATAATCTCAAAGAATGCAGCCTTTTTTTTTTTTTTTCTAACTTCTGATTCTTAAGGATGAAGAATGTGGGTGGGGATGCCTGTTCCCGGTGTCAGTAAGTAAAATCTTCTGGTGGGGAAGTATTTTGAATATTTGCAAAGAAAGTTCAATGCTCTCCAAAGTGGAGGTAGAAACTGGCACCAGGGATTTCTGTGTACCTGCCTAGAAATACAGGGCTTTAATCTACAGCCAATGTGAACTTTTGTAACTCTTTAAAACATCATCATTTCTGAGGGACTTCAGACTCTGTTCTGTAGGTCAGCACCAGACCAACAATATAGAGTTCCTGTGATCACTTATGATTTGAAACATAAACTCAGGCTTTGAATGTTTTAAAAACACCCGTATAACTATGGGTTGTTTAAAAATAGCTATACCCCAAAGAGTTTATTTCCAACATCTGACATGAATGCATTTTGCAGCGATTTGTTATGCAAATAATGGTAGCAGGGAAGACATATGAAAAAACATTGACCCTTCTCAAAGCCCGATGGATTTAATGCTTTTGTTAATTCTGAATTCCAAGTCTAGGGGTTGTCTGTTTGTGGTGTATAAAATAAAATACTATATGCCTGCCTCAACTTTCCTTCTGATGAAGCTGTAATTTGCAAAGGAGCTATTGTTCCTCTATGGCTTCCCTAATTTTTCTTCACAGACAACTGTGCTTCAGTGTGGAGAGGGGTTTCAGTGTATTGGCTGTTGAGATGATGCTGTGAGTATTTTCAAGGCAGAGGGGGCTGGGTGCGGTGGCTCACACCTGTAATCCCAGCACTTTGGGAGGCCGAGGCGGGCAGATCATGAAGTCAGGAGATCAAGATCATCTTGGCCAACATGGTGAAACCCTGTCTCTACTAAAATACAAAAAATTAGCCAGACATGGTGGTGAGTGCCTGTAATCCCAGCTACTTGGGAGACTGAGGCAGGGGAATCGCTTGAACCCGGGAGGTGGAGGTTGCAGTGAGCTGAGATCGCGCCACTGCACTCCAGCCAGCAGAAGGAAGAGCTTTTTGAGATGGAGACTCAGGTAGTGCTTGGAATTGCTGATAATCCAAGGCCTGATGATACGGGGGTTATTTGCTGAAGCTTCTATTTCAACTCTCCTTTATGACCCCGGGTTACCTAAATATGTTGCCTTCTAATGTTGTTTTGTGAGAGGTAGGAAGTAGGGTAGACATCATCAGTCTTAGATTTGTCAATGGGAGAAAACCAAGGGACAGACTTTTTTGCCGCCATTTTGTCCTTCTAAAGTGTTAGCTCCTTTTTCCCACTTTACAACTCCTCCTTTCTCCCCTCCTCCTCTGCTCTGCTCTTCTCCACCGCCACCACTCCCAGCAGCTGTTTATTAAATGCCCACTGCATGCTAGCTTTCTAATTTCTTCTTGTCTCTAATGGTCATATTTTAGGATGTCATTCCTCTACTGACAGCTACCACTTCTAGAGTAATCCTAACCTGTAATTCTTTTCTTAGAGGATAAGTAGAAAATACGTAATGGGAGGTGGGGGGAAATGGTTTTGATCTTCAATTAGTGTAACTGATAGGGAGGAAAGGGCTTGGGTTAAGGGAATGTCTTATGAAGCAGCAGCTGTTTTATAAGGGACTCATCTGGAGAAGTGGGGTGTATCCTCTACTGATAAGGGAGAAGACCCACAGAAAGCCAACTAGCATCAAAACAGCCCCAGCATCCAAGCACAGAGGAAGTGAGCCTTCTGACCCCCATGATCTAATAAGCCCCAATATTAGTCCATACAGGAGATGAGCAACATCCCAGGGTGAGTGAGTCAGTCACTCAAGTCCCCGGCCCAAAAGTGTAATGGACTTTGTTTTATGGTTTAATGGACATTTAGCTGAGTTAAAAGGGTTAACAAGTCTGAACACTTCTCTGAAACCTGATGAGATATCCAAGCATCTTTTTTCTGAAGGTCTCCATTGAAAATACCACTTATGAGTAACTTCTGTAAAGAAAACCCATCTGAAAATACCAGAGATGAACCAGCTGCTTTTTTCCCCCTGAACTCTTAGCAAATGATCTAAGGGCTTAAACACATTAAAGGCCACAATTTCAACTTCTGGAATCAATAGGGCAAAGGAATGTGGGCATATTCATTTAAATATGAATTTGCTGACTCCATTCTTACTCTCTTGGGTTCCTCCATAAGCCCAGACCTTACACTAAAAGGCAGCTACTTCTCACACTGCAGCAGGATTTTGAGAACCATCGCCCTTTGTCATCTTCACCCTGACCCTTCTCATCATTTTTTCTGATTCTCAGAACCTCCTGGCATTTATTTCCAATTCAGTTCTGTTTCCTTTCACCAACTCAGGTTAGTTGAGGCTGGACCCTAGCATGCCTGTTTTGTCATACTCTGATGAAAAGCAAATTAAATTCTTGGATGGTAAACTCTTTTCTTAAACTTCTGTCTGGTTCTTTGGAAAAAAATTAAAAATTATATTTCTGTTAATATCAACCAAAATATTGAATCCATCTCAGGATCCTACATCCCTTGACCAACAAGCTGATAAAACTGCCTAGCTCATCTTAGTCAACCTCTTCCTCTCACATGGTGTGTGGAACAGAACTTGGTCTCCCTTGGGCTTCAGTAGTAGCAAATTGAGGAAGTAAGACCTTAATTACATATAACCATGTTTCCACCCTACGTTAGCTCTGTTCCCTTGCCCTTTCACATTTCAAGCTGCCTCAAGGAGGAAAAAATCAGACAGATAAAACACAAACAAAAGACAGAAAACAGGAGCTCAAGGGCTAAATCAAGACTATTAATAGTTCCTCCAAACAAAGAAACCGACTGCCATCATCCAAGCTCTGTTCATCTAATTCTTCCTTTCTCCAAATGTGGCTGAAACTCATCTCCCTTTTAGCCTTCTCTTACTCCCACCGTTATTATTTTCAGCAATTTTTCCCTAAGACAAGGCAGCAGCAGCAAGAAGTGAGAAAATAAAGGTAATCTAGGTAGTACCTTTCTTTGAACAAATAGTTTTCCATCTTTTTCTTATTTCCACTGATCTTGAAAACAGAATCACTGTTTAAAGGGGAGAAGCCCTAGTTCCCTCTGATCACCTTGGTTAATTTTAGAATGGGTGCTTCATATTCACCACACAGAGAAATCTAAGGCTTTTATTCAGGTGAACCCTTCAAAATGATAACATTATGACACCAAAGCTTTTAAAAGTCTTGCTGTTCTGAAACTGCCATTGCAGTTTGGCTTTGTGGCTTTGGATACTCTCAGAGGGAAGGCATCACCTTTGTTAGAGTTTGTGAATTTAAATTAGTTTGGGTTTGTTTGGAAGCAGAGCAACATCAGAAAATCCAGTCCCTTTCTACCTAAAAGCACAAGGCTGCTAGTGAGCAGGCCCATGAGGAAGAGCTGGAGGAGAGGGCAGGACACAGGGATGTCACCCAGCCTAGCTGGGATACGTGTCAGGCCTGACCACGTAATCACAGATACTCATGAACAAGGGAAAGCAGACTATTCAGATACAATGAAAACTGATTTTAAATAAGAGGCATCTCTTATTTTATTATTTTTTCTAAATCGTGGCTCTAAAAAAATAAACTTAGAATTATTTTCCTCTTCCAAAGTGAAATATCTTTTTCTTCCTGGCTTAGACCACCAACCAGGTTTCTGCTGCCGGAAGCCGGGAAAATACTGGATATTCTTTGAGGAAGCCTGATCAGATGCCCTATTATCCCAATTTCCAAACCAAAGATGCTTGGAGATGAAGACACACTTTTTTGGTGTGTGTTCTAAGTTGCAACCTCAAAAACTTGGCAGTTTTCTCACCATGGACTGTGATTTCCATGATGTGATGGTTTGGAAGGGTTTGTTTTCAAATAGATGTTATGGGGTGATTCCAAGGGAATTCTATTTCAATCCTCCTGAGTTGACAACCTTTCCTTCTTAAGTGTAACTTTGGTGTTCAGATAACCTTGGGACACAGACAAGGAAGATTCCCAGTGGTAAATGTCTGTGTGGTACAAAATGGGAAGGCAGAAAGTGAAGCTTGTAAAGTCATGAAAATAAGAAAGAAAGAGCTTTTCATGCATTATCTTTCACACTGTTCTTCTTTTTCTGTTTTTATTTTATTATTATTATTTTTTTGAGACAGGTTCTCACTCTGTTACCCAGGCCGGAGTGCAGTGGCATGATCATGGCTCGCTGCAGCCTCAATCTTCTGGGCTCAAGTGTTCCTCCCACCTCAGCCTCTCTGTACCTGGGACTACAGATGCATGCTATCATGGCCCAGCCAGTTTTTAAAATTTTTTGTAGGATGTGGCCTCCCTATGTTGCCCAGGCTCGTCTTGAACTCCTGGCCTCAGGTGATCCTCCCACTTTAGCCTCCCAAAGTCCTGAGATTACAGGTGTGAGCGACTGCTCACAGCTGGGATTACAAGGCTGCTCACTAGCAGCCTTGTGCTTTTAGGAAGAAAGGGACTAGATTTCTGATGTAGCTCTGCTTCCAAACAAACCCAAACTCATTCAAATTCACAAACTCTAAAAGGTGATGCCTTCCCTCTGAGAATGTCCAAAGTCACAAAGCCAACTGCATGGCGGTTTGGGAATGGCAAAACTTTTAAAAGCTTTTGGTATCATAATTTACTTTTATTTAGGAGGATAGTATAGTTCACATTTTCTCCTTTTTCACAGGTTCTATTTAGTGTCATTTATAGTAGCAATAATTCATATTCTAACTTAGCTTTACCTCAGCAACTCTTTCTCCCCTTACTTTTAGTCTCAGTACTACAAATGCCCGCATGCTTTCTCCCCAGAACCGAGGCCTTCATATTTTTCTCCCTAAGCTGTATATGTCTTACAAACTTGTAAAATGAATGTAAATGAATGTAAAACTTTCCCCTTGTTTGGTGAAGAACAAGAGGATACACCCATTGCTTGAGCATACATCTCCCTCAGTCTCTCTCTTTTTTTTTAGAATGCAAAGTATTTTCTTTTTAAACTTTTAAAATCTGAAAACAAGCTAGCCTATGTTAAATAACATAGTTTCCAAAGCTGAACGTGCTCACTTGGAGCCCAGTTTTCTGCTTCAAATACAAACACAACTTCCTGACACTCCTAGGTGGGAACACTACTGTTTGACGATCTGTGATTAGATGAACTGATCGATCTCAGTGGGTAACATTCCTTTATTTTTTCCTTGGTAAAGGTTTAAAAATTCTAAAATAGATGCATTTTTTTTTTTTCAGTTTTACACTGACAATTTCATTCCAATTGTCTCCTGGGAGACACAGACCATGTACAGGAATCCATCTTCATCCTTCTCACTCTGCTACAATGCTGTGTCTGTTCACCGCCAGGAGGAAGGCTTGATTAGCACTGAGCTGGAAGGACCTTCTAATGATCTTGATGAGCTCACTCAGGTTGATGTGGTCCAGTACAAGGAACATTGCTTTATCCAGGACGGGAAGCTGCTTCTCAGCCTTGTATCGTTCTGTTACTACCAAGATTTTGGGTGGATGCTGCTCTCGGAGAAGTCAAACTTCTACTCTTTGTTCAAAGGTGTGGTGTGGCCTGAAGGTCTTCTCTGATGTCATGGTGCAGGGATCTGGGTGGTGGTGGCGACATAAGGGTTCTGGCGGCTCCTGGGGGTGGCGGTGGCAGTGAATCTAACTCTGGCGACAGTGACTTCTCTTGTCTCCCTCAGTCTCTTTATTATATGCTTGATCCATCAGAAAGTCTCAAGGTTCTATGCACCTCAGCAACCCCAGTGATAAGGCAAGGGGTTCATGGACTGAGTCCTGAAGCCCTCTTGTGTTTAGAGATTGGGAAGATGAAGAACCAGCTTAGGAGATTGAGGAATGCCCATGAAGTAGAGAGAAGACAAAAGAGGGTTAGGACCTAAAGCAAGAAGGAGTTTTCAATCCATCATTTGATCAGCTATATCTAATGCTCCTGAAAGGTGGAGTAAGATTTTGCGTCAGATATATAGGGTCTTTTAGACTGGAATAGTGTCTGATTCTTCTTTTTTTCCTCAGAGTCTCACATATAGTAGATAACTTATAAATGCTGAATGAACAACTGAAAAAGAATAGTAGTGATTGGTCACAGAGAATGGGATGTGCTCTCTGTTAATTCCTTGCCCATCAACAGATGCCCATCCTAGGGCAAAATGGGAGAAAGACTATCATTTCCACAGTCCTCATGCTGAATGGATCCCAAGTGCTATTGCCTCATTTATGTAGCATGATCCAGAGACACTTCCAGTCTGAAGAACTTCAAAGGTTTTAGGAGGCTGAGGTGGAGGGCTCGGGGAGCAATGAAGGCAAGAGGGAAAGGGATGAACAACCACAATAAAAGGCCGGCACGTTCACAACAATGTTGGGCAAAGACAGTGATTCCTGAATATGAAGGAATCTGGAGAGCGAGTCACAAGAAACTGAAAACATAAGGGGGTGGAGGAGATGCTGAGAGAAAACAGAAAGCTATGAAAGAAGGCAGACGCTCAAACCGAGGTAAGAGAGAAAAAATTAAAAGCGGAAGGGGAGAAAGAAAAAAAATCGGAGAGGTGAGGCCAATGTATGGAAAAAGAGCAAAGGAAACACAGGGCCATTGTCTGATGCTGAGAACAGTCTGGAGACTGAGCAACTGGTGCCCGATTTCTGTGCATCTCAAGAGGAGATAAATGGCAGATTGAAGGGACCCTCTTGGCATTCTGGATCCAAGAGGAAAACATAGCAGGCGCAGTGAATGCTCAAGTAAACACAAACAGCAGCAGCCGTGGGGTTACGAGTGACCTGACTGCAGGCTCTGTCCTCTCCTGGCCTCCAGCCTGTGTGTACAACACACATGCCCGCTTAAAGCCCCGCTTAAAGCGGGAGGGCAAAAATCTCCTGCAACTGGGTGACCTCTGTTGTCAGCATTTGGCTAATTAAGGAAAGATATTACCCTACAGATCTCTATGCCTTGGTCCTACTTCCTGCTCATTAAAAAATGGTTTAATGAGAAAAAAATCAAGGCAACAGAATCCAAATTATTATTTTTTCTCCCAAATGAGCTGAATGACAGTGGCTGTTGCCAGAACGCTTGAACAATAGGATTGTGACACGAAGACTGAAATCTAAACAACATGAAGAAATCTCGAGAGCCCAGCAGTCCCCATTATCTCATGCTTGCACGACGATAGTCCAAAAGATGAGTGATGAGTCTCCATTTGTGCAAGCACAGCAGCAGTCCAAGGCCCTGACACAGCCACTAATTGCCCATCTGCTTGTTTACACAGCCCAGAGATGGTGACTGGACAAACAGTTCATTTCCCTTGAAACGGGACCAAACTGGGAGGAGCCTGTCACATGGGACAGAGGAGGACTAGGAAGAACTCTCATGAGAAAGTGCCCCCAGATCAAAGCCAAGGACCAGCAAGCCAAGCAAAGATGGGTTCCAGCGGCTGGCTTCTCACAGGCAGCTTCGGGTCTACCGCTTTCTGCACCCTGCCCACCCACTCCCAGCAGAACTGGAACCCCTCTCCCTGAGGACAGGACATTTTGAACCATTCACGTAAAAGTCTCAACCACGGAGCGTCAGCACCAACCCACCCTTCAGGCGTTGGCAGCAAGGACAACTGTGTTCAGGTGAACTTCTAGCCCTTTCAGACTTCACTGGATGCTTGGCATTTGCTACACTAGTTCCCATTTTAGTGTTCTGCTTGTCTCGTAGACTGGACTGTAAACAACTTGAGCACCAGGGACCTGAAGCCCCCGGATTCCACAGCAGGGCACTTTACATGTGAAGAGCCATTAGCCAGGAAATGCTTATGGTTGTTAATGATGATAAGCTACTCCAAACATAGTTTCTTTTATCTGCCTACATCAGAAGCTTGGCTTCTTGAGACAAGAGACTCAGACTTCTCATTTATACTCTTGACAGACTGTGGAAATCAATAATGGCTTGCACCCATCAGTGTCCTGGAAGTAGGATTGAGAGAGAAGATTCTCTTGAGAACCGATTTCTCCTCAAAATAAGATTAGGCTTGAAAAAAAAAAAATCAACCTCCCCACTGCTTAGCTCACAGGTATGGTGCTAATGGCAGCAACTTAGTCATGAAATGGGGAACAACAATGTAAAAAATCCTTGTTAATTTGCTTATAATTATCCAGAACTAACTACAGGTACACTGAAGAACTGTATACTTGATGGGAGGGAGATCTACACCGCTAAGTCAATAAGACCAATTTCCGATTTTTCCCTGTGAGCATTTATTTGCAGAGCCACATATTGGCAACATAAGAAACTAGCGTTGAACAAACCTAAGAAGTGATGAATCCTCCCCGGGAGGAGAGCTGCAGCCCTGAAATCCAAAGCAGAATGGGCTGGGGGCAGCTTGAGGTCTGTGGGCGAAACTCAGCACTCCCAGTCTAGGGTGCTGCTCACCCATTAACTTGGCCTCCTCTTGCCACTGTTGTTTTAGCCCTTAGTGAGCATCTGTGTGGCTCAGATTTAACCAGACCAAAGGGGCTGTGGTGGTGAGAGGGCAGAGAAAGCTGGAGGAAGAAATGGCTTTTTTTCTGGAGAGGAGTGAGGACTAAGTCACTTCAAGGATGATCATATTCCCAGGAGGAGCCATGATATGATATTATTTGAATATCTAGCTCCACGCAGCTCTATTTTTCCCTTCTCACTACTAGAAGATTGTAATCACCCGGTATCAGCACATTCAAGATACTACCGAGGACCTAACAGCATGCCCAAAACCTCTCATCTCTGCACATAACTGCGTACAAATGACTAAAATCACTTTGCTTCAAAAACAGAGTAGCTGTGTGAAAGGCATTTTAGAGCATGTGGGATTCCACACACAGGCAAGTTCCAGGGATCTCAGAAGCTTGGCTATTTCGTTCAGTGCCAAGGAGGCAAAGATGAGGACAGGCAGTCGTGTGGGTGGGAGGCAGTCCTTGGATGATTAGCACAGGTGTCCAGGAGGGAGGGGAGGGTATGGAAATGGTACAAACATGAGAGGAAGCTGTGCCAGTGGGTCATCATGCCCCATTTGTACAGAACATTGAGTGGACTGTAACTGTGGACAACTGAAATACCGAAAAGAAAATGTGCACACACTGTTTAAATTCTAAACAGTGGGAGAATCGTTGTTTAAAGAAGAACAGATAATTGCTCATTCCACCCTCCCCAGTCTTTGAAAGATAGACACAGGAGTGTCACACAGTACAAGAGTTTGTATTACACAGAAAGAGGGACTTACAGACAGAAACAAAATTTAAAAACAAACAAACCACCAGCATTTATCACCGTTTATCCAGCCAGTGGTTTTCTTTATCCCCTTGGCTATTACTTTAGATATTTTTGCTTGGAACTTCTCCCCCACTTTTTCTGACAGCTCATTGATCTTGGGTTGGATCATCACAGTTCGTGGGAAACAATACAGGCTACTTTTCTAGCTTATTCCTTCTTAGATGCCTCTTGGATATTGTCCATTTAATATGTTTGAGAAATATAGAGAGACAAAACACACAGTGTTTTAATCTCAGAGTATATGTAGTGTGTCCCTGGAGAAGAAGTCTCATATATCCAAGGGAATCATTCCATTATTTTAAAGTAAGGCTTGTATTTCAGATTGATCCACCTGGAACATGTAATCAAAACTCATGAACTTTAATATAAATTCCAGATTCTGGTTTCTTATCTATATTTTTGGGAACATAACATTGGTAGATAAACTAATTGAAAAAAATATTTTCAATGTTGATTTAGAAATGGCTTTTAACTATTTCTACACATTCCATCACTCCATCTCAGAAGAAGCGGAGTAGAAAACTGCAGCAAATGGGACTTTATATTAAAGTCCTAGGAAATATATTCTGGCTGATGTGATGGTTCTTGTGTGTTTCAGTAGGCATGTAACATGTGAATCGCTTTGTGGAACTGGGTTCGTGAGGCTAGTATTTATGAAGCTGTATATTTCCTTCTGTGTAGTAACACAGAGAGTGATTCAGGAGAATGAGAAAATCCTGTTTCCTGGAAATACCATCCATCCTGAAGGAGTTACGAGAACCAGAACAGATATGTATTTTGCTATTTATCTCACACTTAAAGATTATACAATCCATTTTCCTAGGGCAAGCACAAATGGTCAGTTTTATAAATCTTGATGGACTAAGTCAAGTAAAAAAGCCCACTAGTTAAGAGTCCAGATATCGAGAGACACAAATCTGAGGAACGATCAATTAGGACACCGTGGTAGCTTGTCTCCAAGATGTCCATCATCAGCTCTTTCCTTCCCTGCATGTTTGTGCTGTTCTCTAGTTGAACGGTGGCGTCTATTCACTCCCTTAAAACTGGACTGGACTGTGACTTCTCTGAACAACAGTGACGTGATGTTTCATTCCCAGTGTTTGAGAGGATAGGAAATTTCTAATTTCTTTTCCTTGGAACATTTGCTCAGGAAAAAGCCAGTAACTATGTAAGAAGGCTAACTACTGCGAGACCACCATGCTATGAGAAAGCGCAAGCCATGTGGAGTGACTGCACGGGCTCTCAGAGATGCCCAGCCAAGCCCCACCCTCCATCCACCCGAGCCGAGGCTCTGCAGCCTACAGATGATTTCAATTCCAGCCATAATCTAACTCCAACTTCACAGGAGACCTGAAGCAAGAACTAGCCAGTTAAGTCTAATCAACTCATTAAACTGTGAGAGATAGGCATACATTGTTGTAGCCTACTAAGTTTTGAGATGGTTGGTTATGCACTGTGGATTCCTATTACCAATCGGCTATAATTATAAAATATCCACTGGCAAATATAAGTTCCAGAGGCAAAGACTGTGTTCCTTTTGCTCATCATTGTATTCATAACATGCAGCACAGTGCCTAGAACACAGAAAGCCCTAAACTAATAATACGTAAAAGTTTGAAAAAGTTTATCTGTACTAGTATGAAAGAAAGACCCATAGTCAAACGGCTGACATTTTTTAGCAAGTTTGATGGGCACAATAACCTTATGGTGGTGGTATTACTACCTCTGTCTTTGAGATGAGGGAACCTCAGCTTTTTTTTTTTTTTTTGAGGAAGTAAGCTTCCCAAGCTCAGAAAGGTAGGGGAGAGGGCCAGGCATGGTGGCTCACACCTGTAATCCTAACACTTTGGGAGGCCAAGGCGGGCAGATCACCTGAGGTCGGGAGATCGGGGCCATCCTGGCCAACATGGAGAAACCCTGTCTCTACTAAAAATACAAGAAATTAGCCGGGCATGGTGGCACATGCCTGTAATCCCAGCTACTTGGGAGGCTGAGCCAGGAGAATCGCTTGAACTCAGGAAGCAGAGGTTGTGGTGAGCCGAGATCACACCATTGCACTCTAGCCTGGGCAACAAGAGCGAAACTCTGTCTCAAAAAGAGAAAAAAAAAAAAAGAAAGAAAGGTAGGGGAGAGATTTGAACTCAGATTTGTGCAATTCTAAAGCCAGCCTGTTTATTATAGTCTCCCAGGAGACTACAACAGAAACAATGAGAAAACAATTTGAAAGAGATGCAAAACCCACCCCTTGAATCTTACCCAGGACTATGGAGCTCCATTAATTGCTGTCAACACGCTGGAACCTATTTCACATGAAGCTCAGACCAATTACAATTAATGCCACAGTCATGACTACAAACTAGAAACCAATGCCAGAGGAAGCTTAAGTTAAAGAAAGCAACGATCACGCACATATATTATGTTAGCAATTAGGCTTAATCCTAGAATCGTGAAGCCAAAGAGAATATATTAAAGAGAGAACAGTGCCCTCCTGGGAAGAAGAGCAATTTCAAATAGACTTTTTAGTGGCTTTCTACATTACTTACTTGAATATATTATGCTCCCCTAGAATTACTATATTACAATTACTCACGCCACATTTTATTTATTTCAGCAAGGAAATGGGATGGTGCAATGAGCTCAGTGGGCAGACGGTTTGGTTATTTCAATGAATAATTTGAATGTCAACAAGTTGGTGGATGCTAAGATGAAAGGGGAAGTAGTAAATAGCAAAGGTCTCAATGCCTGACTCTGAGATGGAGTAAGGATGAGCTATCAGGACTGGCACTTCACTTCTAAATGTTGAGCACTCAGGTTTTGCTAAATTTATAAAAGCACATGAACTAACTAACATCGCATATTTCCTTAACGAGAAGACCAGTTTATCTCTGTTTAAAACAGTTCTGATCTACTCAAATACACATTTTTAATTTTCACTGAAAAATGTTATAAATAAATCAAAATTTAAATAAAAAAACTGGGAGGGAAAGGTAGATCTACTTCTCAATTCAGAAGATTAATAAAAGGATTAAGGAATTAAATAATCACATTCTCTAGCCTCAGCTCACGACTTTTTCAAGGCTCAGTTTCTCAATAAATGGAAAAGCAAATTCTCATTATTCTCCCAATCTGTTTGAAAGCAGAGCTGGGGTGTTACAGTGATTAACAGTTATCAAGGCCCATTAAAGTTGTTAATTATAGTGGCGTTCACTATCTTTTTCCATCATTTTTAGCTATTGAGACAGGGTCTTTGTGGATCCCAAGGATCATGTGTTTGCAGTTCAATTCAGCAGCCACTAGGTGGTAATATTGTTGATTTTGGTAGCCATGAAGTGTGATCTATCAGACCTGCCCTCTTAAATGGAATTATGTACATCCCTTATATCATCAAGATGTAATTATAGAAATAATTATACTTTAAAATATGTAAAATATTTTAATTGTGAAAAATATAATCCCTTATAAAAGTTCCATGCATATCTGGTACCTTTTAAACTTATGCTAATTCTACTTACCTTTTATTCTAATTATACACATGACTATCTTCAAATTATACATATAACAAAAATAAAGTGTCTGGTCTTAACAGAAATCCAGCTTATATTCATTGCTTCTGGCTTATTTTTAGAAGAGATGAAAAAGATGCACATAACTTTCCTTCTAAAATTATGGCCGTCCTCTGTAGTAAATAATTATTTGCCACTTGAACTTGGAACCACTGCTATTCGCACCATTGGGTAAGTAAAATTTCTGTGATTAACTTTCTGAGACCCACTGTCTGAAGCATCTGATAAGATTTGACAAAATCACGTAACAACAGCAGCGGCTGATATACATAGTGCCAGGTTCTGAGCTAACTGCTCCACATACATTAGTCCTGCGTTCCTACTAGAGCTGCCACAACTCATTTAAGGCCAAATGAACTCAGCAGAAGAAACATACCCGTATTATTTGAAGGAATGAAAAGATCTTTCCAGAATTGGACATTGTCTGCGAAACTATGTATTATATAACATGTATTATGCACAATAACTCCCAGAAGGCAATACAGGTGTTAAGCTCTTTCATTATGAAGAAGACAATAACTGTATAAATCAAAGAGAAGTCTTGTGATAGCATCTTTGATCAATCACTGATGAAAACCTTGCCATAGTTGTCAAGAATCCAAAGAGAAAGTGGTGGCTAGGCCAATAATTACGTGAGGCAATTTATCATGAGAACAACCATTATGCAAGATGCAGAGCTCAATACTGATTCCATAAAATACTTAAATACTTGTCACTGCAATTCTTTACTAATTACAATGGAAACTTTGTTGTTATTGTTGGGAAAGGTAAAAGAGGACCTCTATTAAGACCTCAGAAAAGGAATCTTTGAGGTTAAGCTGTTACCCAAGGTTAAGGCAAATCTACTATTCTGATACTTTTCTCCTTTAGATGATGAAACAAATATGCTTATTTCTATTTACCCCTAGGGTCCTGGGACTCAAAAGAAACCAAGTGGTTCTCTAAGTTAGTAGGATGGCACAGTAACAACGCTGGGATTGAGCTCACCCTGACCCTGAGTAAGTTACCAAGACCCTCAGACTCAGTTTTCTTATCTGGAAAGTTAGGAATGAAAAAAATCAGTTTCAAAGGATTGCTGCAAAATTAAATGAAGTGCTATGCACCTGTTGAAGTCAAGTATAGCATGCTCCCCAATCACCCCCCAACACACACACCAGAACTAACAATTCAGGAAGGAAATTTTCAGTATATTGGTGTTTCTCACAGAGGGTCAAAGTGGGACAATAAGAATGCCTTAAATGTAACACATTGTATTTATTAAAGCTTTATAGTTTATATGGTGGTTTCCCATGTATGTTATCTAATTTCATCTTCATAATGACACTGTGTACTAGATATTACTATTCCCATTTTACAGACAAGAAAAAAAAAAAGGCCCCAAGAACTTAAAATCCTTTGCAAAATCACATAGAAAGGTTAAGTGGTGAACCCAGTGTTCAAACCTAGGTCTTCTGACTTCAAGCACAAAGCTCTCTCACTACATTCAGATCACTTAAAAACACAACATTTTATTGTGCCTATCGTTAATAAGACTGTATTGCACACTTAAGAATTTGTTAAAGAGGGTAGAATTCATGCTAAGTATTCTTACTAAAATAATAAAAGTTGTATGTATGTAGAAAAAAGTATTGCTTAATCTAATTAAACTAAACAGCTTCTGCACAACAAAAGAAACTAGCATCAGAGTGAACAGGCAACCTACAGAATGGGAGAAAATTTTTGCAATCTACCCATATGACAAAGGCCTAGTATCCAGAATCTATAAGGAACTTAAATTTACAAGAAACAACCCCATCAAAAAGTGGGCAAAGGAGATGAACAAACACTTCTCAAGACATTTATGCGGCCAACAAACATGAAAAAAAGTTCAACATCACTGATCATTAGAGAAATGCAAATCAAAACCACAATGAGATACCATCTCCCACCAGTCAGAATGGCGATTAAAAAGTCAAGAAACAATAGATGCTGGTGAGGCTGCAGAGAAACAGGAATGCTTTTACACTGTTGGTGGGAATGTAAATTAGTTCAACCATTGTGGAAGACAGTGTGGCGATTCCTCAAGGATCTAGAACCATAAATGCCATTTGACCCAGCAATCCCATTACTGGTATATACCCAAAGGATTATAAATCATTCTGCTATAGAGATGCATGCACACGTATGTTTATTGCAGCACTATTTACGATAGCAAAGACTTGGAACCAACCCAAATGCCCATTGATGATAGACTGGATAAAGAAAATGTGGTACATATATACCATGGAATACTATGCAACCATAAAAAAGGATGAGTTCATGTCCTCCTAGTTTTTCCAAAACAAACTAATGAAATGTGAAAAGGGTGAATTCACAAGGGGCTATACATAGAAAGAAAGAGCCTGACTGACTTGGCTCCATCCTCTACTTCTACCTGGGGACATTTCCAATCATCAGAAAGAGGTTAATGCAATTGCAGCTCCAGAGTCTCATCAAACTATCTTGGATTCTGCCATGATGAAAGGGAAATGAGGAGATTACCCAATAACACCATCATGAGGTTGTCCTTAGTAATACTTCAATTCTTACATGGTTGAGGGCCTACTCAAAGTTGTAAAAATCAGTTTAAGGTATAGTCCCCTGTTCTACCAAAGCAAGCAAATAAACTGGTTCCATAACGTTGAAAAGATGTAGGGGTGTGTGTGTGTGTATGTGTGTGTGTGTGTGTAAATATCTGCTGCTGCTCTAGGAAAGACCCTGTAAGAGTTAATGATACTTATCTGACAAATAATATCTTACCTCCAAACCCAACCACTACCATCTCTCTTCCACTAGCATGTAGTTCTGAGACAGTGTTTAAAAACAGAAGACAAGGCTGGGCGTGGTGGCTCGTGCCTGTAATCCCAGCACTTTGGGAGGCTGGGGTGGGTGGATCACTTGAGGTCAGGAGTTCCAGAAAAACAGGAGACAAACTCTTTAAAAAACTAAGAGTTAAGGCCGGGCGTGGTGGCTCATGCCTGTAATCCCAGCACTCTAGGAGGCCGAGGTGGGCGGATCACAAGGTCAGGAGATCGAGACCATCCTGGCTAACGCAGTGAAACCCCGTCTCTACTAAAAATTACAAAAACTTAGCCAGGCGTAGTGGCGGGCACCTGTAGTCCCAGCTACTCGGGAGGCTAAGGCAGAAGAATGGCATGAACCTGGGAGGCGGAGCGTGCAGTGAGCTGAGATCGCGCCACTGCACTCCAGCCTGGGTGACAAAGCGAGACTCCATCTCAAAAAAACAAACAAACAAAAAAATTAGAGTTAAGGCCTAAAATGCAAATACCCACGGAAGAGGTCAGATCCTGACAATGATCTCAAGATATAAATGACTGAGATTTGGTTCTATGTTTGTGATTAGGTTTAAAGGATGGTCTGTGTCGGGGTAATCTGAGAGAAGATCTTTACTCTCTCATTTTGGCATATTCATAAAAGTGTACATTGAAGCACCTGTGTAATGAAGAGCCCAAATGAAATAAAGAACAGGATTATGGCAATAAGAAAAAAAATATGAGGAACAGGTAAAACACCCTACATATTAGAGGCCTCTTCTTGACCATAATGTAAATTAGGGTTCATGTTACATACCTAATAATAACATCACAAAAGTGTGACGCCTGAAACTGAAGTGATGATGGAAGCATGAGCAAAATAAGTGAAGTCAATCCAAGTCAAGGAGAAAGAACGGAGGGGTTCCAGCAGGTTCATGTGTGTGCACGTGTGTGTGCGTGCACACGTGTGTGTGTATTAGACTGTCTTGAGCTCTCAATGCCTTTAAACATTTCCTTGCATTTTCTCATTGACTGGGAGGCTTCCATTAGATAGAGCCATCTAGAGCGATGTTGAAGAAGGCAGCCATAGGAAACAAACCAAGGTACTAGCTCATAGATCTTGCTTGATAAGGGACCTTCAGATTTCCTTTTAAGTTGTCCAGTTCAGCACCCAATGAAAGTAATGAGACTGTGAGTAAGACCATTTGGTTTCCAATTCTAGGTTCAGGTGGCTAAGGGACCCCAGTTGGTATAATGATGGAGAAGCAATGAATAGGAAGCAGAATCTTAGGGAAAAATGTGAAGTGCGAAGTACTATAGAAAATTGTTTTTCAAAAAAAATTTGTTTACTATTTTAAGAGGTACTCACTGGTTAAAACACCCAAATTTATAACAAATCTGCATACGCCTATGAACCTCATCTGCCTATTTTCTACCTGCTGCAGCAATGAACCTGTTTGATTAGTTTTAGGAGTAATAGTCTAAATATTTAACAATAACATAGGTACTAACTAGCAGAACAGGCAACCTGTATGGGTGTTATGGTGAGGACCAGCTGAATATCAGTCTTGGGTTAGTTCTCTTTTGTTTTTTTTTTTTTTTTTTTTTTCAGAGACAGAGTCTCACTCTGTCACCCATGCTGGAGTGCAGTGGCGCAATCTCGGCTCACTGCAAGCTCTGCCTCCCGGGTTCATGCCATTCTCCTGCCTCAGCCTGTTGAGTAGCTGGGACTACAGGCGCTTGTCACCACGCTCAGCTAATTTTTTTTTTTTTTGTATTTTTAGTAGACACGGGGTTTCATCGTGTTAGCCAGGATGGTCTCGGTCTCCTGACCTCGTGATCTGCCCGCCTCGGCCTCCCAAAGTGCTGTGATTATAGGCGTGAGCCACCGCGCCCGGCCAGTCTTAGGTTAATTCTTATTTGTTCTCACTGTTAGGTAGTATTCATTTTTTGCTTCATTTTTATCTGAATGATAAAATAATATACCTAATAATAACATAACTACTCTTCTGACCCTTGCTTTTATCCACTTAAACATATACATTAGGGATCCTCCAGGTCAATACATACAGACTTTTTTTTTAAAAAAGATGCTTAGTATTCCAATGTATGGAAATACCATAATTTCACAACTCCATTACTGGATAGTCATTAGAAACCGACTTCGGGGGAAAACATACGCTCTTTGCAGGAATTTCTGGGAAAAAAAATCCCCTCTAGCCCTTTTAGATAAAAGCCTACCTAATAGACCTGTGATAAAATAGCTTTCTTTTCTTTATTTTTTTTTTGGAGGAGTCTCACTGTGGCCCAGGCTGCAGTGCAGTGGTATGATCTCAGCTCACTGCAACCTTTGCTTCCTGGGTTCAAGCGATTCTCCTGTCTCAGCCTCCAGAGCAGCTGGGATTACAGGCGCACACCACCATGTCCGGCTAATTTTTGTATTTTTAGTAGAGATGGGGTTTCGCCATGTTGGCCAGGCTGGTCTCAAACTCCTGACCTCAGGTGATCCGCCTGCCTTGGCCTCCCAAAGTGCAGGGATTACAGGCTTAAGCCACTGCGCCTAGCCAAATAGCTTTCTTCATCTTCCAAGGATTACTGTTCTGTTACTTAAGTGATCCGGAAGTCACAAGAGATTATCTTAATTCTTGGCCATTTAATGATCTTTGGAACCACGCCTGTCGGTATTTTCTTGAGTAGCAGTGGAGTACACAAGAACCCATTTTGGCTCAGGCAGAGTTCATGTTCTCTAGCCATACTTCTTCTTTCCACAAGCTTTGTAAAGGACGTCAGAATTATTTCCCTCACAGGTTACATTGTTCAGATTACTGACCTTTCCTGATCTCTGTAACCTTAGTGGTTGAATATGGTGATTCAGATAGTTTTGTTTCTTTATTTCTGGGGGTTGAAGTGAAGAGATTATGTAATAACCTGCTCTTATTTTGCAACTTAGAGATTTAAGTATGGCCTTTGTCAATCTAATCTGACCAAAGTATTTACTAAGAATAGATTACGTGCATATGCCCAACATAGAAAGATGATTCTATATCCAGGAGGTCTGACCACAGAAATGTATTATCGACCAAAAATGTACCTCTTCAGATTCTGGGATGATTCAGCAATTCTGAAAGGATTTAAACAGAAAACCCAAGGAGGAGGAAAAAATAGCCTCTAGGTACATTACACAATTCAAGCTGTTTGTTCATAAATTCAACAAACACTTATTAACACCTATCATGGGACAGGCTGAGCCTATATGATGTTGGGACAAGTGAGTGAACAGGACAAAACAGACACAGTCCCAGCTGTCATGGAATACCCATCTATTTATATAATTCCTTTTGCATTCAATGTTGAAAATCAGAATTACTGCTTTTGTTTATTTTAAACCTGGTAAATTTATCTATTTTTTACTAGAAAATAGTTCTTTTTTTTAACTTTTATTTTAGGTTTGGGGGTACATGTGAAGGTTTGTTACATAGGTAAACTAAAACAATTTTTGATATTAAGAATATCTCTAATCTAGCCAGGCGTGGTGGCAGGTGCCTGTAGTCCCAGCTACTTGGAGGCTGAGGCAGGAGAATGGCGTGAACCCGGGAGGCAGAGCTTGCAGTGAGCCAAGATCGCGCCACTGCACTACAGCCTGGGTGACAGAGCAAGACTCTGTCTCAAAAAACAAGACAAAACAAAACAAAACAAAAAAAACAGTATCTCTAATCTCAGCTGGTCAAAGGAACTTAGAAAATAGTTTCATAGACTAGGGCTAGAATGGTTCATGCAGAATCATTCAGAATTTGGCTCCATTCATGGATGCCAAGCGAAATTAACGGAGAATGAGATAAGGCCAAGTGTGGGAGAGTGCTGGGATTAGAGCTAGTTTAGGTTCCAGCCCTCCCTGCCAAAGCTATAAATACAAATGACCAATTTAACAGCATGAAAAGACCACCTACAAGATCTATACCTGGGATCTAATCAGTTGCTCTGTGCCTTCTTTTAATTATAGGATCCCTGCCATGTTTATGGGAACTTTTAATGTGAGCATCACAGTTTTGAAGGCCATATCATTATGACCATGTTTGATCTGAGGGTGGGAAAGCAGGAGCTCACAAAATGCCTGCACAAGGTTATTCTGAACTGAGCTATAAACCAGCTTCAACAAGAGCCTAGTGTGGAAAAGAAAAAAGACACGTAAGAAAAAAGGCATGGATATCATGGAGTTTGCAACCCCGCCAAGTGGTGCCATTAAAATTACATTCAATTCTTCTCAGAAAATGAAATTAAGAAAAAGTACCACAGTTTTGTCAAATAACACTATATAAGGACATTCTGAGAAGGGAAGAATGAAAAAGACATAAGGATAAACGCATCATCTCCATCTGAGTGTGGCAACAGGATATGATTTACAGAAGAAAAATTAAATCATCATGATTGTTAGAGCTGAATTGCAGCTGATATAAAAATAATCCTGAGTCACAACGCACGTGACTTCTCAGGCATACAGAACACAATTGCTTAAAACTTTATAAGTGATAAGACTCCTAATAGAGAATTAGCTTTCTTGCAAAACACTCTGTATAAGCTGTGCTGTAGAAGTACAGAAGTATCTTTTCTCAGTTACATTTGTTATATGATATCCTGTGCTCAGATACTCTGATACTTCAGGTATCGCCTCATTCTACACTCTTTTCTTTGGGCTATCTCATTCATTCCTATGACTTGAACCTTTGTCTCATCTAGCTCTCTCCCATGAGCCCAGCATCTCTACCTGCGCGTCTCACATGTACAAAGTTAACCTGTCTAAAGTTGACCTCACTGTCTTCCATCTCAAATCTAGTCTTATCAGTATCCAACCAGTTATCCAAGCAAGAAAAAGGAGTTACCCTATTCTCCTCTGTTTCATTTTGTACATCCAATTTATTAACCTGTCCTGTAATGCCTAAAACAGCCCTTTACTGTTTACAATTATGTCTTTTCCTTCTTATTTTTACTGCCATTGCTTTGTTTGTTTGTTTTTGAGACAGCGTCTTGCTCTGTTGCTAAGGCTGGAGTACGGAGAATGATAGTTCACTGTAGCCTTGAACTCTTGGGCTCAAGCAATCCTCCCACCTCAGCCTCCCAAGTAGCTGAGACTACAGGCGCCACCACTTTCAACTAATTTTTGGAGAGATGGGGTCTCACTTTGTTGCCCAGGCTGGTTTCAAACTCCTGGCCTCAAGTGATCCTCCTACCTCGGCTTTGCCATTGCTTTTGCTCAAGTTCTTAATTAGTCTGTTACTTGTCCAATATTTTTTTATATTACTGTTAGTTATAACTAACATATTTCTCAGCCACAACAAAAAGCAAAGAGATATACCCCCTGCAAAATAATTGCACAAACCAAAACAATGCAAACAAATCCAACATGATCATGTCACTCCTGTACACATTATTTTTCAATATTATCTGCGGCCTGTCAGACAAAGTTCAGATTCTTTAGCAAGTCATATTGTGACTCTTATCACCGTTTTGGTCTTGTGTTCTTCTCATTTGCCTTGTGATCTAGCCACACCAAGTTGCTTGCCATTTCCCAAACACATCATGTCTTTCATCCTTCTGAGACTTGCAGTGTTTTCCTCTGCCTGGAATGCCCTTTGTAGCCTGTCTGCTGAGAATTTCTAATCCTCAATTTCCTCATCTGTATAGCAGGGCGGTAACAGTACTCACTTCAAAGGACTGTCATGGTGACTAAGTAAAAAGGTGATTTGTTCCCCATGGTATTTAGCAGATAGAAGCACTCAGTAAATATTAACATTATCATTGCCATCATTATTATTTTGTTTTTTCAACTCTAAACAAAAATATCTTCTTTGCTGAAAGTCTTACCTAAAAGTGTTGGGCATTCTTCCTCTCTGATTCTATATGCCTAATTATAGTACCACATTACACCAACTCCAAAATTGATAGAATTTTCACGTTTTAGAGCCTCTGATATTGGGGTACATCTTAAGAGTCTACATGTTGTGGCTTATGGCAGTAATTTTTCTTTTTTTGTAGTACATGTAATAATGGTATTTCTTACAATAAATAGCGTATTAGATGAAATACTATAAACTGTATGACAATTGTCATAGAAATTTGATTATCTATGGTGAATAGTGCCTATCTGTGGCAAATGGAAAATCCTACATTTTCTACGAATCAGTGAAATATCTACGCAATAAATGAAGTACTATTTGGAACTCTACACAGTAGAGAGGAGATACTCCATTTGTATATACTGCAATTTGGCAAAAACCCAGCCCCTACATCATAGCATACTGCTGTGAACTATAATGTATTTCTTAACCACAAACCCTAAACCATACATTTCAGAAATGTAGAGGTAACAGCCTGACCAAGTAGCATGCTGTCACCTCCTTTGGTTACGTAGCCCCACTTGAGAGCCAAACAAGGGCCAGGCCCAGAGTGGGCAGGGGGCTAGCTTGTGAAACTCTGCATTCCAGTAACTTAGGATTCAAGCTGAGAAGGCAGGGCGACAATGAGAAGAGAGTGTAGGAATGAGCTGAGGAAAGCCTACGGAACATGCCTCTAGACTAGCACTTTCTGATAGAAATAGAATGTGAACCACTAATACAATTTAGATTTTCTAGTAGCCACACTCAAGAAGTAGAAGAAATATAATTTAGCTAATATATTTTGTCAGGTTATTAACATATTTATTAACTTACCTATAAATGAATATTAATCGTTTTATTTATTTAACATATCTAAAATGTTATCACTTTACCATGCAATCAGTAAAAAAAATCAGCAATAAAATATTTGACATGTTTTTTCTGCTGAGTTTTCAAAACCCCGTGTTTTACCCTCATAAGACATCTCAGTTTGGATTAGCCACATTTCAGCTTCTCAAAAGCCACATGTGGCTAGTGCTTGCCACATCGAACAGCACAATTCTAGACTGTTTTGACAAAATGAGTTAAGTAATGAAATAATTGTAACAAGCTATTTCAACAGTAGACTTTTCTACCATACGGTATTGGGAATGTTTAAGATTCCTACAATAGTATATATATTTTTATATTCTTAACTTTTTTAATAGAATGGTAATGTTTCCTTCAAATTCAATCTGTGTCATATTTTGGCTGGTTTTGTCTTAAGCATGATTTGATGTTATTCCTAATGTTACTTTTACCTCATCTGTAAAGTAGGAGCTGATGAGCTGATTGTCACTTTTACCTCATCTGTAAGTCAGGAGCTGATTGGCCGGGCACAGTGGCTCACGCCTGTAATCCCAGCACTTTGGGAGGCCGAGGCGGGTGGATCGCCTGAGGTCAGGAGTTCGAGACCAGCCTGGCCAACATAGTGAAACCCCATGTCTACTAAAAATACAAAAAATTGGCCGGGTGTGGTGGTGGGCGCCTGTAATCCCAGCTACCTGGGAGGCTGAGGCAGAAGAATTGCTTGAACCCGGGAGGTGGAGGTTGCAGTGAGCCGAGATCGCACCACTGCACTCCAGCCTGGGCAATGAGGGTAAAACTCCACCTCAAAAAAAAAAACAAAAAACAAACAAAAAAAAGAGCTCGTTGTATTCAATTATAGATCTTTTCCCATTAAGATATTCCTTGGGACAGAGTGTAGGAGTATACAATTAATCTTAGTACTCTTGGTCTCTAACATAGAGCCTAACCTATAGCAGGCTCAGAATAAATCTTTGAATACACATTAAAAGGTGAACTAAGCTAGAGAGTACTGGCTATCTGGGTTCCACACTGGAATTACGTGGAGAGTAAAAAAAAAAAAAAAAAAAAAAAAAGAAAAAAGAAAGAAAATCTGATGCCTGGCCCCACCCTGAGAGATGCTGATGATGGGTCTAGAGTTGGGCCCGGGTATCAAGATTTTAAAAAATCTCCTAAGTGATTCTAGTATGCAAGAGAGTTGAGAACCACTGTTTTAGGACTTTCTTAGAACAGCTTCCTATGGCCATACCTTTACTTCCCTGTCATAAGATCCAGTTTCCCTCATATAAATTCCCTTTCTCTGAATAGACCAGAATTGTCTTGGGAGCCCTAGTAGAGAAGAGGCTAACACATTATCCCAAATGGGGATTTGCAAATTGCTTTTCCAAGGTACCAAAGAAGATTCTCAAGGTTTTAAATCTATTCATATTTATGTCTTTTCAACAAAAAGAATAAAATTCACAATATAAGCTGGCTGCTTTGCAGACGCAGGATTCTAAGAGCATTACAGCATGCAGGTAAATAGTACCCTGACATGCACATGGCAAAATTTTCTAGAAATAGAATAGCAATTAAAAATAAAGATGGAATCCAAGTACAAATGAGCCTCATTTCAAGTTAATTCTGCATATGTAAAAAGCAGATACTATTAACTGGGGTCAGCAAAGGGAAGTAGTTCATGGTTTTCTTCAGGCTACTTAGGTTATATTTACACAGTATAATTATACAGCAATGCATTTTTTGATAAGTCACTTATAAAATCCATCTCCTATAGTCACATAGCACACAAGTATTGGTATCTTTGCTCTCAAGATGGTACTTTGTCTGACAGCATTTCTTCCATCATATATGAGGTTCTGTAATGGCTGAGAGAGAAATCTGACTTCTCCTACTTCAATACAGACAACCTTTCATCATGGAGAAGGGAGCAATGGTCTCTGCACCAAGGGAACAGCAGCTGGAATGGAGTTCCTCTGACTCATAGACTGAGAATTTCCCTGCTGATTCTCAAGCTGGTTTGGCCACACTTTATGCATTCACCCTGCTTAACAGTCTTTTGTTGATGGTGTGGTAACAAGTGGCCTTACTCAGTAATAGAAAAAGCATGTTGAGATATCCCCCAAAGGCTCCTATGTGTGTTTCCTCTAGCTTTCCAGCAGGGAAAAAAGCTGCCTGCAACAACCCCACACTTATTTTTGTTTTACATCTTAAGTTAAATTTGAGAAATTAGAATAGGAATTATCTAAAAGACATGATACTTCCATGTTCACTAACCCTGATAAACAGAAGTTCCCTACTCATGCCAAAACTGTGAAGGAAGGAAATCTGTTAAGATTTCAAAGAAAGTGTGGAGTCTCATGCATACCAGCACATCACTTTCACTGACTAACCCCCAGAGGGCTGATAGGTAGCAAGTGATTGATGGGTGACATTCACTTGGCCCTAATTTTCCTATCTGAAAAGGAATGGAAAATATAACACAAGTTTCCAAGTTGCTACACTCATAAAACCAGGAGGGTGATCACCATCCACCTGTCCAGGTTGACCACAAATGTGAAATGCATGACCACATCTGCCTTACATGTATGTCATTTGTCAGTAAACACGGGCTAAGGAATTCCTTGAGCCCCATGAAGAGACAAAAAAGTTTGTCCTCAGAGAATTTACAAAAGCCAGAGTAACATTCAAGAATTTAAAATATTAAACTGGATTTGAAAGGTGATATGAAAGCTACAGGACAACTTTATCTACCGTGAGTATGTAACCACCATGGAAAGATGGGCTAATGAAATCACCAGAGCTGCCTGTGGTCAGCCAGGATGCCAGGGGCCGTGGGCCTCAGAGAAAGATTCATGGAATGAAGGATGTTTCAGGGCCACGTGTATGTGCGGCTGACAAAGCTTCCTACCTTTTTGGAAGAACTCCTCTAGTTTGTCCTTGAAAGGCTGGAGATACTCCTTTGGGGACTCCTTGCACACCACCACCATCTGTTTCTCACTTGCTGTGAAGAGAAATTTAGAATTAGACTTAGGAACACAGATTTGCTGAGCTCCTGCTATGGGCCAGGTACTGTGCTATGCACTTGGCTATCAATTGTGCACACTCCTTGTCAACCACTGTTGGTCCAAATTCCAGGATTGGGGGGCAGGGGGAACAAAACCCAGAAATAATAAACAAACCAACAAAAATAATTAGTTCATTCTACACCACTCTTGAGGAACAGGGCAATGTACAATCCTTCCATTTTTCTTCTAGAGATCCAGAAAAGTCTCTGACCTGGGATAGGTAAAGTATTCTGCTTGTGTTCTCCCAAAGATAAAGAGAGGCAAAAACTACTTGAGGATTAGTCTCACGAAATTAAGGGCCTCAGCCCTCCTCAGATTCACACTCCAAAAGTAGAGCTTGAAAAATATATTGCAGAAATTCTCAGGCACCCAAGTTGTCTAGAACTACCAACCTAGTGATTGGCCAGGGTGACACACGCATCCCAACATGAGAACTAAGACCAGGTCGGGGAGGACCCTGTCAGTTCTTCATGCTTCCCGTTCACCTACCCTTCCTTTTAATCCTCTACTAACACAAGGGAAATAATTTTACATAATTTACTTCAGATAGACTATCTAAAATTTGTAATAGAGTACTTTTTGATAATCAGGTCTGAGGTGACTTGACTTTTTAAAAATGACCTACCTTATTGGATAGTTACGATTTGTCTACAGGGAAGCCACAGTAAATCATAGTTCACCATCACAAAAGGCAGTTAACCCAGCCAAGAGGCATCTCCCCAAGGTTCCTATGTGTTTGTGCCAGTTACAGCATGCACTGGGAAAAGAAAGGCTTCGTTTCTACAAAGCTAGAGCTGAGTCAAGATCACTTTCATCTGTTGACCATGGCTGGAAATTAGATATGTTCTTGTCCAAAAGCCTATTAATAAAGCACTGGATTTCACCATAAAGATATCATGCCACCTGGGGTTCACAAAATAGAGAAACATATACTACAGATCTTGGAGCAATTTATAAACACACAGGTAAGGTATTTTGGAAGAAGGAGGTTGGGAAGGAGATCTTTATTTACATTGGGAAATTCCTATCCAATAATTTGGCATATTTAAAACTAGCATCTCAGAACGTATACTGCAGGCAAAGCAATAAACATGTCAGTTCAGAAATAGAGAAAATGCAAAAGACACCACTTAAATGTTCTCTGAAATTAGTTATCTGACACTTTTCATTTGCAATATTGCCAACTAGATTGCAGAAATCCTAGACAACCCTGGGGACTACAAAACGGTGCTGAAAATGAAAGTACAATTTGAGGGAACCCTTTGTCATTTTCTGAGTCAAGGTCAGAATCACCTACATTTTCAGAGGTATCTAGGGATTTCTCATGATACAGGGATGCTAGGTCACAGGACAGGGGTACCGAAATTCAAGCTCTATCTATTGACATTGTTTCTTAAAGAGTTTTTATAGAGCTATCTAGAATATCTGCTATTAGCTATTCTGACAACCATTCCAAGGCTATCTAGGAAATCCTGTCCGTTGGGAGGCAAAGACTAATTTTTTAAATGACTTATCTTATTGAAAAAATACAAATCTTACCTTGAAACAACTAGAACAAATTCTATAAATCCAGTCAAATAATCATTTAAAACATTCATTTTTTCCACATTTTTTTCCTTTCTTTGTAAGCCTTTTTGTCCTCTCTACAATAACTACTTTATAGCTTCTCTGCTATTATGAGATTACCCTTCACCTCTTTTGAAATAGATGGATCTGTGGCCAAATGGTAAGTATATCCTTCCCACTACCATTCTTTTCTCAAAATAGGACACTTTGCGCTAGAGTAGTGTCCAAGGAGCGAGAGAGTAGATAGAGCTGGGATATATTTTGCAGGTGTAACAAATAGGTCTTGCTGATTCAGTCAAGGTAGGGTTGAAGCAGATGGAAGGGTAAAGGAGTGGGCAATGGGTTGCTGGAAGTGCCATTTGCTGAGATAGAGAATAGTGGGGAAGTATCTTGTTGGATTATGTTTTTTTAAGAGACAGAGGAGATCAAGAGTTAAATTTGATGCTTAAGTTTTCTCTAGTCTCTATAAATTGTAAGGCAATCTTGTCCCCTGAAAACAAAGGGGGAAAGGTACAAAAGAAGATAAAACTATTAATGGGTTCTCATCACAAATTCAACTAAATTCAAACTTCGGGGACTTGGATTATTTAAGGCCTTTTCCATTATGGCATATTTCAGCTCTATTTCCCACATGTATTTGACTAACCAAACCAAAGCTGTTCAATGTTTTCCAGTTACATTATTCGGCATTCCCAGTTCCATGTCTTCATTCATGTGGTTCTCTGCTCTGCTCTCATGCCATACATTCTTTCAACAATATCTGACAAAGTCCTGTTCATCCTAAAAAGCTTCTCTGAGATGCCAACATTGCCACAAAGCATTTTTCAATCCAATGTTTTTGCATCTTTCAAACATATCTATCACCGTCTGCACAGTGTTTATGTTTTACCTTTAATATTTATGTAAAAGTCCATACATTAATCCCTGAGAAGTCATCATGCAGGATTCATTTACTTCTCCCCAAACTTCTCTAGAGAGCTCCATGTATCTGGCGAAAGCATCAGATTTCCTTATCTTGGCTGAATGTCGTGGTTCGCACCTGTAATCCCAGTGCTTTGAGAGGCCTTGGTGGGAGGATCACTTGAGGCCAGGAGTTCAAGACCAGTCTGGCAACACAGTGAGACCTTGTCTCTCAAAAAAAATTTTTTAAGTTATCCAGGCATGATGGTGCATGCCTGTAGACCCAGCTACATGGGAGGCTGATCTGGGAGGGTTTTTTCTGCCCAGGAGTTCGAGGCTGCAGTGTCATACCATTGTACTCTGGCCTGGGTGATAGAGTGAGACAGACAGACAAGAAAGGAAAGAAAGAATGAAAGAATGAAAGGAGGAAAGAAAGGCAAAGGCAAAGGCAAGGCAAGGCAGGAGGGAGGGAGGAAAGAAGGAAGAGAGAGACAAAGAGAGAAAGAAAAAGAGGAAGGAAGGAAGGAAAAGGAAAAAAGAAAAGGGAGGAAGGAAGGAAGGAAGGAAAGAAAGGAGAGAGGAAGAGGTAGGAAGGGAGGGAGGAAGGAAAGAAGGAAGGAAGGGGAAAGGAAAGAAAGAAAGGAAGAAAGGGAAAAGTAGATGAAGAAAAAAGGTTTCTTCATCTTAACTAGATTCTCACGTGTAGGAAAGTTTAAATAAAATTAGCAATGTTGGCTTGGCACAGTGGCTCGTGCCTCTAATACCAGCACTTTGGGAGGCCAAGGCAGGTGGATCACTTGAGCCCAGGAATTTGAGACAAGCTTGGCCAAAGTGGTGAAACCCTGTTTCTACAAAAAATACAAATACTGGCTGGGCATGGGGGTGTGCACCTGTGGTCCCAGGTATTCAGAAGGCAGAGGTGAGAGGATCACCTGAACCCAGGGAGGTCGACACTGCAATAAGCCATGACCACACCTCTGCACTCCAGCCTAGTCTCACAGGGTGAGACCCTGTCTCCTGTCTAAAAAATATATATACATACATATTAGCAATGTTGACCCAGACTCCAAGTGGGCTTTCCAGAGATGCAATGTGACTTGCTTGCCCTTCCCCTGCACCAAGGGGTCACCGTCTCTGTGTCTCTGTACTCCTCAAACATGGTGAGGTGTCCCAAGATGATCTAAGGTTTGAGTGTATTTTAAAGACCCCCAGAAATGTCCACCACCTCATCCCATGAGTCATAAGCAAGGTAACAAAGGTAACAAAGATGATTATCCTGATTGGGTAGTTCTCAAGGTAGGCAGGGAAGCAGGAAAGACATCTGTTTTAAGGAATCAGCATTTCTCAATGAACATTTGTGGCCACATAAACTTTCCTGATTATTTCCAGCTATGATTCTGAGAATACAGTTAAAGAAAAGCTAGGATTTCCCACAATATAAATTGGGAGGAGTTCCTTAAATTATTTAATTAACCCTCTACTATATTCAAATTCCAACAATTTCATTTATATAGAATTGTTTTTCATGAACGTAGTATAAAACATGCCTGCAATTTACTAATAGGATATAATCGAACGCCTGACAATAACTCCTTCAAGGTTACTTCTCCCTGGTGAAAGCAAAGCTGAAGGCAGAGCTTGTTTCCCCAATTACAAAAGCAATACTTTCTCTTTTGCCTGAATTCACAGGGTTGATCGCTGCAGCTCTCCCTTTGTGCTAGATGTGGTGACAGAGCCCATGCGGTGCCCATCAAATTGCTCCAATTTTATGAGGCCATATCATGGGGGTGGTAAAGAGCTTGTGCTTGGATTGAGACCCACTAGGACTCAGGTGGGCTGTGGCTTGTTTTTCTCATCTGCAAAATGGGGACCTCCCGCAACACAGGCATGATATGATATTTAAGATAATACATACATAGTGATTTGCAGAATGCCTGGCACTCACAAGCAGGCTCATAAATATTATTTGTTATTTTTATGTTTGACTAAAATTGGTTGGGAAACATGTCAAGGTCAGAACAGCAAGAGAGTCATGGCTGGGGATTATTTGCTACAGATGCTGGGCACTGTATTTACGGAAATATGCCACGGTGCAAATCTCCTGTTTAGAACATAGGGATAATGATTTTCATTCCCGTGCTGAAGTTCCACCACCCATTGTGAGAATTCACTGAAGAATGCAGGCGAAGTCTTGGGGAAAGACGAAGCAAAATGGGAAACAATTCCCCTAGGCCTCTGAGCTTCGCGGTTTTGAAATTAGAAACTGAAACCAGTACAAACGAGAGCAGCTCCACTGCTGTGCTCCAAGGCCCTCTCTGCAGCCCCACGGGCTGGGATTCCCACGTGGCCTGTAAGAATTAAACTTCCCCACATGATCAAAGGAGAGGGCTGCCCTCCGACGGTCCCCACAGAGCCACGCGCCCCGGAGGCCAGGCAGCTTGCCTGCTCCAATTTATTGACTTGGCTTATCCGAGATGCTTTCTAGCAGACAAATGGGAGACCTGAAGGCTAATTAATGATGACACCGGAGACTGGCAGTGCATAAAGGAGAGAGGTCATGGACAGATCCACAAATGTCCTTCACTGTTCAACCGGAAGACTCGCATACGATATTGCTAGACCACCAAGGTTGCCTCAGGCGTGGGCTGTGCCAGGAGCTCCAGTTAAAAGCCAAAGTCACCCCAGGTTCTCTTTCTGTTATTTTTCTCTTTACACAATTTTTTGGCAATTAAAAATATATTAATTTCCGAAGTTAGTTACTACTAAGTGATCACTGTGAGACAGAGATGAAATATTAAAAACCAATACATAGTGAAATAACTGAGACTACATGGAGAATATTTTCACTTACAGGTTAAACACTGGTGGAGTATTTTAGTGAAAGGAAAGATATGGCCTAGACTATTTTAATATTTCAGATATTAGGCTGTTAAGGTCAGAATTATCTGTTTTTTGTTTTTCACCCCTAAGAACAAGGGAATAAAGCTTATTAAGCCACTTAAAAAGCCTAGGCAGGTTAGAAAAATGTAGCAGTAAGACCCAGATATAATTCATCAAAATCAAATACGTTTAATTGCTTTGTAAATCAAATGTATGTGGGCAATTGGTATGAAGATATGAAACTTGTTTCTTTTTGTATGAGCTGAAGGACCTGTGGGCTTAGTTAAGTCAGAATACAGTTTTAGAGGAAAGGAAAGGTTTATCAGGCTATCTGCTTTTCCAGAGTTCTCTCTTCTTCCCTGTCTGGTTACCTAAGTCTTACCCCACCCTTCCACAGTCCTGCGCCAGTTCTGCCTCTTCCTCACTTTTACAAGATCCATGTCCTGTTCACAAGCTCCCTGCTCAAAGGACCGCCATAGAAAATGGCTGCAGCAACATATGGAATTTTTTTACTAAAGCAAATTCTTGTATTATATCAATGGGGCTTAGATGAGAGACATAAAGTGAAGCCAGAGATCAAAAGCCTAGAATGCTTGGTTAAGGAGTTTATCATACAGGAATCCATTCAATAAATACATCAGTTCGGCTAGGCGCGGTGGCTCACGCCTGTAATCCCAGCACTTTGGGAGGCCGAGGCGGGCGGATCACGAGGTCAGGAGACCATCCTGCCTAACACGGTGAAACCCCATCTCTACTAAAAATACAAAAAATTAGCTGGGCGTGGTGGCGGGCACCTGTAGTCCCAACTCGGGAGGCTGAGGCAGGAGAATGGCGTGAACCCGGGAGGCGGAGCTTGCAGTGAGCCGAGATTGTGCCACTGCACTCCAGCCTGGGCGACAGAGCGAGACTCCATCTCAAAATAAATAAATAAATAAAATAAAATAAATAAACACATCAATTCAACACATGTCTACTGAGCACCTACTACGTGCCATAAATTGTGTCAGATATTGGGGTTCCATCAGCAAAAGAAACAGACTAAATTCTCTGCCCTCAGACATTATAGTGAATGGGTCACCAACTAAGATTTCTTAATGGGTATGGCACGCAGTAATTATTGTTTCTAGTAACTTGAACTGCAGGCAAACCTACGAGTTATTTCCTTCCATGTTCATCTTTTCTACTTTAATCCCTTTAGTAAGAACAGGACCGTCTAGTGCACTTCCTGGTGGTGGGGTGGGAGGACGTGGTTAGAAAAAGTGAATGTCCTTTTAGCTTCCTGCCCCCAAACACACTTTTATCAAAACAAATGTAAAAACAAATTCAGAACTCAGAATCTCAATATTAGCTTAACTTGCACAATTTTCTTCTTATGGCATTGGCCTTAAACTGACTAAGGAATTACATGAAATGCAATGTAATAAAATACTAAAGTTAGAACAGTAATATTTTATTTTGGCTAGCAGCAATGCATGGACTTCTATGAAAGGGGAAAATCATACTTACAATTAATAAAATATTAGATATTTTTTCATTTGCTTATTAAAGCTTGGCACAAATGAGAAGGTACTATTTTGTGGCTATCTACTGTACACACTTTTTTATAAGGCCATATAGAAAAGGCCACACAAAGGGAGGTTTCAAGTTGATTTAAGCCAAAAACAAATGACAGAAGCCTGCAATAAAAAGTACCTATTTCATGTTCTTGAGGTCTGATGCTACACAGCAGGAGTATTTTAAATCTTGGCAGGGTTAAGAGTAGGGAGTGGTATTACTGGAAATCACAGGGTGAGGATAACTAGGAGAGGGCAAAGGGGAAATCTATTCAAGGAGACACCGACATAAGTTAGATTTTGAAAGGGACTGCTACACCCATTTTCTACTAAATAGCCCTTCAAAGCCCACATTTCTCAGCTCAAATCAGACAACTGTGCATTAATGACCCATATGTGGAAAATCTATATGTAACCAAAGGTGTTTTCCTTCTTTAACCTTGGTTTGGGGATTCACCTGACATCATATGCAAATTTTTCCTCCTAATGACTCTATTCATCCAAAGGCAAGACACTATATTTAAAGTGGTCAAAAAACTCCGAATTCCCAGTTGTCCATTCAAGTTAAAACACAGGCTTTAGACACATGGAACCCAGGTCAAAATATTATCTCAGAATAATGTAGCTACATACATGGACTTAGACAAACAAGTGCCTTTTTATAGACAAACAAGTGCCTTTTTATATCTACACATACATAGTGTCTATGCCTCAAAAGCTAATTAGAACATTGTACTTAGTGAATAGAGCTTTAGTATACTCCAAGAAGTAGAAACAATCCAAATGCCCATCCATCGTCTGATAAATGGATAAATAAAATATACTTTATACACAGAATGAAATATTTGGCCATTAAAACAAATGAAGTACAAGTACATACTACTACATAGAAGAACGTTGAAAACATTATGCTAAGTAAGAAAAGCCAATCACAAGAGACCACATATCCTATGATTCTACTCACATGAAATGTCCCAGTAGGCAAATCTATAGAGACAAAGCGGATTAGTAGTGGCTGAGGACTAGGAGAGAAAGAGGGAGAGAGAGAGAGGTGACAGCTAAGGGGGTAAGGGAGAAAAGTTTTCCTTTTGGAGTAATAAAAATTTCAAAAAATTGATTGTGGCAATGGTTGTACAACTTTGTGAATACACCAAAAGTCATCAGATTGTACACTTTAAATGGGTGAATTATGTGGAATGTGATTTCATCTTAATAAAGCTGCCTAAAGCTAATTAGAAAGTCAGCCTTAAACTGGAACTATAATGAACAGATAAATGAAGAATGCCTCATCTGTACTTCTTTATATAAGGTAAATAATTTTAAAAATCTTAGGTGCAACTATGTCTTCATTATAATACTTACAATATTACTAAACTAGGAATCAAAAGTGGGAAATGAGTTTGAGATGCACATGTAATTGAGAAATTAAACATATTAGTCAATCTTCAAAAAGTAGCAACAAACGTTATTAAAATAAAAGACCTGGCCGGGCAAGGTGGCTCACGCCTGTGATCCCAGCACTTTGGGAGGACAAGGCGGGCAGATCACCTGAGGTTGGGAGTTCGAGACCAGCCTAATCAACATGGAGAAACCCTGTCTCTACTAAAAATACAAAATTAGCCAGGCGTGGTGGCGCATGCCTGTAATCCCAGCTACTCAGGAGGCTGAGGCAGGAGAATCACCTGAACCTGGGAGGCGGAAGTTGTGGTAAGCTGAGATCATGCCATTGCACTCCAGCCTGGGCAACAAGAGTGAAACTCCACCTCAAAAAAAAAAAAAAAAATAAAATAAAATAAAATACCTACTAAAAATAACTGAACTCAATAATAGAAATACAAGTAAAGCATTTAAATTAAAAGTGCTAACTTTTGGAAAATTAAAACAATAGCTTTCGCACATTCTTAATTGTGGCATACAGCTATGTATATATATTTACACATATACACCAACAATTGGTACATTAGAAAAATTTCCCCTTTGAGGAACATCACACAACGGGGCCTGTTGTGGGGTGGCGGGAGTGGGGAGGGATAGCATTAGGAGATATACCTAATGTAAATGACGAGTTAATGGGTACAGCACACCAACATGACAAATCTATACATATGTAACAAACCTGCACGTTGTGCACATGTACCCTAGAACTTAAAGTATAATAAAAAAAAAGAAAAAAGAAAAAAAATTTCCCCTTTGAACTACTCTTGATTTAAAGATGCATTTATTCTTAGTTTTTCATACACTCTATTTGGCTGGAAAAGTTATTTAATATCTGACTCTTAGTTTCTTGATACATAAAATCTTGTGAGGACTAAATAAACATGTGAAAAAAAAGCATTTTGTATGCTGAATAGTAAAACGCTAGCCAAAATATTCTTCAGCTATTTTAAATAATCAAACAGTAGAAAGGCTGGCTAGATAACATACTGTACGCGGCTTTATTCTTTGTTTCCAAGAAGAGCTAAACAATAACAGCAACCTCACAAACTCTTTGAATAACTGACATTCCTAATGTTTGTGTGTTTAATAAACAAATCATGTTACAGTCTAATCATTTTCCCAGTCCAACTGTCTTTTAAAATTTGCAATACTCACTTTTTCCTATTTCTTGTTTCATGACCCACTGAAATTTACTTCCTCCCCATTGTGACACTGAGAAAGCACTCTGAAGTCACTAATTAACCCATCCTGTGGGCAGTGTCCTCATTTTGTATCTCCTTCGCTGACAACCCAGCAGGATTCTGCATCTTGACTACTTCTCCTTTGTAAAACACTTTGTCCCTTAGCGTCTGTGTTCCCCATTGTGGGCTTTCCTCCTACTTCTGCCTGCCCTGTTTCCTATGCAGCCTCATCTTCCTATACAGAGTCATTAAACGTTAAAGTTCTCTAGGGTTTGGCATAAGGCTGCTCCTCCTCCCATGCTATGCTCTCTGTCTAGACAATGTCATCCAGGTAAACATTTCAGTAACCATATCTGGGATGTGTCTCCCAAGTTTACACAGCTAGCCCACAGTTTCACCTCCTACGGAACTCCTGAATTCATTACTCTTCACCAGGCTGCTATAGTCTCAGCCTAACTGTTCTTCCCATATCCACCCTGCCTCTCTCTGATTTGTTCTCCATACCTGAGTCAAAGTGACCTTTATAAAATCTCATTATGCCAGTCCCCTGCTTAAACCTGCAGGCACCTCTATTACTCTGAGAGGTTGTCTTCAATCCCTCAAGCTGGCCTGCAAGGCCCTCCATGCGCTACGTCTTGCCTGCCTTCCCAGCCTCACCCTGCTCTCCCTGCCACAGTGGCCCTTCTTTCCATTCCTCAAACATGCTCACTTCTTCCCATTATGGTGTTCTCCTGCTATGCCACTCTCCTTCACTTCCTAGTAACCAGGACCTAGTCAGTGCTTAGTCATCATTACGACCTCAGCTCAGAAGTCTCATCAGGTTTTTTTTTTTTGAGACGGAGTCTCGCTCTTTCACCCAGGCTGGAGTGCAGTCGTGTGATCTCCTCGGCTCACTGCAAGCTCCGCCTCATGGGTTCACGCCATTCTCCTGCCTCAGCCCCCTGCCCCCCGCTCCCTGTGCAAAGGCTAATTTTTTGTATTTTTAGTAGAGACGGGGTTTCACCATGTTAGCCGGGATGGTCTCAATCTCCTGACCTCGTGATCTGCCCGCCTCGGCCTCCCAAAGTGCTGGGATTACAGGCGTGAGCCACCGCGCCCGGCCATCAGGATTTCTTTTCCACCTTCCATTCTGTGATGAGAGACCCTCTGTTACAAAGTCATAGCACTGTATACCTTTCCCCTTTTCATGATTATTGGATTGTCTCCCTCATTAGGCAGAAACTGTATTTTTCTTACTGTTAAATCTCCAGCATCTACTGTAATGTCTATCTAGTGAAAGCTGTTCCATGGGTATTTGCTAAATAAATGAATAAACTACCAGTTAAAGGGGAGAAACTTACACATGTGCAGTATGGATATTAGTGTCTTGACAGAATTTGGCTGTAGTACATGTACACTCATGTACCTCAGAATGATGCTTCTGTCAATAATGGACCACATATAAAACAATGGTGCCATAAAATTATAATGAAGCTGAAAAATTCTGATAGTCCGGTGATGATGTAGCCTTTGTAACACTGTAGAGCAAGGCATTACCTTTCCTTTGTTTAGATACACAAATGCTTACCATTGTGTTATAATTGCCTACAGTATTCAGCAGAATACTGAATACAGTTACAGTATAGTACAGCCAGTAGTACTGTAATATACTGTTAACTATATTCAGTATTCTACTGAATAATGTTGGGGACTGTAACAGTATAGAAACCTGTGCAGATTTGTAGCGTAGACGCCATAGGCTATACCATCTAGCTTAGGTGTGAAGTAGGCTACACCATCTATGTTTGTGTAAGTACACTCTATGATGTTTGCACAATGATGATATTGCCTAACGACACATTTCTCAGAACATATCCCAGTTGTTAAGTGACACATGACTGTATGTATGTATATGTAGACACAGACATATGCACATACACCGACACGTGAAAAACATCTCTCTTCATTTGTATAATACATGTAGATGGAGGCAGGGGCTGGAGAAGACACAAGTACACTGACATTCACTCATTCACCCACTTTCACTCACATTCACTCATTCAGATACGAGATACACATTTTTTTTTAAATCCCTGTCCGGGTTCCATAAACATTCATACATTCAAAATACTTACCAAGTATCTGCTGTATGCCACTGAGCTAAATGTTGGGGACAAATATTTAATGAGACCTACTGGTCATTTCTCCTCTAAAAAACATTCACAGTCTAGCAACAATGAGAAACAAGGAAATGAACAAATTGTGATATAGTGTGGTGTGATGGAACGCTGGGTATAGGCCTCTATTTCAGACTGGGCCAGGAGTTAGTAGCCAGGAAAGGCTCTCCAGGAGAGAAAACTTATGAGTTGAACTGCAAAGGTCAAGGAGGAGCTAGCCCTCAACCACAGTGAGGAAAGAGAATTAAGGTGAAATGTCATGAATAAAAGTAATACATGATGAGAACGCACGGGCCATTTGAATGAGTTAAGTGGTGTAGCATGTCTGGAGCTGTGGGACCTTCTCTCCTCAGATCACTGGTGTTCTGCATTCAGATTTTGGTGTAAAGGAAAGAGTGTGCGTAGGGGAGAAAAGCTTCTGGGCCCCAAAGGTATCCCAGGTTACACACTCAGGTGAACGGTGAAAAGGCTGGTGACCAGCCTGGTTAGGAAAAGTGTCACAGACATAAGGGGCTTGCAATTTTACTTAAAGTAGTTAGGAAAAGTCTCACTGTGAAGCTATTTGACTAGAGATTTAATCAGAGTAAGGGAGGGAGTCATGAGCAAGCTCGAGGTGGAAAATCAAAGGTGTTATTTAGAGCACATTAAGTTTGAAATGTGAATTAGACACTCAAGTATATATAAAAGTCTGCAGTCTGGGACTCATGGCTGGAGTAGACACACATGCCAGGAAGTCATTGGTATAAAATTGGTATTTAAAGTGATAGCAAAATATGAATTGCCATGGGGAGAATACAGCCAAGGAAGAGAAGGTGTTGCAGGACAAACCCTGGGGCATGTGCACAGTGGAGGAGAGGCCAGCAATGAACAGAGAAGAGCTGGTCAGTAGGAAAGTGAAGGTCTGGAGTTACATGACCTGAGAAGAAAACAGAATTGCAGGAAAGAAAGAGCAGTCAGCTCTGTGCAGAAGGATCAAGTGAGATGAAGACAGAGAAATAACACTGATTCTAGTGACACAGAGGTCACTTGTAATCTCAAAAGCAGTTCCAGGGAAGTTGGGGGTGCGGGGAAAAAGCCAGCTTGGAGAGGCGTGAGGTAAATGGAGAAAGATTCTGTAGCCACTTGTTTAAGAAGTTAAGCTACAGAAAGAACGCCAAAATGGGGAAGTCGTTGGAATTAAGCCTAAAAGATAGCTCTAGTTTTCCTGGTCAAGTGCTAAAGATCAAATGAGGCCATGGAAGTGTTGTTTTCTTGGTGACTTTAAAACTGATTTAGTTCTTATCTGCCTGGGATGTTTTTGATAGTTTCCTTTCATGGTAGTAGGACTCCTTAGAAAGATTCTTCCTTTAATTTTTCAAGAAAACTCCCAAAGCCATCATGTCATAAAAATCATTCCATACAAGAAGATATTCTCTAGGGCTACTTTGATCACGTGCAGAAGAGGTCTAGCCCTTTACAGAGCGGCTGCCTCTTTCTCCAGAGGAATGTTCCATAAAAATAAACCCACCAGGAAGCTGGAGTCCAGGGGAATCCCATGATTCTGATTCACTCCACTGAGGGAGGCTGCCCAAGATCAAATTCACCTTAATGTACCATGATTGGGAGTGAGTATTCTCCATGAAAAAATTTAAGCAGAGGTGACAGGGCCAAGTGAGGACATGCTAGTGCGCTTTAGGACTTTTGGAAAGACTTGCAAAGCTGGGCCACTGACTACAGCCTTTGCACGGAATTGTCTAAAGCACCATTCAAAGGTCCCGCCTACCAAACGTCACAGCTGAGTCAGAATTTCCACTGTGATGATTATGTGGTTACGGACGCAGCCTCGGTCTGCGAGACATTAGCATGAAACATATTCATTAATCACCTACCCATGACGAGGCCTAAATATAGATGGATTGGGCATGATTTGATTTATAGGGTGTTAAGCGATTCAAACATTTATTCAAAAACATCCCTTTCACTGGTCCCCACAAAAATCGCCACCATGAGAAGCCTTCCCTTGAATTAAAGATGGTAACTCCAGAAATTTCATTAGAAATGCATATGTATTCGTTGAAAAAGAAAACATTGTCAAGAATAATTTAATGCTTTAGTAGAAATGTATTTCTAAGATTGGTTTAGGAGGTAGGGGATTTCAAAAACAATAGGTAGGAAAGTTGTGTTAACATGGAAGAAAAAGGCACATACTGCAAGCTCTGGCATCGAGGTGGACTGTGTGGCAGGGGTCCTAGGCAGGCAGCCCAGGCATGGAGGTACCGGGCCTCTGAAGGGGAAGGGAACTCATCTTCGGGAGGAGAGCAGCGACTAACTTCTAAAAAGTATTAGGAAGGTAACATATACACACAAAGACATTTGAAAAACATTTTTAAAACAGCAGAAAAAACAAATCGGTCATGACACCATGACCAAAACACAGTCACCATCTAAGACTTGCATACTTTCTCTTTCAGGGTCTGGGCCTCGGTATCGCGCTCCTTGCCCCTCCATCATTTTATGGGGGTTGCCTTACTTATATTTGATAAAGAATTTTTTTGTATTTTGATTCTTTCTATTAACATATCATGCACACATTCTCCTGTTATTTCACAAACTCCACAAGCATGTTTAACAGCCATATAAAATTTCATCAGGTAGGCATGCCATAGCTCACTTAATTCTCCTGTAGTTGGATAGTGAAATCCTTTCTACCTTATTCTCATGGGGAGTCAGGCTTGAGCCACATCTGTGTCCATACAAACTTATTCTAGGTTGAGGGTCATTTCTTTAGGAAATGACCTAAAGATACAAGATACAAAGATAAAAGATACAAGAAATGAAATTATAGGTAAAAAGGAAAAACCTTTGTAGAATTCTTGATATTAGTGGTCAAACTGTTTTTGGTACAAAATGGGTTGTACCACAATGGGAGAGATGAAGGGGAGAGATTTTGGAAATAAAACCATTTTCTGTACCACTCTGCAGAGGTGGCTGGCTCCATGCAAGCTAGAACGGTGCCTGTCACTGTCATGTAGGGACTACGGTCATCACATTGGAAGTGCAAAACTCTGGAATGGAAAACAGTAAGAGGACCATCCATCCACTGAAGTAATTTACTCAAACACAAGACCATAACTGGTGATATATGAGAGTTGATATAGAAATTGGGGATTAATCACAGCATAAAACTAGGTTTGAGGCCTGTGCATGAAAGTAGCTCTTTTTTTTTTTTTTGAAAGGCCCTAATGTGTCACGTTTAATTGGAATGTAAATTATGCTACTGTCAGCACTAGCAAAGCTGTCTGAACTTGGGGGAAGTGTACAGCAAACTTACATCAAACACTCAGAGTTTTGTAATATACATTTATATAATTATGAGCACACAAAATTTTAAATGCTCAGACTTTCCAATCAACAATATCAAGTAATCATTTGGACATACGATTGCAATTCAAGTCATTTGTGAAGAACATATAGAGCCTATATTTTGGGGCACTCCCATTGAATAGTACTTCAAGAAGCATACAGGTATCATTAGTGCAAGACAATGGTTAAAAGTCAGCAAAGGCAGAGCAAAGTTGTTAGCTAGAACGCCTCACTCCTCCCAAAATTATAGCAACACATCTTATCCACTGCTCTAATCAGGAAAATAGTACTCCTATAGGAATGCTTAAATACTAAATATGTCCTCTGAAGTCAAAATGCATATTTTGTGGCAATTTTTACTAGAATTGAGGATTCTCTCACACATACACGTCTTGAAGGCCACAGGCCTGAGCCTCTTTATGAATCAAGGAAATCAGTAAGAGGAAGAGGTATTACAGCAATGCTGGTCTTAGGACTAGTCCCCTTCCAGCAGTGCAACAGCTGGCTACAAAGAGGCCAGTGATTAAGATACACAAGGCCTATTAGTAAAAAGCAACCTGTCCCCACATTGCTCCACCAGGACAGCTGCAAGTCTTCCACGGTTTCTCTGACCTCTGAGCCCATGTTCCCGTTTCAGCCCTCGCTGGTTAGTCACATTAACTGTAATTTTCTACTCTGGAAAGTGTTTACATCTAAATGAACCATGAGGGAATAAAGGAGAAATGACAGAAAGGCATAAAGAGAAGAGAGGGAAAAAAAAAAGGATGGAAAGTTATTTTTAAAACACACAACCTAATCTGGTGGATGAATTCTGGTATCTAGTCTTGGCTCCAGAATCACTGGCAAAGCATGGAGCTGGCAGCCACTGCTAATCAGTTTGCCACTGTCTTCAGATTTAATGCAATATTTGGCTCAGACATTTAAAAAAATCCTATTCCAGCTAAAATATTTACACAGTCCTATGTGTCTCACTTAATGCCTGTTAAGCAATCGTCTTTTAAAACTCCACAGACACTTGTAAATCTGTCGGGAGAATTGTGGCCTATAAACAAGGTTTCATATAAAGAAGGCTGCATTGTCAATTTTGGGGGAGTAGGGATTTCTTAGGATGTGTTTGAAAATAGAGTTGAATATCAGAAACAGTTTAGAGTGGGTAACAAAGTGGCCAATAGTCTCGCTTGCTGGACGCCGTTAGTGGTATTAACGGGAAGCCTCCAGACACTGATCTCAGCTATTTAAAACTGTGCTCTCCTGTAAATCTGTCATTGATCCTACCTCTCTCTTGAGTTATGGCGCAGGGACAGTTTCTGGTCCAGCAGCCCCTGGTAGTCTGCATCCTAGGGCCTGTCAGGCTAGAGATGATGAGCTGCTGGAGCCTTTAACAGGAGGCTATTACGTGGTTATACGTAAAGTGAGTGTGTGTAAGCATCTGAGGAAGGATGGGGGACTGCTAGAGGAGAGGGGGAGTTCTGGGCAGGGCTGATGTTGAGAAGAACAAGACGGCTGAAATGACAAATAAATAGTATCCACTGAGAGGCTAGGTGTCACAGATTCTGAAATGCCTATTAAACTCTCTAACATCTTCAGCCCTGATGTTAATAAGACTAGGTGATAAAACTTAAAGTCATGGAGGCCCCTCCAAGCTATCTCCTGTTGGCCTGGGGAGCGCAAGGAATTTGTCTCTGTCTTTGGGATGAGTCAGGTATATGTAATATGACTCAGCAAAACCGCTCCATCATTCAATTATTCCTAGATTAGCCGCCTTTTTATTTTTACTCCATTTCATTAATGAATACGCCATTGGTTATGATTCACAATTTTATTTTAGTTGTTTTTTTTTTTTTTTTTTTGATACAGAGTCTTGCACTGTCAGTCACCAGGCTGCAGTGCAATGGCGCGATCTCGGCTCACTGTGACCTCTGCCTCCTGGGTTCAAGCGATTCTCCTGCCTTAGCCTCCTGAGTAGCTTGGATTACAGGTGCCTGCCACCACGCCCAGCTAATTTTTTGTACTTTTAGTAGAGACGGGATTTCGCTATGTTGGTCAGGCTGGTCTCAAACTCCTGACCTCGTGATCTGCCTGCCTCGGCCTCCCAAAGTGCTGGGATTACAGGTGTGAGCCACCAAGCCCGGCCTATATTAGCTATATATAGCGAATATCAAGCCCAGCTTAAACACTCAACTTTGGGATTTGGTGGAGTTAGGAAAAGGTATGTCATGGATTGAAAAAAAAATTAGATGTTTGTAATTCCAAGGTATATAATGCCTTGAAACCAAGGTGGCAAGTATTAGTTGATTCTCTTCAGGATCACAGTCAGGAAGGGCTTTGCAGATGTTTTTATGAATCTTCAGAACAGCTGGAGGGAAAATTCTATATACCTTCCCTCTGTTTACCCTCTAACAGACTGACAAGTATTATCTCTGTTCTCAGGTACAGTCAGATTCCTGTTCCTGAGCAGAAGAGAAATCAGAAGTAGGAATAAATCTCTCCCCTAGAAAATGGGGATAAAACTTACCCTTAAAATGTGTTTATAAAGGACTTGATCTTTCAGTGAGTTTATTTAAAATTCGCAGTGAACTCAGTGCTAAGAATAAATATTTGCTGAACAAATTAATTGATTGAAAAGGTCAAACAAGATCTGTCTCGTATTCTGTAGTTTTTTCTTTGATACCCGGAGATTTGATGACACTTTTTAAAGACCATCAAAATGGTCCAGAAAAGGTTTAAAAACACAACCAAATTAGCACTGTTAGTACATTAGCCATTATAAATGTTCCTTGGGCGTTTCCCCTTTCTGTTTACTATGGCAGAGGAAAAGTTTCTGGTCCAGCGGGTCCTGGTCCTCCATGCTGACTTGGACATATTGCCATTTATCTCTCACTCAGTAATTCCTTGAAAACAACAACAAATTTTCAAACTGTATAATCAAAAGCAAATGGCCCTTAAATGGCCAAGGGTGTCTTAGCCCTCAGCCTGCTTTATGTGTTATCTCATCTTACCCTATGAAAGTTTTCCTGCTATTGTCCCCTTTTTGGTGAGTATTAGTAAAGTCACACAGACAGTAAGTAGCTGAGTCAGGATCTGAATCCAGGGGTAACAGACCCCCTGCCCTTATAATATGCCACCTCCTACTTTCACCATCTACAGGAAAGTTCTAGAAAAAACTATGGGACACCTATGTGAATGCTTTGTCAACTGTAAGGAATTAATAAAAGCTAAAAAAATCACCAAGTGCCACCACTGGGATCCTGTCATTTCAAATGGGGAAAAGGCCTACCAGGTGGTTAGGTTAGTAAGTGGCATGGCAGAGACTGGAACCAGGGCTGTCAATTTCCTGGTAGGTCTGTGATCTTTCCAGGAGTATTAAAAGGTAGAGTCACAGTTCATGGCCCCTATCCACCTAGGAGCCACGCTGAGGTTGAGCTATCTGGGAAAGAATCTACGAGAGATAAGGATATTGGCAAAAACTCCAGTCCCCTTTGCAGGGGCTAAGGAGGTCTCCCTCTAACTTCACTCATTTGGTTGACTGACATGAGAAGAATCTCTCTGTGGATTGTGAATCTTCCACAGAGTCAAAGATATACAACTTACTTAGGCAGAAAAAGTATTTTGATATTCACAAAACTATCCACTACTCTATTTCTGTAAAGAAAATGTTTTGACCCAATACAAGCTCATGGTATGGTAGCTTGGGCGCTGGCTTGGCAGTCAAGGACCTGAGTTCTGTGCCTGGCTGGGTGATCCCGGCCATGCTGCTTCCTATCTCGAAGACTCTGTTTTCCAAGCTGCATATGCCTGCCCTACTCACTTGGGAGGATGAAGCACCATAGGCAGGTAAAGTATCACCATTATAATTACAAGAGTACCTTTAAAAAACCAAAAAAACAGGAAATATCAAGGATACTTTGTTAATGAACTTGCCAAATTAATGCTATTTTCCAGTCCTCATACTTGATTCAGTCTTCCAGCTATCGAGCAGAATCCTGATCAAAAGCACTTGTGTTGTTTCTAAACCTGTTTATTCCTGTTGTTCTTTTTATTGAAATTATGTAATTTAATGACTTGATGGTAAACCAGATATATGACTGTCAAAAGGTACTATTTCTATAAGTTTTAATGAAAGAAGCTAAAATATTGCTGTTAAATGTAGGTATAGAAGGCCAGGGGAAACTGGGGAAACATGGCAACTAAATGCAATGTGGTAGTCAGGATTAGGTCCTGGAACAGAAAGGGGACAAAAATGGAAAAACCAGTGAAATCCATATAAAAACTAGCATTCAGTCAATCTAAATGTATCATTGCCAGTTTCTCAGTTTTAACAAATGGATCACAGCAGTGTGAGATGCCAAGAATGGGGAAAGTAACTGAGAAGAGCTATATGAGAACTCTCTACTCTTTGCAACTTTTCTGCAATTTAAAAATTATTCCAAAATAAAAATTAAAGTGTATTGTTTAAAAAGTGTGGGAAACACAGTTTTAAAAGATTGAGAACAATTATAAATATCTAGAAAGATTCTATGGTGATATTTGCAAGAGTCTTTACTGAACTTTAAAAATACAGTAGGGAAATTACAGATGCTGTCATTATGGAGTATGTAGGGAAGACCTATAGGACTGCATTCGACAGATTCATAATTCAAGTAAAAGCTTCATCCCTGCATCAGAATACAGACAAAGGATACAACATTTAATTTGTTGTAAGTTAAAGTGTTAAGGGATACAAGTGTCATTTTCCATGATTCCCAATTTTGGCCAATTTTTTTCCATTAACCTACCACACTGGATAAGCGCTCTGCTCTATAAAGACAGATGGTATCGGCTGGGCATGGTGGCTCATGCCTGTAATCCCAGCACTTTGGGATGCCAAGGCAGGTGGATCACCTGAAGTCAGGAGTCTGAAACCAGCTTGGCCAATATGATGAAAACCAGTATCTACTAAAAATACAAAAAATTAGCTGGGCATGCTGGCGGGTGCCTGTAGTCCCAGCTACTTTGCAGGCTGAGGCAGGAGAATCGTTTGAACCCGGGAGGCGGAAGTTGCAGTGAGCCGAGATTGTGCCACTGCACTCCAGCCTGGGTGGCAGAACAATATTCTGTCTCAGGAAAAAAAAAAAAAAGGATAGATGGTATCAACACAAGAATTTTTGAGGCATGAATTAATTCAAGAGATTGTTCAGAGTCATTTACAAAGAGAATACCTGAGATGCAAGCCTGATATAATTTGAAAGTTGACTTTTTAAAAAAAAGTCTTGCAAATGGTCAGAATTCCTAGGATTTTTCAGTTGTTCTAATTAAGTCAGTCTAGGGAGGAATTCAATACAGTAACCCTTCATGAACAAGGAGAATTATAGAATGCACTGAAATAGCATAGTAAGAATAATCATCTCAGAAATTCAGGAGTTGGAATATACCTTCAAAATCATCTAGCAAACTACTTGTCTAATGGTACCTCCTCTACCCACCCACATAATACAATCTTCCAGCAAGCAGTGGGTGAGGAACCCACTACTGCTCAAGGCCATCAGTTTTCTCTTCAGACAGCTTTAAAATCTGTCCCTCTAAAAGATTCTACTCACGGATGCTTATCTGACATCTTTGGCCATAAGGAAGTGATCTAATTTCTCACTAATAGCAGAGTCAGCGATTATCTGAAGTTGAGTCATTTCTTCCATTGTTCATTTGCTCATTCATTCACCCATTTACCAAATATTGACAACAAATACGTGGAAAGTGCTGACCAGCACAGTAAATATAAACATAAAAAAGGTCATATATCTGCCTTCATGAAGCTGGTGGAGGAAGAGAAAATTTACAAACAAATAAATAGAAAATAATATGAAATATGAATATGTGAAAGTAATATGAAAAACGAAGGCTGTAATAGACAGTGCCTATTCAAAGTGCCTCCTGAAGAGTGGGTGGGCAAGGAAGGCTCAGAGCATGGGCCTATCTGGCAGAAGGGCTTTCTAGGAGAGGGACCCACTACTGCAATGATCCTAGAGCAGGAACAAGTACATCGTGTTGGAACACAAAGAAGGCCCGTGTGGCTGGAGTTTAGTGGGCAGGAGGGGTGAGTGGTGTGAGAGAAGACTGGAAAGGCAGAAGTGGTTAAATCAGTTTGTACGGCATGAGTATGAGGTTGGATTTGATTCCAAGAGGAATGAAGATGAAATAACAGAGTGCTGTGACCTATGCGGCAGGTGGAGACAAAGGAAGACCAAGAGTGGAAGCAGAGAAACCTGCTTGATATGGGCCAGGTGAGAAGGTGGTAGCTTGGATTACAAAAGCAGTAGGTGTGGAGATGGAGAGCAATGAATTGATTCCAGACACTTTTTGAAGTTAAGAGTCAACAGGACTAGCTGTCAGACATGAGAGCACAAAAGGAATCAAGGAAAAGTATGACACATTTGGCATATGCTATGAAAAGGGATTTCCTTTGTGGGATCCCAGTAAATCCTCTTAAACAATCAGTGGAGCAGGTAGCCTTACACTCATTTTTATATGAGGATACTGAAATGTCAGGGATGAAATGATTTGCCAAGGGTTACAAAGCTTGTGAAGCAAGGATTTGAATTCAGGACTTCTGACCCAGACTTTTCTATGATTGCAGCTTTTATTTCAATATTTTATGTTTCTTGTCAAAGAAAAAAACTCAACAAAACACATTCTATTAACCACGTGTTTTTATAAAATAGAGGGTAGAAATAGAGGGTGCAAACTGAGAGGAGGAAACCAGGACAACATAACTCATCCTTCCCACCTAGAAATGTCACAATCACAGCTTCAAAGGAAAACACAAACTTCTTCCATTAATTAAACGGATGAATCAAGTTTCAGTTTCCTCTCTCCTTTCTGTACAACTTGTCTTTGAAGGCATTTCATTTGGGAAATGTGTGACCTTTAGTCACCATGCTCAATTAATTGAATGCTTTGCATCAAAAGTCACCATGCCGATCCACATTTTACACCCACTGCTTTTCTGAAATACTTATCCCAGTTCCTTAGGTCTGTTTTGTTGAAATCATTTTACAAAAATAAATCATATCAAAGTTTTTTTTATTATTTCTAAAACTTTGCTTGCAAAACTAAATATTTTTAACACCATGGCAACATGGTCAGGACTCTGGCTAATGTATCCAGTCTCGTACCAGAGCTCAGACTTAGTAAACTACTGCTGTGGACAAATGGGCTGTGAAGGAGGAAAGAGCTAATAAATTAGACATGGTCAATAATCATTCAAGTCATGTCTTCTGGAGCTTCCCAAAAGGTGATAAATTAGCCAGACCTGTCCTAATGATCAATACCCTGCTCTCCCTTCTAGAACACACCAGCATCCATTGAGTAAAGTGCAGACTGCAAGGCCTCTCAGGAATTTAAGTACTACCTCACACCTCCTGAGGTACTTCCTCAGGCATCGCCTCATCTGACCCTTTCAATATCCCTTTGTGTTGGGCAGAATCCAGAAGTATGATCGGCTCCATTTTTTTTTTCAGTTGAGAGTCACAGAGGCTAAGTGATGTGGCAAAGTGCATGGTTTATCATGTGATAAGAGGCAGAATTAACTTTAAACTTACATCTCCTAAATCTCAGTTCAGTACTATTTTCAACACACCAGCCTCTGTCATTGAAACTTAACAAATTCACAAATGCTTTGTTTCATTGTGGGATTTTTTGTTTTTATGTATTTGTCAAAGTTATACGTGCACGCAGTTTAAAGAATCAGTACATTCTATGCACTTTAAGAACAGCAGTCCCCCATCTCCACCCCACCATTTCCTCAATTCTTCCTCCTCAGAGGCTACCTCTTTTACCAATTTTATGTGATTATTTGGTGCTTAGTAGTATGTCTCTAACAAGCTTCTATTGTTTTTTTTTTATTTTTCTCTTTATCAACTATAAATGATGTAGTTCTTTCCTTCACTCCCGCCTCTTCACTTCCATCACCCCAATATAGCACACGGTACCATGACTTGGTTAGACTAGCGTTTGGTGTTGACATTATTATGACTTTGCAAAAACAACTCGCAGTCCCAGCTGATATATGGAAACTCTGATTATTCCACATTTCCCGCACATTTCCTCTTTCTCTCACACTTGCTCTCAGAATTTTTTTTTCTGATTTAGTTTGTTTTCTATGAGCTTAACGTTAAATGAACCTCACACTTGTTACTAGTTGTATAAAATCTCTTGTCCAAACGTTCAGATATATTAGATGTATTAATTGTGTATTCCTTAAGAACCTTCTCCATGATGCTTTTGACTTAATCAAATCTGAAATGTTTTCTTTCAATGTCTGGCTGCCATCCTGGGCTTTTTCTCTGTGCTGGAGGCTCCATTCACCTTCCTTCTCCACTGAATTTTTATTTCCTGTGACCTATGTCTTCCTCTTTAATGGGACAGCACTTTCTTTAGTAGCATCCTGAAGATAACTGTATGGGAGATAAGTATTTTGAGAAATTGCATGTCTCAAAATGTTTTTAATCTGTCCTCATATTTGACTAATAGTTTGGTGGATATAAGGTTCTGGACTGGGAATAATTTTTCTTCAGAATCCTGATGCATTTGTAGCTTTTAGTAATGCTACTGAAAAGTCTGAAGTCATTCTGTTTCCTGACTGTGTGTGTAATCCATCCCCACATCCCACCTACTCCTAGAAGGGGGTGAGCTTTTCTTTTTGTCCTAAGTATTCTGAAATGTTCTAGTAATAGTATAAATCTGTTTTACTTCCCCCATATTAGTCAAATATCACATGGTAAGTGGCAGAATTAACTTTAAACTTTTGTCTCCTAAATCCTAGTTCAGTGCTATTGTCAACACCCCAGCCTATGCCATTGAAACTTAACTGCCATTCACAAAGCTTCATTTCATTGTGGGGTTTTTTGTTTTTGCATATTTTTTGTATATTTTGTATATTAATCAAATACGGGGGAGTAAAACAGATTTATACTATTATTAAAACATTAAAACTTTTTAGGCCTTTTAAAATTAGGAACTCATCCAACATTTTTAGACATTTTAAATGACTGTATTAATTTATGTACAAATATGTATGACTTTCTGCATGTTTGTATAAATATGCACAAACTTGTGGTACATGTAAGTCTTATAGTAAAAGTTGGATTGCTTCTCACCTCCTATCACTCCTGGATTAGAATTCAGCTTTCTTGTTTGATTAATTCATTTATCATGTATACATCTGTTTTTGAGTTTCCAAAATTTTGTGGTTCTCTCTATGCTTTAAAATTGATGCTTTTAAAGAATTCTACTATCGTTCTAGAAATTTTCAAAAGGAACTGAAATTCCATGAGTGTTCAGTCCTTGATGAGTGTTCAATCAATGACGTTTCCACCAAAGTCCTCCAAAAGGTTTCCAAAGTGACTTTTCCCCCTTACTAGAACCATATTGTTGTTTATGGGCCATGTTTTAATTAGTAATTAAAGAAAATTTTCACCCTCATGACAAGATCTAATTTTTGTCTTTTTTCCTCTTACAAGAAGCATTTAAACTCTCATGGAGGGAAAGCCACTTGAAGACACCAGGTGGCAGAGGTCATTCGTTTTGCAGGGTCAGGGCTGGTCTTGAGCACAGGAAGCATAGCTCACCCTCTTATGTGACTTGACAAGTTCTGGAAAATTCCCTTACCTTCTCATCTACATCAGGAGCCCAATACATCTAACTTCCACACATGGAAGAGATAACAAAACCTTGCAGGTTGCCCAGGGATGGCCCTTTAGTCCTCTGCTATTAGTTCAGTTAGCCACATCAGACTAGTATGCTTTCTTTTGGGTCACGAAGGAATAAAACAGAGGCTAGGTCAATGTCAGAGAGACAGAGAGGGAGTCAGAGAAACTGAAAAATATTGACAGGCAGGAGGTGGAAGGAGAGAGACTACAATAGGCAGACTGGTTGAGTGGTTGTATGTAGAGACAAGAGAAAGCCTGAATTCAATCCAATTTTTATCTGTAGTCCCTTTAGAAGATGAGCCACAGAACGAAGTGGGGCTTATTCTTCAAACTTTATCATTCTGGATCACATTTTTTGTGCTTTTAGGGTGAGCCTGCAAACTGTAAAGGAACAAAGTACGGCACAGATAAACCTGTTTCAAATTTCAGCTTTGCCAGTAGTAGCAAAGTAACTTCCACTTCCTTACTGTAACAACACAGGTAATAACACTTACTTTGAAGGAGTTTTAAGAAATAGAAATGATGTAAGCAAATTTGCTGGTATTAAGTGCTCATTAAATGGTAAGTGTTGTCATTAGTGATGGTGGAAATGGACACACGCCACACCCTTAACCACATTTATAGACCCTTTGTCCACTGTCTACACTGGTAGGGAGGAGAATTTTATTGCTGCCATTGTTTAGAATTGCTAGTGCATAATGATAATAAAAAACGAACTGACTTCTAGTTGACTTTATTATTGCTTTTAGATTCTCTACAGACATGCCAGATAAAAAACAGTACACCAAGTTAAATTAGAATTTCAGATAAGAAAAAATTTTTTAGTGTAAGTGTGTACCATGCAATATTTGAGATACACTTACATTTAAAAAAAAACCCTGAAAGAAAAGTATTGGGCCTCCTGAATTTTATTTAATAAATTTGACAACCCTAAGAGTAAGGAAGAACCATTTTGCTTCCTAAGATAATATCAACAGGAAACACTTTCTTAAATTCTCTTTGGGGCCCAATAGCACTGACTGACTCAGGCAAGGGCCACACTTTCATCGGAGTGGACAGATACATTGATTCCTGACAGAACAAGAGCCAGCATGGCTGTAAGAAGCCAGAATCAAAGAGGATGGTGACGAGGCAAACTTGCATTAAAAGCTGCTGAAGAGCAGGGACAGAGGAACCGTTTCCCCTCCCACAGTAACACAAAGTTGAATATCCATTAGATTAGCAACCAGTTCTTAGCATTCCTCCCTCCTACTCATAGTCAACTCTTGATCAACTGCAGTAATAGGAAGAGAAAAGGACATCACACATAACCCCAAATGAAAATGAAAACAAAACTGATCAAGGGTAAGATCAGGTCCAGTGGTGGCTCATGCCTGTAATCCTGGCACTATGGGAGGCCAAGGCCGGAGGATCGCTTGAGCCCAGGAAATTTGAGACTAGCCTAGGCAACACAGTGAGACCCTGTCTGTACAAAAAATACAATTTACAAAATTAGCTGGGCGTGGTGGTATACATCTGTAGTCCCAGCTGCTTAGGAGGCTGAGGTAGGAGGATTGCTGGAGCTCAGAATATTGAGGTTTCAGTGAGCCATGATTGTGCTGTTACTCTCAAGCCTGGGCAATAGAGCAAGAACCTATCTCAAAAAAAAAAAAAAAAAAAAAAAAAAAAAAAAAGAATGAGATCAAGCGGTAAGTAATGACATGTGGCCTTGTTTCTGCTAAGTCAGACCTGCCCTCCCCTACGTTACTAGAGATCCTGACTCCTGCAGGCAGGACCCAGTAATATCATTTCACCAACAACCGTGTTGCTAGTACAATCAATATCCTTTCTTCTTAAAGTACCTTTTACACAACTTATGCTCTGTAAAAATATTACTAAGTAGACAATGAAAGGGAAAAGAAAGCAAGCCAATGTTTCATGCTTTAAGTTAGGAAATGCTGTTTTAAACAGCATTAAACTTTTTTTTAACTACAGAACTTCCCAGAGGCTTTAATAAGCTCATGTGCTTTGAATCCCTAGGATATGATTTTCGTACAGAGCATGTCCAGGTTTATTTGATCATAGACTCTTTCAGAGAACAACAGTTCCAGTTCACATTTCAGGTAATATTTTTAGGTGCTACTATTTGACGAATCCTACATCTATAGTTTCAGCAATGCTGCACGCGCATGTGTGTGTTTGTGTATGTGTGTGTGTCTGTCTCTGGTATTAACTGGTGCAATCAGAAAGAAGAGTCCACTCCTTGGTGTATTAGTTTCTGATTGCTACTATAATAAATTAGCACAAACTTAGGAGGCTTAAAACACCAGAAATATATCACCTTTTAGTTCTATATGTTAGAAGTCTGACATGGGACTCACAGGCTAAACTCAAGGTGCTGACAGGGCTGTACTCCCTTTTAGAGGCTCTAGGGAGAATCTGTTCCTTGCCTTTTCCACTTCTAGAGGCTTCCCACATTCCTTGGCTCACGGCCCACTTCCTCCATCTTCAAAGCCAGCGACATTACATCTCTCTGATCATTCTTACGTCGTTATATCTCCCTCTGATCATAGCCAGGGAAAGTCCTCAGCGTTTAAAGACTGACTTTAAAGATTCATGTGATTAGATTAGGCCCACTTGGACGGTCCAGGATAATCTCCCCATGTCAACATCAGCAAAGTCCCTTTTTGCCATGTAAGGCAACATGTTCACAGATTCTAGGGATTAGGGTTTGGACATCCTTGGGGGGCATTATTCTGCCTACCACATATGGGTGGGTAAGAACACCCTGAGAGTTCCAGCCAGCAAGGACAAAGAGGGAGAATGAAAGTAACTATTGCCATTGTTTGTGTTTTCTCAATTATTGCTTACAACTTCACAGTATCAGGGAAATTGAAATTATTGTCTTGTTAAGGGATGTAGAACAATAAACAAAATATGGAACATGTTCCCAAGCACCAAGAACTTGGTTCTCTCTTTACAATGTAGAGAAGCAAGCACAAGTGCTCTGTGAATTAGATACTCCACAAACATAGCCAGCTGGCCTCTCAGCAACACCGGCTGATTATACAGGCTGTGCACTTTCCAGTGAAAGGTACATGCCCTTAATCAGCTTTATTGAAGCTGCCCTCACTAAGAAACTGTGCAGACATTATTTCCTATGATGCAGGTCCTATAACTGTCCCATTTTACAGGTGAGAAAGTGAATACTTTCTACGATTATGCTACTTGACAAGCTGTTACTTTCACTGAACCAGTAAAACATACACATCTGAACTCAAAGCCTGATCTTAGTCCTATGTAATGTGCCTATTTGTATGTCTATTTGACAATCCATCTACCTGGACTTCTTCCCCTTTCCAATTCCAACCCAAAGCAAGTTCCTTCCTGTGACTCTATCTGATCTGACAGTCTACATGTGTGGTTTTGGGAGTGTGTGCACACGTGTGCATGCTTGTGTATATATGTTCAGTAACTCTAATTTTTTTCTTCATGAGGCTTCACATTTTGAATGCCAAAACTTTCTGTCTGATCTCCAATCAGATGTGGTGACTTCTGGGTCACAGGCGTGATATGTATTGAACACATGCCTTAGAAGTCGTATCTAGTTTCAAAACTTGACTAGATCATCACCTCTGAAACACTGGCAAATTACTTGAGCACCACAAACTTCAGCTTTCTTATCTTGTGAGAAGTCAAAAATAGTATCTGCCTCACAAGGTCACTGCAGAATTAAAAGAGGTGATATAGATAAAGCACTTGATAGATAATAATGACACAATAAGTTGCAGTTGATACTATTATCAATTCCATGCTACGTTTACCTGCATAAAAATGCCATTCAAAGTTCTTGCCTCTCTGAAAGATGCTTAATGACAACTTCTACTTAAATCAGTGACATTAGTATGACCAATAACCATAGGTTAATTCACATTAGGTTAAGGTGTGTTAATACTATTTTTTTTTTTTTTTAAAAGACTCTGCCTGCCTGGAGATCTAGGGCCTGATACTTCTTGAAATTTGCTAATCACATCTGGTTTAGCTTTAGACATTTTCTGGGATTTTGCCAGCAGCTACGACACTTTAATGGCTACAATAAACCTCAAAGCCTCATCAAATCTTTGCTGTATGTGTGAAAATTATGTCCTCTTCAATTAAACATTCAATCTCAGCTCACACCAAGGCCTTATGGAAAAGGAGGTGAAACCTGAATGGAAACGTTAAGATGAAACGGACCGCCACGATTCTGGCCATCTTGCCAGATGGTATTTAGAAGAAAAAGAAATTCATTAGAGAACCTACGGTGTGTATTTTCTTTAAATATTTACTGGGTACCTTTCATGTGTTGAAAACACTGGCATCTCTAAAGATTAGCAGGGCATTTTTGTTTAAATATTCCATGTGTGTGAGGTGGGGGGAGTCATTTCCTCATTTGCCTTTGTGGTACTTCATGTGTTTTGGTGAAGCCTGGTACAAAGAAGAAAAGTAACTGAGACAATGTTCAGTTTTCTTTCCTAAGGCCGCTCTACCTGCTTCAAAAGCTCTTGTATTTTCCTAAAATCGGCTGAGGAAAGTGTCAGTTGAGTACTGAGAGATCCGGAACGACAATTCAGAGCCTCCCTAGACAAAAGAAGGTGTACCAAAGTGAGGCGCTATGGGGGAACCCTTGTCTCTCTGCTCGCCTCCCAGTTCACTCCTCTTATCCTCTTGCTATTTATCATCAAACGTACAGGGACGTCAAAGTGAGGCAGCCCCTGGAAGGAGAAGGGAAAAGATCAAACAGGGATCAGGTTTCGGCTCAAAGACTATAGGAGAGGTCAGGCCAAGGGTTTCACAAGGGGCCAAGAGACAAGAGGGAATGGGCATTCAGGAACAGCCGTGGAGCAAACAAGCTCCCCTGCCATTGCTAACTCTTGCTGCCACACTGAGGACCAGCCTGGGCCCTAATTCTACCAGTGGAGAGGGACAGACAAAAATGCTAGCTGGTAGCTTACTACGCTTTATTACAATATTAATCAAGCTCCTCAACTTCAACAAGGATACAACCGCCAATTCTTCAGGAGACAGAAAATAACGACCGCAAGTTCACATATCGCATTTCTAAAGGAAGCATCCATTTGTTTGAATTCATTCAACCACATCAATGGGAGAAAAAAAACCCACGTTCCTTTAAAAATAATATACAAGATAAAAATATTCACCTGTAACCATTATCCTTTCCATGTAAGTTTTATGCCCAAAGTAAAAATAAATGGCTCTCTTTGCCACCGGGAGCAGATCTTTCCCACTTTACTTCCATTTCCAAGCTGTTCTCAGCCTCAGACTTAGGTTTCTGAGTACTCTTTCACAATAAACATTTTAAAAATGTTTACTTTATGTCTTGGTCTTAAAATATTCCTGGTTGAAGCCCTTCATTTCCTCAAGCTCTGCTTCTGGCACTCTGGGCTCCATTTCCACATTAACACGCTCTCTAAATCCTCCGCAGAGCTCTTCAATTGGAGTTATACAAGCTCCAAGGCAAGTATTTATATTCTTGGACAAGGAGATGTCTCCACAGTAAAAACACGAGACTCTAGAAATGCCAAAGGAAAATTCCTGCCCAAGTGAGACATATTTTCACCTTTTAAAAAAGCCAAAAAGGGGCTTTCAGCATTTTCTTTTGACTAATTAAAAATGTAAATTAAACTAAAATGGAATGTTTACTGTGGGCCTTACCATCATTATTAGACTCATATATAAACCAAACATACAGGAACATGTGTGTATGTGTACGATATGTATGATATACATATATATTTAAAGCAGCAGAGTAAACTAGCTAATGTGTAAGTTCTAGAAACTAGAAACTAGAAAATGTGAGTTCTAATTAGACAGACTTGATTAGACTTGATTAGAGCTCAGTAAATCTGTCTATTACTGGCTGTGTGAACTTAACTTCTCTAAGCCTCATTTTTCTCATCTGTAAAATGGGTTTAGTGTAGTTCCAGCTTATTAAGATTGTTATATGAGACAACAGTAAGCATCTAGTAAATGGTTACTGCTATTATCATTAATAATGTTATAACTACTAAATGTTAGAAAATGTAGATATAACGAGATATGGATATAAGAAACAAATGATCAACACTAATAAAAGAGAAGAATTTGAAAATACAGTGCCTCTACACACTGTGTAGAGAAGGAAAGTTTCCTGAAAGCTGTAGTGTACCATTGCTGAACTCTGCACCAATCCCACTCTATGAACCAGACCTAAATAATCCTCTTAAAACATTTTTTAAAAGTAATCTTAGCTATTATCATAATAGCAGAACAGTTCCTATTACCTTCTAGTTGCCTCTTCAGTTTTCTCAAATCTTTTATGAGGTCTTCAAACTTGACTTGGGAGGCCAGAAAGAAATCCTGTGGTTCCGGCAAGGGGAAAACACTCTTTTCTGTTCCAGCTTCCTAAGAGATATGGTAAACAAAAGTACATTATACTTCCCAATTGTCACTTTCAGTTGAAATTCCAAAGCATCAATGAGAAAAAAAAAAGCTTTTTTATTGGATGTCTGAGTAAGAATCATAGCAATGCTCCTCTGCTATTCCTAAATTTGGACTTGTGACTTTGAAGTGCTTTCTTGTCTTTCACAATCTCTTTTTGGACTTATTGGCAATGAGGTCGGCTATGGCATGGGCCAGGTTCTATTTTGCCTCATGAATCAAAGAGAAAATTGTCAGGTCGTCCTGATCTTGGACACTCCACTCCCATGAAAAATGGAAGAGGGGAACACATGAAAGTACTTACATTTGAAGTCCCCATTTGATTTACACATGCTAGCAATTAGACAAGTCATCTTTGGGGCATACCAATGGGTGTGAATCAGAAGGTGCTGGATAAGAAGGCACTGCAATGGAAGATACAATCACCCTCCCATCACCTTTCCTCACCTTTCTCTGTGGCTTAAAGCTCTTCTGTGTGCATGCATGATCAGATTCTTTGTATATGGGTGTATCTACACATATACACAGGTTTTTTTTTTTTTTTTTTGGAGATAGGGCCTTGCTTTGTCACCCAGGCTTGAGTGCACTGACACAATCACGGTTCACTGCAGCCTTGACCTTCCAGGTCCAAGCGATCCTTCTAGTTCAGCCTATTAGCTGGGACCACAGGTACGTGCCACCATACCCAGCTAATTTTTAATTTTTTGTAGAGACGGGGGTCTCACCATGTTGCCTAGGCTGGTCTCTAACTCCTGGGCTCAAGCGATCCTCCAGCCTTGGCTTCCCCAAAATTCTTCATATATTTGAAAAGCTTTTGCAAATGTTGTCTGGCTTATCTTAGGAGACCGAGGGCAGGGTGAAGTATAGTTTTAACAAGCTCCACTGCTATAGCTAATGGAGAATTCTCAGCTGAGAAACATCTTGAAGGACAAAAGCTTCAGGCACATGAGCCTCAAATATCTTTTCCAGTCTAGCTAGCTTTCTCCCTGAGTTGTTTAACGTAAGCTTTGTATCTTGCATGTCTTAGGCCGTCTTCAATTATTCCTCTCTCTGCACAGGCTACTTTGCCAGCTTTCCTTCACATTCCATCTTCCCTACTGCCATTAGGACTAATTCCAAACTCTAAAACTGCTTTACAAGGCACTTTATGATCTGGCCTCTGTCTACATCTCTGGCCTCATTTTTACCTTCCCCCTATCTCCAACTCCCTCTAGACCTTCATGAAATAACAGACCACAATCTCTTGCTTCTAGGCCTTTGTCTATAAAATGGTCCCTTTCCGACCCTTCCCTAGTGCCTCCTTACACTTCCTTGTTCATACTCATCCTTTAAGTCTTAAAACAAACGTCCTTCCTTAAAGATTTCCCCTAACCTCCAGCACGTGGGTGTTTCTCCCCTGTTCTCCAAAGGCCTATGACGCTTACATTATCACAGCATTTATCACCATTAATTTTTTTCCCATAAGTTATTGGGGTAGAGGTGGTATTTGGTTACATGAGTAAGTTCTTTAGTGGTGATTTGTGAAATTTTGGTTCCCCTATCGCCCAAGAAATATACACTGCACCCTCTTTGTAGTATTTTATCCCTCATCCCCCTCCCACTCTTATCCCCAAGTTCCCACAGTCCATTGTATCATTCCTATGCCTTTGCATCCTCATAGCTTAGCTACCACATATCAGTGAGAACATACGATGTTTGGTTTTCCATTCCTGAGTTACTCCACTTAGAATAATATTCTCCAATCTCATCCGGGTCGCCGAAAATGCTGTTAATTCATTCCTTTTTATGGCTGAGTAGTATTCGATTGTATATATATATATCAGTTTCTTTAATCACTCTTTGACTGATGGGCATTTGGGTTGGTTCCATGATTTTGCAATTGTGAACTGTGCTGCTATAAACATGCACGTGCAAGTATCTTTTTCATATAATGACTTCTTTTCCTCTGGATAGATACCCAGTAGTGGGATTGCTAGATCAAATGACAGCTCTACTTTCAGTTCTTTAAGGAGTCTCCACACTGTTTTCCATACTGACTGTACAAGTTTACATTCCCACCTGCAGTGTAGAACTGTTCCCTGATCATGGCATCCATGCCAACATCTGTTTTCTGATTTTTTGATTATGGCCATTCTTGCAGGAATAAGGCAGTATCGCATTGTGGTTTTGATTTGCATTTCCCTGATCATTAGTGATGTTGAGCATTTTTTCATGTTTGTTGGCCATTTGTATATCTTCTTTTGGGAACTGTCCATTCATGTACTTCGCCGACTTTTTGATGAGATTGTTCTTTTCTTACTGATTTGAGTTCACTGTAGATTCTGGATACTAGTCCTTTGTCAGATGTATAGATTGTAAAGATTTTCTTCTACTCTTAGGTTGCCCCTTTTGAGGTACCAAAGCTCTTTGGTTTAACTAAGTCCCAACTACTTATCTTTGTTTTTATTGCATTTGCTTGTGGGTTCTTGGTCATGAAATCCTTGCCTAAGCCAACATCTAGAAGGGTTTTTCCAATGTTATCTTCTAGAATTTTTATAGTTTGAAGTCTTAGATTTAAGTCCTTAATCCATTGAGTTGATTTTTGTGTAAGGTGAGAGATGAGGATCCAGTTTCATTCTCCTACATGTGGCTAGCCAATTATCCCAGCACCATTTGTTGAAAAGGGTGTCCTTTTCCCACTTTATATTTTTGTTTGCTTTGTTGAAGATCAGTTGGCTGTAAGTATTTGGGTTTATTTCTGGGTTTTCTGTTCTGTTCCATTGGTCTATGTGCCTATTTTTATACCAGTACCACGTTGTTTTGGTGACTGACTATGGCCTTATAGTATAGTTTGAAATCAGGTAGTGTGATGCCTCCAAATTTCTCTTCTGCTTAGTCTTGGCTCCCGCCACGTGGGTTCTTTTATGGTTCCGTATGAGTTTTAGAGTTCTTTTTCTTGAGACGGAGTCTCGCTCTGTCGCCCAGGCTGGAGTGCAGTGATGCGATGTTGGCTCATTGCAGGCTCTACCTCCCGGGTTCACGCCATTCTCCTGCCTCAGCCTCCCAAGCAGCTGGGACCACAGGCACCCGCCACCACGCCCAGCTAATTTATTTTTAGTAGAGACGGGGTTTCACCATGTTAGCCAGGATGGTCTCAATCGCCTGACCTCTTGATCTGCCTCGGCATTCCAACTGGGATTACAGGCGTGAGCCACCGTGTCCAGCCTAGAGTTGTTTTTTTCTAATTCTGTTAAGAATGATGGTGGTATTTTGATGGAGACTGCACTGAATTTGTAGATTGCTTTGGGCAGTATGGTCATTTTCACAATATTAATTCTACCTTTTCACAATATTGATACTACCCATCCATGAGCATGGGATAGGTTTCCATTTGTTTGTGTTGTCTACGGTTTCTTTCAGCAATATTTTGTAGTTTTCCTTGTGGAGGTCTTTTGACTCCTTAGGTATATTACTATACACACATATATATATATGTATATATTTGCAGCTATTGTAAAAGAGGTTGAGTTCTTGATTTGATTCTCTGCTTGGTCACTGTCGGTGTACAGAAGAGCTACTAATTTGTGTACATTAATCTTGTATCCTGAAACTTTGCTAATTATTTTATCAGTTATAGGCGCTTTCTGGAGGAGTCTTTAGGGTTTTCAAGGTAAACAATCATATCATCAGCAAACAGTGACAGTTTGAACTCCTCTTTACTGATTTGGATGCCCTTCCTTTCTTTCTCTTGTCTGATTGCTCTGGCTAGGACTTCCAGTACTATGTTGAAGAGGAGTGGCGAGAGTGGGCATCCTTGTCTTGTTCCAGTTCTCAGAGGGAATGCCTTCAACTTTTCCCCATTCAATATTATGTTGGCTGGGGGTTTGTCATAGATGGCTTTTATTACATTGAGATATGTCCCCTGTATGCAAATTTTGCTGAGAGTTTTAATCATAAAGGAATGCTGGATTTTGTTGAATTCTTTTTCTGCATCTATTGATATGATCATGTGATTTCTGTTCTTAATTCTGTTTATGTGGTGTTATCACATTTATTAACTTGCGTATGTTAAAACCATCCCTGCATCCCTGGTATGAAACCCACTTGATCCTGGTGGATTATCTTTTTGATATGTTGTTGGATGCAGTTAGCTAGTATTTTGTTAAGGATTTTACCATCTATGTTCAACAAGGATATCGGTCTGTAGTTTTCGTTTTTGGTTATGTCCTTTCCTGATTTTGGTATTAGGGTGACGCTTGCTTCATAAAATAAATTAGGGAGGCTTCCCTCTTTCTCTATCTTGTGGAATAGTGTCAAAAGGATTGTTATCAATTCTCCTTTGAATGTCTGGTAGAATTCTGCTGTAAATCCATCTGGTCCTGGACCTTTTTTTTTGTTGGTAATTTTAAAATTATCATTTAATTCTTGCTGCTTGTTACTGGTCTGTTCACGGTATCTAATTCTTCCTGATTTAAGCTAGGAGGATTGTATTTTTCCAGCAATTTATCCATCTCTTCTAGGTTTTCTAGTTTATGTATCACCATTAATTTTTAAATTGCCATGTTATCTTGTACATCTTCCCCACTAGACTCTAAACACCTCAGAGGCAGAAACTGTGTCTTGTTCTTGGTATGGTAAACAACATCTGGCATATCAATAAGCTTTATTTTTGGTTGATGGGCACTACTACAGAGGGCTTGTAAAACATGGTTCTGAGATGTATGTACCTTTAGCAGGAGACATCTAATTTATCACTATGTTTTCTTGTAGTTTCAGGAATCCTCTTGACCCTTCCTCTTTAAGGCCATTAGCTTTGTTAGGGATACTAGGATACAGTAGTTTTCTTCATTTTATCAGACACAATGTACTTTTTTCCCCCATCTTCATATACTTATTTTACTACTTTAAAATGGAAGCAGTACTCTCATCTGAGTGCCAAGATGGAACAACATCTAAGATCCTCACTACAAAGCTCCATGCTAATCTATGCTGGAAGAACTCAGGCATAGTATCTCTTTCCATTTTCCAAAACTTTATCAGATTCAGTCCTGGTTTTGATTGCGTGTGTGTGTGTGCGCGCTCGTGCGCGCGCTAGAAAAAAGGAAATGTTGCTGAGTGTATCAGGCTGGTAGCAGCTCTTATGAAAGCTGCTTAATTAGAGTTAAAAAGGCATGACTCTACATGGGTTTCTTTAAATTTCACAGACCAAGACTTGGACCAAAAACCAGGCATGAGAATAAGGAAGCAGGGAGCAGGAGTCATCTTTCTTTAGCTAATTGCTCATCACCACTAACCAAAAAAGTCATCACTTAGGCTCCTAGAGGAAAGGGCCAGTTTCATAAATCACATAATTCTACCCTCTTGTTGAGTGAAATGCATTTTGCACAGTAAAAGCCAGAAGAGCACCACACTACTGTGGGCTTATTTTTCCTAGACTGGGCCATCCCATGTTTGAAACTGTTCTCATTGTAAGATTTTCCTCTGTGAAGTTGATTCCACTGGGTTCAGCTCTTTTCAACCACAACTATATTCCACAGGCATATTTCAGCCTTCCCACACAATGCATTTGACTTGGTTGGGGTAGGTACTACCAATAAATCTGCCCATGCCAACCTAGGGTTAGAAATGTCACCCTCAAAGATTCTTCAGGATAATTCTTCTGCCACACTAGTACCTGCTGTCAAAACCTAGGGTATGTGCTTATGTGCCCGCTGCTGCTTCTTAATTTCCTGAAGCTAAACATGCCTTCCTCACTCCACCAGAAAACAGCTCTCATCTCCTCATATCTAGTTCTTTACAGATGCCACTTATTACACGTTTGTGAATATTAACATTATATCCAGTTCAGCAAGTTTTATCAGACACCTGTATTACAGGCAGTAAAAAAGAGACAATGGCCAGGTATGGTGGCTCATGCCTGTAATCTCAGCACTTTGGGAGGCCAAGGCGGGTGGATCACTTGAGGTCAGGAGTTCGAGACCAGCCTGGCCAACATAGTGAAACCCCGTTTCTGCTAAAAATACAAAAAAAATTAGGTGTGGTGGTGCACACCTGTAGTCCCAGCTACTTGGAAGGCTGAGGCACGAGAATTGCTTGAACCTGGGTGGCGGAGGTTGCAGTGAGCCAAGATTGCACCACTGCACTGCAGCCTGGGTGACAGAGCGAGACTCCATCTCAATTAAAAAAAAAAAAAAAGAGAGACAACAATGAATTCTGAACCTCAAAAACCAATGCCAAGATAATAGGTAATTCCTCATATATACATACAAGGCAGAATAAGATGCATCTTGAGAAAGATTCAAACAAAGTACTTCTCAGGCTTCAAAGCCTTCCTTCAAAGATCAGGATGTTAATAACGACCTCAAAAAAGGGCCATGTAAGATTAGACTAAGTTATTTTTCACTACATCTTTTTTCCTGTTTACAAAAGTGATACATGTTCATTATGTTTAGTAATGGAAAGAGAGAAGACAGTTAAAAAAAAAAAAACGCTTACAATCCTAATATTCAGAAACATTTTAATGTATTTTTTTCAGGTTATTCTGTGTATTTATATTTATCTACTACATATTTGGTATTATACTATATGTTATTTTGAAACACTGCTTGTAAATTAAAAGCAGATCAAAATTATTTTCTAATACCACTATATTCTCTCCTATACACTCTCCATAAGAGTATATTATTCCAGTGTGTGACTCTAGTATAATTTATTTGACCTTGGTCTCCATCATTGTACACCTACCAAAATTTTTCCAATATTTTGCTATCATAAGCTATTATAAGTAAATAGTCATTAAATCCTTAGTTGTTTTCTTAGGGTAGAAATTTCTTAAAAGGTTACACGTATTTCTAGGGCTGTTGATACAGAAAGGTTGAAAACCTTGCTTATGATCCTGAGATTCATGAGTGTGATGGATTGGGTGTTCGTATGCATGTGTGAGATGCGCCACCATTGAACCTTGTTAAGATATGGACACATTACCTGTCTGACATGAAGAAAAAAGGAAAAAATGAAAAAATGTGGGAAAAAAGGGAAACAAAAAGAGGAAGGAAAAAAAAAAACAAAAACACAACCTTGCTTGCCCATAAAGCATACATGTATAAATTAGGAAAATGTGTTCCTGTAGGTAGGAACAGCTTTATGGGCAAACAGCTTGACAAGCACATGGCATCTTTATGTGAATTTTTTAAAGTGTGCCCTTTATAGGATGTATAATTTGGTGAATCAACGGCAGGCTAAATATGAGTCCCATTTGACTTAGAGACCTTAAACAGAGAATATATTGATTTACCATACATGACAGTCCTGAGAAAGGTTTGATCAATTTACAGTGCTAATTCTATATATCTAGTTGGCAATTTATGTCTTCTATATGTCTTTTGTAAATTGCCTGTGATATATTTTGCCATTTTTTAAAAATAAGGAAGAAAGTTTTTTTTCTTGTTAATTCTCGAGTTCATTGTCTATTATGTTGTAAACATTTTACCAGTACATTATTTTGAATTTAGTTTTAAGTCATTTTTGAGATACTACAGTATTTTAAAATTTTAATTAGGAATTGAAGTTTTTTAGTTTTATGCATTGAAAGTCATCATTCTCACCTTTTATGGTTTGTGTCTTAGACTGAACACTTCGAAAGGATTTTGCTACTTCAAAATCAGTAAACTATTTACCTACACTTTTGTCATGTCTTATTGATTTTATTTTTCATTTATTTCTACATTTATCTCTTCTGTTCTTTAAAACTTTGCTCTGGTCTCTGGTATGAGATCTAGGAGATAATTCAATTTCTTCCTCTTACCAATTACTTGAAATTTCTCTTTTATCACATACTTGACACATATTTATTTAGATCCATTTCTGAGATTTCCTTTTCATGTTCTTAAGTTTTGTGATGTTAGTCTATCATTCTACACTTTTAATTATTATAGCTCTATAATATATTAGAATATATAAATGAATGATTCTCTCTTCATTTTTAAATCCTGGTCAAATTTTTGTCTAATTATTTTTATACATAATATTTAAAATTATTTTGTAAACTTCTAAGATTGATTAGAATTTTGACTGGTACTTCCAACAGAGGACATAATGCCACTCCTTACTGTGGTAAAAAACAAACAAAAAAAACCCCCTATAACATGATATCTGTTCTCTTAAATTTTTAAGTGTACAGTATAGTATTGTTAGCCATGTGTATTATTGTACAGATCTCTAGAACTTCTTCATCTTACGTGACTGAAACGCCGTATCCTCAATTCTCCATTTCCCCATTCCCGCATCATTCATTCTACTTTCTGTTCCTTTCAGTTTGACTACTTTAGATACTTATTTAAGTGGAATCATGCAGTATTTGCCCTTCTGTGACTGGATTATATTGACTTAGCATAATACCTTCAAGGCTGACCCCATGTTGCAGCATACGACAGAATTTATTTCTTCTTTATGGTTGAATAATATTCCCTAGTACATATACGCATTTTCTTTACCTATTCATCTATTGACAGACATTTAGATTTGTTTCCAAATCTTAGCGATTGTGAACAATGTTTCAATGAATATGAGAGGGAAAATGTCTCTTTGAGATCCTGGTTTCAATTCTTTTGGATAAATACCCAGAAGTGAGATTGTCTGATCATATGGTAGTTCTATTTTTAATTTTTTGAAGAAACTCCCTACTGTTTTCCATAGCAGCTCCACCATTTTATATTCCCACTGATGGTGCTAACTGGTTCCATTTTTTCTACATCCTTGTCAACACTTGCTATTTTCCATGTGGTAGGGTTTTGGTTTTAGTTTTTATTAACAGCCATCCTAAAAGGCATGATGGGCTATCTCACTGTGGTTTTGATTTGCATTTCCCTGGATGATTAGTGATGTTGGCACCTGTTGGCTATTTGTTTGTCTTATTTGGAGAAATGTCTATTCAAGCCCATTACCCAATTTTTAAAATTGGGTTTTTCTTTTCTTCAGTCTGTTTTTAAATTTTTATGGCTTTCAGTAAAATTACGTGAATGTATTCACAAAGGTCTGTACTTGTCTGGTTAAGTCTGTAACACATATATTGGTAATGTTACTGGGAGACTTTTTCCCAAAAAATCTTTAAATTTATTATTTCCAGAGAGGAGTAATGAGAAAAAAAGGAAGTTTTATAAAAAGGCTAGAGACAAAGATACTTTCAGTGAGGGAGAACATCAGAAGTAAAAACACATTAGTAAGAAAGCACAGGGTGTGTGTGGAAAACATCAGGTCTTGAGTTGGATCACAGAATACGTGTAGAGGGAAAGTAATAAAAGCAAGGTTGTAAAAGATTGGAATTAAATTCGTAGAGTCCTAATTCACTTGAAAATGGGGAGCCACTTCTGTTTTGAGTAGAAAAGCAATAGGATCAGAGCTGTGTAAAGAGGGTGTGGGATGGCTTAGAGTGGTAGAACCTCGAAATAGAGAGCTGAGCTGGAAAGCAAGTGAAATTCTCCAAGTGAGTGGTCTTAAAACCTGGGTAAGCTGGGGTCGGCAGGAAAACAAAACAAAAAACAAAACAGGGAAGGACATCAGAAACAACTCAGTGGAAGGACAGAGAGTAGCCAGAGAAGGACAAGGTTTCATGCCTTAATAGCCAAAAACTATCAAAAACTACGATATTCTTAACAGAAATCAGGGAAAAGTTTGGGGGGCGGGGAAACGATGAGCCTGGCTGTAGGTATATTGAAAATAGTTAGATAAGCCCACCAGGAGGGTAGAAGAAAGTATTATGGAGTTCATCAGTGCCTCACTTGTCTTCTGGATGAAACTGCAGGCCTATTGAAAGGCCCTGAGATCTCTACTATTCTTCCCTCGATGCTTAGGAACAATTATGCTTACATGGATGGTTAAGCAGAAGTCCTGACAGCATTTACTTTGAGACTTTTACTATTCATATCGATTGCTATATTTCTTAACATCTTACAACAATACCTTTTTCTTCTCAAAATTACAACTCCTTGTTCTCAATTTAACAAGAAGGAATAAAATAGAAAATTCTGCTCAGATGGACTCACACAGAAATGTTTATTTCTAATTGCAAATGCCCTCTAAGCAGAAAAGATGGATTTTTCAAATTCTACATCTTCAGTCTGTTCATAGATTCATTACTGATAAAATATTGGGTATTACTGAGTCTTACTTTCCTAAATTTTGCTTTGCATCATCAGAATACAGTTTCAATTATAACCAATTACTGAGCGGATCTAGATTTCACAGAGAACCTCACAATCTGGCCATAAAGCACTGAGGCAGCTAGGGGTCTCTCTGAAGCTGTGTTATAGTCGATTGAGACTCAGTAGATTTACACCACTGAATAATGCTTCTCTTCATAAGTCAACTAAACTCTCTTGGTTTCAGTGTGCTCATCTGTAAACCACGCTGGAGAGCTCTCATATTCTATGTTGGGCTTGCAGTTCGTTCATCCATCTATCCATCATCCAACTTATGAATGTCAACAATGAGTAAGAGGTGAAACTTTTCCACGTAATACCATTTCTTACCTGATCATAGTAACGCAGGTAATACTTAACAACGTAGTCCACCAGATTAATCCCATTATCCTAGGTTTAAAAGAGAAATGTACATGAAAATCATTCCCATGAGACTGTCATGTTACACGGTTGAGAGGTGAAATCTCAGTTGAGAAATTTCTAATTCGTGAAAACTGGCTTTCTCTTCGATGCTGGCAAGGTTTTCCTTCCTCTGCTTTATCCCATCCATTTATTATGCTGGCTACATAAAGAAATGACACTGTACTATCCTTTGTGGGGAAAAACAAACAGATAATCCATAAAACTTCTGAAATAATGGCTAAAACAAACAAAAAAGTTGTGTCCTTGTATTTTCTGGCACACAGCCAAGACAGGAGGTGCGGGGAATGCTAAAGGGAACCAGGGCCTAGAACAGAAAAGCACCCTCCCTGCCCGTCTTTCAAAAAATGTGCGTTCTTAATGGTGTGAAAAACAATCCAGGCCAGCTTAAAAGGAGCACCACACCACTTTATGACCCCGGGAGGCCAGTGGGGAGCAGGCCCTCCCACAAGGCAGCCTTTGTGTCCTGCTCACTGGGGCCTAATTCTAATTTGCCTGTGTGTTTCCCCTCCCTGCACCCCCCTGCCCCCCATGGGACGCCTAGCTATGGGCTGATTGTTTCTAAAGAGGTAGCGCCACAGGGGTGTGGAGCCAAGTGATAATCAGGCTCAGAGAGCTTGACAGTAGACCCCAGCCCAATTGTTGTGGCAAAAAATTGGTGATTCAACATTGCTCTGCCATTCAGGAATGAGTAAACTACTAGTAGCCAACACTAAACTCAAACAGCCTCCAGCCTTTGCAGGATCCTGGTACTGTATGCTATCTGTTTTGTTCTCTCACTGAGTAGCAGTTCAATACCTGATTGTGTATGTCAGAGCACACGAAGATGGGAATTGAGTAATTGAAAATAAAGTCTAACGTGAAAAAAAAAAACCAAACAAAACTCTTTATTCGAAAGTGAAAAGAAAGCAAACAAAAAAATGCATGCTCTAATATAAATGTTGTTAAGGGGAGGATAGAGATAAATGGAACAATCTGGAATACGTTTTTTAAAATTAAAGGTAAAGAAAGAAAATAATGGCAGATCATGGGAACTTATTATGAAAAATAAATACCCGACTTTTGACATCCTTGAGTTTGGGCAGAATTTCTAAGCTATATCCATCGGCTTGTCCCCGAGTCCTATTTCCTCCATTCATATAATTTCCAAAAGCCAAGATGAGAGCTAAAATATCCTTCACGCTCTTCACGTGCAGCAAGTCCTGTGATGGCAAACACCAGTTATTACGGAGCTGAACTCCAAATGCACCCATGTTCATTCAGTAACAAATATCGACTGTGTACTCAATAGGCTGTCGGGAGGCTTGGTACCAACAGAATTAACAGTTGCTGAAATGAAAAACACACTTTACTAAGCCATGAGTGTCTTTACAAACACATTAACAGCCATTATTTTCTACCCACTCAAATTAATTATAAACAGTGCATGTTTTAATACATGAGGATTAACTATTGGTTTTATATTTTCATTTGAGCCAGTTTAATTTTTAATACTTATTTTAAAGTAGAAGTTGTAAAAAGGGAGTTGGTATATATAGTAAGGCTTAACCTTTGATGACTTCTAGGTAGAAAGGGGTTTACCTTTTGAGGATGTATTTCAGGACTATTTATCTAGATAACCAATACAGTTAAATGCAGAGCAGATACAGAAGAAGTATGTTCTTCTTTATCCCCGGATATAATTTTCAGAGCTAAACTACAATAATGCATTTTAAGGCTGTAGGCCATCTTTAATAAATTTATTAAACTTACTTTATTAAGTGCTTGTTGTATTGTCTATTAACTTTTACAATTTCAAGCTGCTTAGGATTTTCTTTGTCTCCCTGTCTCATTTGTTTGTCCTTTTATTTATTTTTTACTTCAAGTACAATTTTCCAATTGAAATTTTTTTTCTTTATGGTCTTAATTCACATTTTATCCCCCTTTATTTCAGGGTAAAAAAAGTAATGGCTGGGCACGGTGGCTCACGCCTGTAATCCCAGCACGTTGGGAGGCCGAGGCAGGTGGATTGCCTGAGGTCTGGAGTTCAAGACCAGCCTGGCCAACATGGTAAAACCCCATCTCTACTAAAAATACAAAAACTAGCTGGGCGTGATGGCAGGCACCTGTAATCCCAGCTACCTGGGAGGCTGAGGCAGGAGAATCGCTTGAGCCCTTGAGGCAGAGGTTGCAATGAGCCGAGATCACGCTACTGCACTCCAGCCTGGGCAAGAAGAATGAGACTCCGTCTCAAAAAAAAAGAAAGAAAGAAAGAAAGAAAAAAAATTCAGCTCCAGGCAGACTTCTTTTTCTGCTCCTGCCTTTCAGGTATTATTAGTGCGTGTATAATTATATTTCAGTAATATTTATTCTCTACTGAAATATCTCATATCTTAGAGGAAAAAAAATCATTTCTCCAAATAAGGAACAAAGTACTACAGTATTTGTGGAGAAGAATAACGTGTCCTTAAGAGCATGGGTCAACTGTGAGAAAAAGGCAGGTGCTAGAATTTAACCTTATAATGAACACCAGTGTAGTAAAGCCAACAAATATTTCTTTGCCAATGACTCACTGTCAGTCATTTATTTCACTTATCAAGTCTCTAGGATCCTCTTATTAGGTTGACACATTTCAGATGATCAAATGTATGGATCTCAAGCAAAATCTCTTCTGCAATCCAAATTGTAAAATAAGAAACAGACCATGCTATTTAGATTGGTTTTTAGTGGCCAGTATGTACTTTGGAAGATACTCAGAATTTTTTAGAAGGAATCTGTAAAAGTGTCATTTTTTTCCCTCCTTCTCCCTCTTCATCCATCTGCATCTCCTTTTCTCTCCCTCTCTCTCATACACACACACACGGGCAAGATAATCATCAAATTTACACTTAGAAAAACATACAATCTGAGTCCAAAAAGGTTTCTATAATGGCATTAAAGTGGTCTCTCCCACTTTCTTCTTTACTCTTCAGAGCAAGGCTATCTTTTAAATTAGACAGTAAACATACCTTAGAAGCTCGCGTGATGATCTCTACCTTTCTGTGCAAGGAGGTGATACCCTCAGAAAAGACAGATCTGAAGATTATGCACTGGGCACGTTCAGCAAAATTAGGAATCTGGGCTAACTCATGTAAAAATCTGTAAAAAAGAAAATGTGTCATCTACCTTCACATATAATCACAAGGAAAATAAAAAGACAGCTGAAAAAGACCCACTTTGGGAACATTCCTTACCTAACAATCTCAACAATTATAAAAGGTGTCACATAGGTAGACTCAAGGAATTCCAAGGGCATGGTTTCCATTGTTGACAACAGGGCTGTTTTTTAAAGGAGTTCTAGCATGATGAATAAATGCATGGTATAGAAATTCCTTCGGGAACAGAAAGTTAACACAAGTATACTAAACAAGTTATCTATCTCCTGCTGCCCAAACAAGAGACTAAACCCAAATGGAAAGCCCCAGTCTTTAACACACGAGAAAAATTATGCAATAAACTCCCTCATAATGCAGCATTCTCTAAAGGTGTATTTATACAGGCTAAGCAAACTGAAGACTTGAGGCAAATGTCTACAGACAAGTGATTTAAAAAAAAATCTCTTACTAAAGTGATATTGCTACTATTTTTGCTCAGTGAGTTACATAATGGTCTATAATGATCACATTCTCCAGATATTTGTTTACTTTTTCACATTAACTTACACACATAGACATAGTTTACAACTCAGTATTTAGAACAAAGCAGGCACTCATTAAGTAGACAACCTAAAGTTTCCTTAAAAATGTGGCAAGACAGATCTTAAAAGCTAAAGGTGAGTACTGACCTACACACAGTAGCTCACTGTCTGAGTGGTTGGGCACTTGTTCCCTTTGCAAAACTAAGTTGGAAAGAGCGACATACTCTCCAGGCCAACCACCAGAGGAAGGGGTATAAATGAAAATGGGTGGAAACAGTTGGACATGAATTCAGAAAAGGAGAAAATCTACTAACAGCCATTTATTTCATTTTGGTGTTGAGATGATGATTAACTGATATTTCTGAAAGTCTTGGTCAACTCATAACGTCATTACCAAGGAATTTTGCCATCTCTCACCAAAAATGGTTTTACATAGGAACAAAGCTGAAGCCTACTTCTTTCTATACCGAAAGATATTTTCTTTGCTTATACACCCTGTGCTGCCTCTACCTTTAGGGAGATTTGGGTTTTAATTAATTTCTAACATCAATTGATTTCGTATTTATTCCACGACTAGGTCATAATCCACAATCTTTTTTTAGATGACATTTAATGAAAGCAAGGAATATCCATAAGAGAAAACACAATCTTGTTTTAAAGTTCAATAACCCATTATTATGAAAATTATCTGATGAAGTATAAAAGTAGAAATTCATAGGAATTCTGCATTAGGACAAGATGAAAAAGTTAAACTCTGTGTAAATTACTTCTTAATGAATATTAAACAATTTATTCATTTATCATGACTGAAATCAGGGGTATCATCAGTCTTTATAAATACATAAGAAGCAAAAAGCTCACAAGACTGACAGCATTTGATCCTGTAATGAGTCTGGGGAAGACGTATTTATTCAGATGCTGAGCTATTCTGAAAGAAGGGCCCTGCATTTCTCCCCTTCTAAATGTGACCCATGAGGCGTCATTCAGGACCCAAGTTCCCAGAGCATGTACACTTCCTATCACAGTGAGCGAAGCAGTTACAGACACCACCTGGGAAAATATACAGATCAATGCCTCGGCTCACCAAAAAGGACTTAGATGAAAAGCAGAAAATGCTGAATGAATAGTTACCTATAACTAATCTCAAAAGAGGAAGCATAGGACCAATATGAGGCGACAAGACCATAGTCTTATCAATGTATGTTACGCAAGAAAGGGTAGGATAGAATTGCAAGGCTCTCTAGGATTAAAGCCTTTCTGGGGTTAGGGCTTGCACTGGAAAAGCTCTTAAAGAATCTTAAATGTTCCAATGTCCTCTTTAAGCAGAAGGGTCTGCAACCCATACGAAGAGTTGGAGGGGGGAGAAAAGATCATAATTTTACATTACTTTTGGAAAGACTTGAAAATTCATACTAGAAGATCAGTCACCAAGAATGTCAGTCTGTCCTTTAGGAATGTATGAGGCATTTACAGTGTGTCAGGGACCATGCGAAGATCTGAGAACAGAGCTTAATCTACAGTCCCATCTTGATAATCTGAGAAGTAAACCAACAATTACTGTGGAGTGTGAATGAGTGCTCTCGGTGATGGATCCAGAAGAGGAGCTAGGAAAGCAAATGCAGGACACTCAAGTGTCATGGGGGGAACATTGTCAGCTAGGGTCCCCGGAGCCCTGTGATGCTCACGCACAACATGTGAGAAACTGCCGGGAGAGCCCAGATAGGCTGAATGGTATCTGTGGGGGAAGTGAGTAGAAGGCAGATGCTAAAATTGTGTTCTGTATTCTAAAATACAGGGTTTAAACTTCTGAACGAATGAAGGGTTCTAAACAGGAAGGTGACAGTTTCTGCTTTTTGTTGTAGAAAATCTCCATGGCAGCAGCTCAGCTGATTGGATGGGAGAGGAAATTTGAGGCTGGGAGACCTCCTAGACCACAGCTGTAATCTTCCAAGAGGAAAGGTAAGAGGGGCTTGCAGTGTGAATGGAGAGGGGCAAATGGATGAGGAAGCTGCTAAGGTAACAAGACCCAGAGCAACCTACTCCTAAGAGATGTTGTGAAGAGTCCAGGATGACTTTGCAGTTTTGGCGTGGATATTGGGTATAGCGAAAATACAAAATAATAAAGAAGCAAATTTGGAGGAAAAAAATAGAGTTTTATGACCCTTGCCATCCAAAAACAGCCATGCAAGGAGCACCATAGCTCCTCTCTTATTTATCTGCTAAGCTACCAGAGGTATGGGTTACTTTGAAGGCTGTGAAGCAAGCATCTGACAAATAGCTTCTCTTCCCCTGCCCTGCCCCATTACTGTTTTATCCTCTACCCACAAGAGCAAACACAGTAACTCTCTTAAATATTCCCAAGCATGGGATCTTGGACACTGGGCCTTGGTACTTCTGAATATTTATGGATTGAGTTCCTTTTGGGCTAGTCTAACTTTACATTCTAGGTTCAGTAAGAAAGAAGACTAAATATTCCCAAAAGAAGCCACAAATGAGGGATCCTTCCCTTCTTTCTCCAATGTAGGCTAATACTTCTAGGAAGGACTGCAACTTCAGCTTCTAATATATGAAAGACGTTCTGTGTCTCACATTATTTGGGTTACACATCTACAGCAGCAACTCAGCTGACGGGTGGAATGAAGCAATGTGGCTCATGTTTTTAAGAGACTAACATTTGATTTATTATCCCTAAATTTCTGAATGGTATCACCTAAGGTGTATGTGCACATAGGCGATACACATAGCATAACTGAATGTTGCAACCTGCATTCTTCGATGGAGGATTACACTAACAGAGTCTACTGTGTGGGGGCCCCAAGGCAGCTGTGGACCTTCATGAAAATCACAATAGACTGTGTATAGTGTTCTCACCCTAGGCCATGAGAAGTGTGTACCAGGCCTAATCAAACCCAGTAGAGCCTCACCTCACAACCATTACCCGGCAGCATAAGAGTCAACGGCCATCCCTAGAGGGAGTGGTTCTCAGACAGCCTGGTCCCAAACAGATGACACCTCTGTGGGCAATGGCTTTCTAAATCTGGCACTGGAGTGTAAGAGAGTTGATGAGGTGAGTGATGAGGCCAGCCTCTCCATGCTCTGATTTATAGGACTGGGCACCACAGGGCTCTTAGGAAACTGCAACGTTAAAACTATAAATGATTCATATTTTCCAGTATGTAAAACATGCTTATAGTCGACTCACTTGGAGTTAATGGCAAATAAGTTGCCAGAGAATCAGAGTGGCATAAATCAAACAAATGCTGGTTTGTGCAGGAGGTTGGTAGCAAAGGTGAAATGCACCCAGGTCTGAAGGCCCCCATCTATCCGTGCCTCACCCTCCCGCAACTGAGCCCAGGCAAGTCACCTCACCAGCACAGCATGACAGTCCTTTTTGCTGGGTTTGCGTGTTCACGAAGCCATTACAATGACCATTTATAAACATTAAAAATGCTTTTCTATCTAGATCATCAGTAGAGAAAACAAGAGTAAGTTGTGTGTTAATTACCTGCTACCATTATCTAAGTCCCGGCAATTAGAACAATAATTAGGACAGTAGCAGAAACGCATGATCTCTCCCTGCCTGTTCATTTCACCGGATCAGCCATTCCCATAGCTTAGAACAAGGGCTGCTCGGTGGTTAAGGGGTTGGCAAATTGCAGCCCACAGGCCAAAACCAGGCCACCACTTGTTTTTGTATGGCCCATGAATTAAAAGAACGATGTTTACGTTTCTAAATTGTTGAAAAAAGAGTCAACAGAAGGACAACATTTTATGACATGTAAAAATGACATGAAATTCAAATTTCAGTGTTCATAAGTAAAATGTCATTGGGGCACAGCGATACCCATTTGTTTATATACTGCCTGTGGTTGCTTTGGCACAGCAATGGCTGACTTGAATATTTGTAACATCCCGTAAGCCACAAAGCCTAAAAGACTTACTATCTAGTCCTTTACAGGAAAGGTTTGCCAACTCCAGGCTTAGAGGAGAATATTACTGTGTAACTTGGTATAACCAGCACTACCCAAGTGCTTTGATATGCCCACTGTGCCCCAATACAACCAAATGGCCTTTTCAGTGTTGAAACAGCCCATTATTAATCACTTTACTTTCAGTCATTAGCACCGTAAGAGGGATTCATTTGTTATAATAGGAAATATGACTTGGAAATAAACTATAGGATCAGTTGAGGGTAGGGATTGGTAAGGAAGGTGTCTCAAGTCAGTGGAACAAGACAGCAAGGGAACCTCACTTGACTTGATTCACAATATTCCTAGGCTTTAGAAACCTACTTTGAGGGGGGATCCTGGACCATGCTCCATGTGAGAGCAAGTCATCCAAGGTTCCCAGAACCATCATGTAGGTTTGTCGTCAACTGAGTAAACCCAGAATTCTCTTCCCAACTCCCATCCTCAGCCATTTAAGATGTTTTCCTGAGTCTAAATGTCCAGGCATCCATGGGGACTGAGGTATTCTAGAGCAGCTGTGCCCAACCTTTTTAGCACAGGGACCGGTTTCGAGGAAGACAATTTTTCCACAGGCCAGGGGTTGGGGTTGGAGGTGGGATGGTTTCAAGATGATTCAAGCACATTACATTTATTGTGCACTTTATTTCCATTATTATTACATTGTAACATACAATGATATAATTATACAACTCACCATAATCTAGGATTAGTGGGAGCCCTGATGGTCCCTCTAGCTTCCTGCAACTAGATGGTCCCATCTGGGGGTGATGGGAGACAGTGACAGATAATCATTAGATTCTCATAAGGAGCGTGCAACCTGGATCGCTCACATGCGCAGTTCACAATAGGGTTTGTGCTCCTATGAGAATCTGATGCTGCTGCTGATCTGACAGGAGGCGGAGCTCAGGTGGTAATGCCGGCTTGTCTCTCACTCACCTCCTGCTGTGTGGCCTGGTTCCTAACAGGCCATGGGCTGGTACCAGTCTGTGGCCCAGGGGTTGGGGACCCGTTTCTAGAGGACCCAAGGGACAAGGCATGGAACTCCAGTGCAAGCCGGAGAACCTTGGAAGTTTCTAGGGCTGACTGGTAACCCTGATCTGATAGCTCCATTTCTGCTTCATTTTCTACACTTGCCTCATCTCTAGATTGAGAGGGTTGGCCTGAACTGGACAAAAAAAATTCAAGGTAGCAACAGGCAAAAGAGGCCCTCTGAACCTGTGTCAGAGGACACAGGTCCTCTGAACCCATTTTACAGTCTCACAGAGTCCTAAGCCCTGGAAAGCTGGGCAGGGTCGTGGGGCTGCAGAGCCCCGGGAGCTTATCTATGGCTTCGAGACCCCAAGAGTCACTCAGTTACACCCCGGAGTTCTGGGTCTTCAAAGCCTATGGAACGGCATCACAAACAACAGAGCAAGCAGCCATAGATAGTGACTGGAGAGAAAAACAAGCATGTACAGAGTGAGGGTGAGAAAAAGCCACATTTGGGCAGAGCAGGTGGAGAAGTTTGGGGAAAAGCTAGCACATTCAGGCTGCACTTACTGGATATGACCTTTAGGAAAATAAACTTGAATTCTGTGACTCTGATATCATCTTTTTAACTTCATCAAGAGAACCTTAAACAGAACAATGCCTTCTTCCTTCCTCAGTTACCCTTTTGGTCAAATTGTTTAGTCTAGGAGGAATTAACAAGTTGCTAGAAAAAGAAAGGGGAGTCTCTTGGGGTGGGGGAGGGGGGTGAGACACACTGTATCCAACAGCACAAATCTCAGCGCTGCTTTTCCCGGCAGCAGGGTCATCCTGCTGCATGCAACAGGTCACAGGAATGACGGTGTTGTGATTTAGCTGGCTGCACATTTAGATTTGGTTATTCTGAGCTGGGAGACAAGAAGACAGAAATTGCAGTTCTCCTTTTGGCCTAACAGAAAAATGTTAAGTATCCTTACTGCTCAGGTTTATCCAGCAGCTTCAGTTCTTCTTCTTTGGATGTCTCGTAATACTTTCTTATTTTAACCAGCTCATCCTCTTGGGCTCTCTGTATCAAAATAGAAAACAAAACCAAAAAAAAAAAAAAAAAAAAGGGAAGTGAGACTCTGGCTATGGCAGTGGGTCTCAAAGTCTCGAAGTGTGGTTCCTAGACTAGCAGCATCAACAACATCACCTGTCACTTGTCAGAAATGCAAATTATTGGCCCACCCTAGACACAAGAACTTGGGGTGTGGGTGGGGGTGGGGGGATGCAAGCCCACTGGGTGATTCTGATGCATGCTCAAGTTTGAGATTCAATGCAAATGGACCTAACAAGTACACGCAGCTGGACACAGAAGTACAGCTATTTGAGCTCTACTTTTGAATCCCCCATCTCTTCCTCTGTAAGGAGGCTGGGGGAATATTGTTCTTAGAATTTGTTTCCTTACTCTTAGAACAGCCCTAAATTATATGAACTCGCAGCTCTTTCATTTCTAGTCAACAACGTCCCTTTTTCCAAATTTCGTAAGCACTCATTGTCTGTACCACTTATTTTGGCATTGAGTCACTTACTTTCTCAATTTATCCAACTATTTCAGTTGAATGAAGCTTATCTCTACTGTGAGCTAACAAGCGGCAACCATGTGCTTAGTCCTGAGCTCATGGTAACAACACAAAGCATCTGGAAGGTACTGCCTTTGACAAAGTTCTTTAACATGAACCACTGTATCCTCATTTTACAGATTATTCCACTGAGGCTTGTACTAAGCAACTGTTAAAGAGCTTCAGACTTGGAACTCCCTCTTTCTGCCTCTATACCTTGCTGACCTCCAAGTATTCAAGTGCATAATTAGCTCCCAATGGCCTGGTATTTGTGTACTTTCTGGTTTATTAACGAAAGCTTTACTAGTGGAAACGTGAGAAGTTCCGACCCACTTGTACTAAGTAGCTCCTGATACATATAAAGATGTGAAAATGAGCAAGGAATTGGTGATGCCACCAAGCCTAGACTATTAGACTATGGAAATCTTCTGTAAGAAACTTAAGGTCCCAGGGGACATAAATATGAAACGAATCATCTTTTGAACTGGTGACCACAGTACACTATAGAGCCCTAGACAGCTTCCTGGGAAATACCATTACTTAAGAGAATGTGGTTCAATCTATGTTTTTGTAGCCTAACAGTCAGTGAACCAAAACAATGAACAATCATGGGAATTCTGACTCTCCTGTGTTGTCTTCTCAAGAGAGCCTGACAATTCTGCTGGTTATGTCCACTTAAAACCCAAATCAAAAACCTTATATGTGTACAGTCCTGTTGACTTTCAAAATACATTGCTACTGCTACATATATTAAATCCTCATTTGACTAAAAAAAAAAAATCAGAGCCTACTATAATCCCCGCTATACTGATGATCACAACGGGATTAAGAAGTTTAAGTAACTAGCCCAAGGTCACTTAGCAGGCAATGGTAGACACAGCTGGACCTCAAACCTAAGACTGTCTCATTCTAAATCCAAAACACATACCTACCATTCTACACACCTTCCCACATTCAATATCATCAACTCATTTGGACTAAGAGTAATCATCCAAGCTGGTATTAGCAGTCCCATTCTTCAGAAGTAGACACCAGTGCACGCTATCATTTCAGTAGGCAGCTTACCTTCATTCACTTGGCCAGCAAGTGACAGGACTGGGTTCCAGGGCACGTAAATGGTGTCCACCTGAGATGCCCTGCCTTGCAAGTGTGCAATGAGATCTGCTAGCCCAGATACCACAGTGGGAGTCAGGAATCTAGTGCTTCTCACATCCACTCCCATTCAAGCTTGTGTTTCTATGCCTTAATCTCTTCCAGGCCACGTCAAAACCCTTACTACCAAAGAACATGAACAGCTCAGTCATTTCTCAGGTAGAAGATAAATATGGAAATACTAGCTCTGTAAGTCTTTGACACTCACGTTTTCATATAAGGCTGCCAGGGTCTCCAGATCAACCACGGAGTCATCCACATTGAAAATGGCTGCCAAGCACCCAAAAAGAAAAGAGGATAAGGGATTTGATTAGGTCCCCTGCACCAATGTTTACTCCACATCCAGCTTCCAAGCAATTAACAGAGTATTGCGTTTTCTTACACAAGCTGTGCCTCTCTGCTCCCCTTCCTTTCGCACCAGGGGTCTCAAATGAAAGAAACCAAAATGGTTCCTATCATTGGCCTGAGCCTTGGCTCTGCCTTGTTTAATTCCTCAGGCTCTGAGTCCTTTCTGCAGTTTAATTTAGGCTCCACAGGAGAAGTGTTTGTGCTTTAAAACTAAATCAGTTTGTAGGTTTGAAGCACAATTTTAAATCTTTCTTCCCGATGGTAATTGAAGAGATTTAGTACCTAATGCACCAGAACTGACTCTTGCCCATTACCAGAAAGAAAGAGAGAAAAAAGACAATGTTGGCAAATTAAATGAATTCAGGCATGTGATTTCAGGCACCTTTCCGTGGCCACTGCCAACATCTTGTTTGGATTAAAAAGACAAGAAAAAACAATAATTGCATCAATAGCAAATTAAGATTATGGAAACCTCCCATGAGCCAGTCTTCAGGCAGGCTCTCATTCCCATGGCTTTATTAGGATTCTACTTGTTCTGTATTATTTAAGATTAATTTAGCCGTTAACTAATATGCTTATGATTTCATCTAGAGAGGTACCTTCCCATAGATACTGGGATGCAAAAATTGAGACTTAAAATCCTTAATGGATTTGGCTATCGAAGTGTTTGAAATAAGCAGGTCCACATCTTTAAATAATTATTCAAAACTAATAAGGTTTGTTCCCTCAACCCTACCTCCCTTCCCTGACTTTACATTGTGAAATTAACCAGCACGCTAGTAAATTTTCTCCGTGGCAGGCTAATTAATTTTATTAAACCAACCAGTGATACTTAGAATGCCTTAAAATTTTGCTCGTCAACTATTTATTCTGTTCATTTGCATTACACCATGGTTTTTGGGAAGGTGGGGACCAAGGTAAGGGGCAGGTTGTTTTTGAGGTATTTTGCTTCTTCTGTGGTTTAGAATCACATGAACCCTTTCATACAATTTTAACAAAGCTAAAATTAACTGAGCTAAGATCATGGAACCTCACAGAACAGCAAGAAATGTACTTAAAATTCCTTTGCAGGCCACCTTCTCAAACTTAGGGGTTAATCAGCAAGCTATTCCTAGATACATGGAACAGAGAGAAAAGAGGAGGTTAATATGCTAGAGTCAAAGTAAGTCACCTCAGATTCCACCAAGACAAAGGAACATCACACATCCACAAAGGCCAATGTGAAACCAGTAAAGAAAAATGCAGTTTAAGGACAGAAAGAAAGGATTTGTCCTCTCAAGACTGTTATTTTGTGTGTGGAGATCACATAAATCCACTAATTTGTCAGACACAACAGGCATTTTTAAATGTCTAGTGCGTTGAAAACCAAAATAGCCAGAAACAATGTCTATTTTATGTAAATCTCAGTATTCTCTCACAAAAATCAACCAACATGAGCGCATAAGAAAAGGTCAAATTCTAAACAATAATCTACCAAAAATGTTTACATGTTAACTAATCATGCATCCTGGGTAACTATATATTACAAGCTTAGATATAATCAAATAATCTTAACTAATGAGAAAGAGAATGACCTGTGAGTTTCTTTTCCTAGTAAGTAAATACTCAGTTTTTAAAAGTTAATCAGTCTGGGGCCCAGGCACACAGTTCCTCAGATGGTATTGTCAGCTGTGCCCCTTCCAGTGTGTTCAGTAGCAGAAAAATAACACCCAGAGAGGTTGGGACTGAGAACAACCATGGGCTCTGAAGACATGGATTCATTCATTCCTCCATCCAGCCCTTGAATAAGTATTTGTTGGATGTGTACAGGATCTGTTCTAAATACTGTGGATTTTTAAGTTAGAAGTGCAAAGTACTTAATTAATCTCATGAAATTTATATCCCAGTCTGGGGACAGAAAATAAACAAGTAAATACATAATTTCAGATAACAATTTACTATGAAGAAAGTAAAACAGAGAAATGTACAACATTAGACAGAAGGCTCAAGGAAGGCTTCTTTGGGAGGTGACATTTAAGAGAAGACCTGCAGAGATCAGTTTTGTGGCTATCTTGGAGAATAACGTCCCAGGGAGAGGTAACTGCAAAGACAAGTTTCTTTTTCTGAAGGAACACATTCAAGGTATAGAAAAAAAAAAATCAAGGTGACTATCATGGACAGAGCAAAATTTACTCATTGTGTGATCCTGACATGTTAAATTTTCTGAGCTTCAGCATATCTATAAAACAGCTCTAATACCACTTAGTGAAAATATTAAGTGAGGTAAGATATATGCTTAGCATAGCACGTAGAACATGGTATAAGCCCAAAATGGTATATATGAGCTATTACTATCATGATTTCAAATATATACATTGTAAATGTGTTTTAATGCTTGTTAATGCCTTATCCCCTTTAACATCTGGAAAGAGTTAGAGAAAGAAAACTACAACTACTGAGTGATTTGTGCTGTAAATGCAACCTTCCCGAATTCTTAGGTGTTTCTGATCGCGGTTACTAGGAAACCCTTCCAGTCCTTTAAAACCCCACTCAAGACCCAACTTCAGAAAGCATTATTAACAGGAAAGGTCTATGACACAGAACTCTAATTACAAAAAATAATGGATCAAGTGTCTTAAGGGAAATGCCAGGTACCTCCAAGTCTGTATTATCATATTTTTATCTATAATTTCAATATTTCTCATCAATCCATCCTTCATTGTACCAAGGTTACTTTTTAAAAACATGGATTTCAAAATTTTACTGTGATGCTTAACATACCTCCAATATCTTCCTTTAAACACTCGGCGAAGTCTAAACTCCTTGGCCTGGTTGTTAAGCTCATTCCCTGCCTCGCCTCAATTACACTTCCAAACTCATCTCCTACCATGTTCTCCATGCACCATGGGTTCCAGTCACCCTGTGTCCTTCCCCATTCCTGAACATGCCATGGCTTCCTCCCTTTCTTCATCTCTCCATGGCACAGAGGTCAAAGCCCTGGAAGGACATCCTTTGACCCTCACATCATTAAGTCCTCAATCTTTTCCTCTGCCATGGTACCTCTCTCATATTTTACATAAGGTGAAGATGGTATACTTTAAGAATCTGTGGTATGTTGCATAACTGTTTCCTTCTCCCAGTAGACTGTGAAAGCCTTGCAGTCAGCAGTTGATTTCTTAAGCATCTTGATAACTGTCTCCCAGCATGGTACCAGGGGTGTAGCATGTATAACATAGATGTTTGTGGGTATAATTATACCATACGACTCCTGAAGACTGAGTCCTGCTGATGGGAGGAAAAGCTTCTTGACAAAGAGAACATAGGGTCTTAAAAAGAAACCAGAGAGCCTCTAAAGGGGCACAGCCTTATAAGGCATGTATCTGAATCATGGTTGTTTGCTTCTTCCCAATTTGACCCTGTCCAAAAATCAAGGTTTGGCCAGCAGTTACATAATTGTGCCCCCAACTCACACACTCGGTGTAGATTATACCGCTTGCCTGAATACTCCCTAACAAAAATAATTAACTTCAAAGATGAGTTTTCTCATTATTAGGGAATGAATAAGGAAAATATCTTTCCTTATTCAAAAAAGTTTTAAATAGCTGTATCTCCTTAGGAAAAATGTTGAGTAAAAGTTCAACTATTATATTGCTTTAGGCAGACACTGAAAACACTAATCTATTAATCACCAATAATTAAGCTAAATTCATCCATGCAATGACAATTTGTAAGTATGCAATACGTGCCAGTGAACGTAAACTGGAAGGATACAAAACATTCCAGCTAGAAGCAGCAGATAATAGGCTCACAAAATGTTTAGGCAATGGCAGGTAGTTCAATTTTGGTTTGAAGAGAGACTTAATTAAAGGGACTAGAAAGATACACTCCAAACATAGTTTGGGGTAAAACCTTGTAGAATTTTGAATGCCACGATGAACCTGTAATACACTTGTTATACAGGAGAGAGCTGTTGAGCAGTTATGAATGGAGGAGTAAATTGGACAAAATTATATTACACACACAAAAAGTCAAAATTTGAAAAGACTAATTTAGAATCTATTGTAATGGGCAAGAGGTAGCAAAAACTTGAATAGTGTGGACAGAAAGGATAGGGCAAAAAAGAAAGACACTACAGAGCACTATTATAGTGACATTGCTAACTAGCTCTGGGGACTTAGCCTGAAACCACTCTGAGGCTTTGAGCCTAGGTTTAGGGGAAGAGCTTTGTACCATCCCCCCAGAAACAGGCAGAGGAGTCTAAGAGGTGAGCATGACTACTGATCTGTCCCCCAGGGACTGGGAAAGGAATGGAGTAGAGAGGAAAGGACAGGTAAAAGAAGTAGATAAACAGATGAACTTAGGGCCAATGCCAAGTATTCCACTGAAGTTTCTCCTCTTCCACGGAAGGATCTTAAAAATAAAATCTAAAAAGTAAAAGAAAATTCAGAGGTAGCAGAAGCAATATCAAGAGATTGATACTGAGCCTAGAACTTATGGAGATTAAATTAGTTGTATTATTTCTAATAATATTGGCCTGGGAAGGTTAGGGTATCAGCCAGAAGTCTGAAAAATAAAAAGGCCTACCAAGTCCTAGGATGCCTAAGAGAACTGCCTTACATGTACATAATCCCATGTCTTAGTCACCAAATATAGTTTAGGTTCCTAGAGAGCCAGAATCCACACCTGATAATTCTATTCTCAAAATACTGGAACAACGTATTAGAGAATCAATGAATGCTCTCCGATTAAGTCATTCTTGCAAGCACTTACCATTAAACTTATTAGCCATTACATAAGCCCAATTAATTAGTTAACTAATTTGTAATCATAATGATCACAATGTGGAAAGAAGTCAGTCTTCAACTAAACTATTTTCGGCGTCACCCAAGATCAGATCGCTCCCTCCATTTTATACTTTGAAAACACTCACTTTCTGTCTCTGTCTCTTCCACGCATGTGTGTGCACACAGGCACACCGCTCATAAACTGAACCAACAAATACAAGCCTATGCAATTTTACAGCAAGCCTCAAAGCTCTGATACAGTAATTCCAAGTAATCCTACTTTTGTTTCCATCTGTATAGGTCTCATTATACTAACACTCCTGCAGATGGTGTCAGAAAGGTGAAGTGTCAAGTCCACAAAGGGGAGACCCCAACAGCTCATTGCTACTGCAATATCAATCACTGCTGGTGGTTTTTACTTTTATCTCCTTCCCTCCTTAGTTGTCCCACTCACACTGTCAGTTCGGTTAGAATATTTCACCTACACCTCACAATATGTCAAAAGGAAGTAGACACACGCTGTGAAAAGCTGGTAATTTTATTAGATTCCTTTACCTTTAAAAATCTGTTACTTGGTCAAGTCTGGTTTCTGGGCTTCTTTTTTGCAGGGAAATTGAGGCAAACATTTTTATGTGGTCCTCTGGTGCCTGCTCTGTACCACAAGAATTATATACACAAGGATCATTAGAGTAGTGTTTCGCCCATTAAGATATAATAACCGTCAGCAGGGACAAAAAGCAGATCAGTATCACAAATTCAAACTAACAGGCACACATAAAAACTATGTGCCTGCTTTAGGGCACATGCAAGGGGTCAGGGTCTCATACAACAGGGAAAATTCCCCCTCCGGGTAAGAGATGGCTTTTCACAAGACCAGGGTTAAGTAGAAAGAACATGCAGGATTCTCTCAGCTCTCCAGCCATTTTTCAACCCTGAACACTTCTCTCTCCAAGTGTACCATGCCCATATAAACAAAGAATGCACTTGCTGTTCGAAGGGCTTCTAATGAGTAAAAAGACAGGCAGAGTTATTTAAGGGAGTTGTTCTCTTTGACTGAGGGAGCACCTCTGAGCAAGAAGCATGGGACACGGTGGTGAGAAAGGCATACCTTGTATAGTCTGTTAAGATTAGCCAAAGTAAATCTGGTCATCCGAAGTGTGGGAGATGCCACAGGTAGGTAGGGTTGGGTTGGCTCACCAGGTTTCGGCTGACGGTGGTTTTGAGAATGATTTGTACGTAGCCTGTTTTATTCTTCTTTTTATTTCCTTAAGTGACTGATGTAAGCCTCTTGCACAAAGCGGGTATGTAATAATGTTTTGCAAATGGACTAGATATAGTCTGGTCCAGCCCAGGAAAGCAAAGTTTGATAGGATTACTTGACTCTATTAGCAGAAATTATTTTGTTTACAATGTTAACTCTGCAACAGCCAAAATAAAACTTAGCTGCTTTGCCCAAAATACTGGTATTTTTCAGAACTCGACAGAAATTCAATCAGTAAGAGAAAGAGAACAGAGCAGGGAAAGAAATATAGAAGGACTTGGTTTTTTGAAACTCTCATGTCACCTATATCCCACAAAACTCTGACAAACCTACTCCGTGACCTCTACAAAGGCAACGATAACATGGGGTTCATGGGAAGAGGCAGTAGTACAATCTGAGAGTTGAGGAAAGGGAAGGCAGAAACATCTTCCCACAGTTTTCCCTCCCAACAATGAGGTCATCCTTGAGAGCAAACACCAAGTCTATGAAAAAAACTGCAAGAAGTGGAAAGAAGGGGAGCCAGTAGAGAGGGGTGTGGAGCGTGGAAGGACCACTCGGAGGCAAGGCCAGGGGACCGTACAGATCTGCTCCCGCTGAAGAGCTCTGTAACAAGCCTCTTCAAAATGGTCATAGTTCTCCTACAACCTATACCTTGTGTTTCTCCTACTGGACACTAGGTTCCACCTCCAATAAGCACCAGGCCTACCTGTGCAAACCCAGATATGCACAAATCCTCACTCTATGCAAGTATCCAAATGAGACGCTTAAGGGCACCAATTAAGTAGCAGCTTAAAAGAATCTCTGTCCACTCCACCACAGGGTGAGGACAGCAGGCAGACTTTATTGGGGATTAATACTTAATAACTGATAGAATTTATTGGCAGCTTCCTCTGTACCAGGCATTGTTCTAAGTGTTTTGTATTTAATCATATGAGGCGGGTGCGTTTGTTGTTTCTAGTTTTACAGATGATGAAACTAAGGCACAAAGTCACACTGCTTGGTTTCCCAAGCTCAATTCGACAACCACCCCAACTATCCTCCAAGGCAGTGGTAATTTACTGGACAAAGATTGTACTTCATTTTCATAGATGTCAGGCTATAAATAATCATTCCACTTAAAATCCTTACCATCTAAAAAAAGTTTCAATGAATTAACCAATTAAGAACAAACTACCCACAAAAGGCTACAAAGAAACCAGGGTCTCTAAATGGCATCATATGCTTTTTACATTGATCAGCAATCCCAGAGTGGGAAGCACATACAGCCCATGTTATGAAAATTTCATTTATTTAGTATATACATTCATAGTTCCACCATTATTTAATTCATGCTAATACATGGTTCACTTCTAATACGCTATTGCAACATATGCAATGAAATGATTAAGCTTTAATCTTTGTTACAAACTATTTGCAGTTCTTCAAAAATAATCAATATTGCAGCTAAGGCACAGCAGACAGAATTTCTTTAAAAAAAAAAGAAACCTGGAACTTGAAAATACCTTACCTTAAATAAGAAGAAAATAAAATCTCTAGTAACATAAAGTCTAATTTTCTTGAGTATATAACAATAATTGTAATTTTACACTGCATGCCAAAACTGACTAACAAGGAAAACTAAGGCACACAGCACACGAAGAAACACAAACAAAAGTTGCATCCAAACAGATAAAAAAAAAATCAAGAGACTATAGTATAGTTTATAATCTTATCTAAATTGCTAAATGCCTGCTATTGTGTCATGTTAACCTGGGCTCTGATGGAGTAAGAGACAAGTATAAAACACACAGTGAACAGGAGCTGCCTGGGTGGTGGAAGAAATGGACAATCGCAAAAGGGATACTTATCTAATCTATTACAAAACTTCAAAATCACTCAATCTCATAAAGCAAAAATCCAAATTGTCTCCTAAGTCCAGGCATGTACTATGCCTCAAGTTGCCCAAGGTCTCCTTTTACAGGCGCAATTAAGATTGTCCATGGTTCAAACCTCAAAGAAGGGCACAGGGCATAGAATTCACAAAACTTCCCCTTCTATATCCCCTCTATTCTCCAGAGGGCAGTGGAATGAGAAACAGTTTGGGTTAAGCTGCTTCTGTTCGTCCATTAGTTCTGGTTCTTTTAAGCCAAAATTACATTCCAGGCAGATTGGATGGTCTCAGCCAGTTGCCTGAAGGTAAAGTACAAAGAAATGCCACCCTCTGCTTTCTGGACTCAGCTCTGCGAGTGAAGGAATGCAGAATGGTTTAGAAAGGGTAGGTGGGAGCCCCGCTGCTTAGGTGTTTTAGACACAGCAGGAAGGAGGAAAAGGTGGAAAAGGAAAGGAAAATATTAGAGTGACTACTTATATTTATCTAACATTTTAAAAAATTTAGCTCTACCTATATTTAATAAGTTAATTGAAACTGCCCATTTATTTAGTCTGTATGTCAGCAGGTCAGGGTCACATGGCACTTTTGGTGGATAAACTCTTTCAGACGTGGCATGCTCACTTGTTCCTTTGCTTTCAACATATTGTGATGGGGGGGGTATTAAATGAAGTTTTCTTATTCTAAAATCTGGTTTTAACTAAACTTCACAAAATAAACAAGTTGGCTTCAAAAGCCTCCTGCAGTGAAACCCCAGATTTAAGATAATCCATCAACAATAGGAAAATGGTAGAGCAGACACTTTGGTTGCTAGTACAAACTCTTCATCAGTTATGGAAGTGGGTAAAAACAAGGATAGCCAAATGGCACCCGCCAAGAAGTTGATCCCCATAAACAGAATTTATCACTAAGGCTACTTAAAATGTGGGTTTAACTTCATTACTGTTAATAATGAGACTCATTGTAATCGCATATTGAGCCTTGAGATATCAGGCTCATAAGAACCCAAAGCCATCAAAATTAGCAAGACATTTAAAAATATTACTAATCTTATTTTAATTCATATTTTTTGCATATATTTTATAACATGCATATTAGTTATGTCCTACACTTATATTTTAGAAAATAGACCTTGAGAAACATGCACTCAAACTTTTTACTGTTGGGGTGCACGATAAAAAAATTCTGAAGACCAAAAGCCTTTTGAGTAGACACTCTTCTAGGCTAGACTGAGATTGTTCCTCAGGAAAGTCCTAGATAAGTTATGTTGGATTTCAGATGCCTGGTCAAATTCATTACGTTTTAGACAACTTGCATAAACTTTGACAAAGATTTCTGGCAATTATTAAGGCAAAAGGAAACAAGGTCCAGCGGGCATTCTCAGACCTGGGTTTTAGACTCTGAGCACATAGCTGACATCCCTTTTGTACACTTTGAACTGAGATTCCCAAACAGAAAGAAAGCCAATGTTGCAGCTGATCTCTCAAACTGACGTTCTGAACTAGTAAGAACTAAATAAAGGATGTTTTATCTTGATGTTATTTAAATATTATAAATATTAATTCTGCGTGTATGGGAAATTCCAAATGAATGCCAGGAGGTTTCTGGCATCTAGTCTGTTGCAATGCATATGAACGTTTATATCAAGAATAGTCAACAGCAATTTTCTATCTCCCCTGGGACAAGAATAAGAGGAACTCACTAACATGGAATGAAAACACTAATTTGCAATCATGTAGGCAGTCACTGTGACCAAGGATGCCAAATGCTTTTAAATATAAGTCATCCTATCTAGCAGATGGAAAACCAGCAGTAAGTAGATTACTTATTCAGAGTCTCTCCTGGACCAAATGCAAGTGCTTTTGGTATTATGGTCACCCTCCTGAAACCATTCTTCCTCTACAACCAAGGCTTTTCCTTTAGTGATTCAGTGTTTTCACTTCAGCCAGCATATGGATTTGGCTTTCTTTTACAAGACATCAAACACTATCTTGGGTAGAAATAAAGGGATAAAGGTTACTTTTGGGAGTATGTTATGTCTAACCTAGCCCTATCCGCTTACCACTAGCACAAAGGTAGATTTTTAGATGCTCACCGAACACTTTAGCTGAGATGTTTCCACTCATCTCACACTCAAATCATCCAAAACAGAATTTACCTTTATGCTTCAAGCCCTGCGTCTGCACCTGTGTTTTCAGTTTCTGGCTTGGGGCACCATTATACACATTCCTGCTGAAGCCAGAAACCCAAGGTACAGCCAAAAGTCTTCTGTATTACTCCTTGCATCTGATGTGAGCAACCGTAGCAATTCTCTCTCCAAATATCCCTCATACGTGGTCTCTTCTCTACATTTCTATAGACATAGCTTCAGTTCTGACCTTTGTCATTTATCATCTGAACAAACACAATCCCTTCTAAAGGATTTCTCCACCTTCAGTCCTATTTTTCTTTATTCATTCAACAGGCACTTCATGATCATCACCTGGGTGCCAGACACAGGTGCAAGGTGCTGGGGATACATCAGTGAGCAGTCTCCTTCTCAGAGCTTATATTCTCGTGGTAGATGTAAATAAAAACATAAGTAGATGAACAAATAAAATATTAGTTGCTGTGAAGGAAATAAGAGTATTAAATTAGGATGACCTGTATTAGGGTGGGAGGACCTAGGCAGGCTCTCCTAGGAGGTGACATTTAAGCTGAAACCTAAAGAAAAACACCTAGCTACATAGAGAGTGGGGTGGAAAAGCGTTTCAAACAGAGGGAGCGTGCAGAACTGTTCATTCAAAATGTGTTGTGCATGCAATGACAAAGAGTAAGAAAAGTACTTGGCCTCTGTAAGAAATCAAAGACCACTGTAGTTGGCTAGAGTGCAGTGAGATGAGATGCAGGTGGGACAAAGTGAAATAAGAGATCTATGTTTTGGCCAAGCATGGAAAACATTAGAGGCCAGTCTTCCATGAACAGTGTGATAGATATTGCTGCATTCAAAATCAGATCACAACATGGCCCTTCTTAGATTTCTTGTCCCCATTACTGATGCAATAATATAAACATTTCTTGTGATGCTATTCATGATCTTCCTGGTCTGGATGCTGCTTGTGTTTCTTGCCTTCTACCTTAAAACAACCCACATTCATATATACAATCTATATACTCCAGCTGTGTCTTTTTTTTCTTTTTTTTTTTTTCGAGATAAGAGTCTTGCTCTGTTGCCCAGGCTGGAGTACAGTGGCGTGATCTCGGCAACCTCCACCTCCTACGCTCAAGCAATTCTCCCACCTCAGCCTCCCAAGTAGCTGGGATTACAAGTTTGTGCCACCACCATGCCTGGCTAATTTTTGTGTTTTTTGTAGAGATGGGGTTTCGCCATGTTGGCCAGGTTGGTCTCGAACTCCTGGGCTCAAGCAATCCACCTGCCTTGGCCTCCCGAAGTCAGGGATTACATGTCTGTTTTTCACGTTTTGTTTCATGCTCTTTCCTCAATTGGAAAAGCTCCATCTCTGTGTGATGACCACTATTTCATCCTCTCAGACTTAATCTTAACTTTTACAGGAAGAGTCAAGATACTGCTCTGTTATTTCATAGCCAATTCTACTATAATGTTGGGCTGCTTTACATCTCTCCCACCATCCTGGGTGTGCCTGAGGATGTTAGAGCCTGATCTTATGTGCTGTTGTAGTCATGACACCTGATGCGGAGCTGGCACTCTATACAGTTTTATGGAAGGAAAGAAGGCAGGCAAGCAGGCAGTTTTGTCCAAGTGCACTGGAATAGAATACATGGCATTCTGATCCTATCTAGTTTAAGATTAAGTCTGTATTTTTTAAAAATTGAATTAAATTCAACGAACACTTGAATATATGACTTTTATGCATGACACATTAGCCCAGTTATTTGCAAACAATGCTTAATCACCATAGAAATTCCTGGCAAAGAAATGCATAAAGGAATGAACACTAGCCCTGCTCCTTGTTACCTGTCAGATGTTAAGGTATAGAGAAGCAAAACTCTTCCTGAATGGAGAGTGTAGGCTGTGTTAAGGAGAGCACAGAGAAGTGCTCCTCTTACAAAAGAAGAAGAGAAGATTGCTCTTCAACAGCCAAACCAGTAAAAGCCACATGATCTATTTGTGGGAGACAATTGCAGACTGAAACACACAAAACTGTTATCAAGGTGACAAAGCTGCAATCTCAGAAAAATTGAAATGTCATTGCCATTTGGAAAATTGGAATGCCTGAAGCTATCCAGAAGGCCTGTAAGTACTTCTATTCCTATCAACTTAATGGTAGAGTTTTCCAAGAATCACGTACTGTATTTTGTCTCTAAACCTGTTTATGCCTGTTTCTTTGCATTCAAAAAGATATTTACCGTGTGCTTATTATGCATATGCCGAAACAGAGTGATGGAAATGACATTTTAATGGGGAAAATGGCAGGTAGAGGCAAATGATGTGGAGAAAACAATCAATAAATGTGACAATTTTTTTTGTTGTTGTTGTAAGAAGGAATACTCTCCTCTAAGTGAATATACTGGCTTGCTGGTTTATACATCAGCTTCTTGTGAGTTTGGAAAGTATGAGTTAATCCCTCTGGGCTTTGTGCATGGCTAAAGGTGAATATACGACCACAGGGCTGAAGAACACCCTCTGAATTGTCATTTCACCAGGGCTGGTCGGCTGTGAGATCTTGCCAGGCGGCCAGCTGGCCTCCTCCAGTCATATCTAACCATAGCCCCTCTCACATTAAAATAAACTTTTTAGGCCAACATCAGCACAGGGAGTCCTTTCACCAGGGTGACAACACAAGGCCAAGTACATTCCACACACAAATTCAGAATGAAATATAACTGATACAGCCTGGGCTCCTAATGACCTTCAGATGCCAGTGTCAGTCAATGACTCCAAAGGAAAACTAACCTCCAGTTATAGCGCCATATTCATCTGGAATGCATTACTAAACGAAGAAATGGAATGGAGATGATTTTTTAGAACTTAGGAGCCAACTTTGTGGTGGATCACAGAGGTGCTTGAGGAAGGAAAACGAACAATAAAGTTCCCACAAGGACTAGAAGTCTGTGATGCTACAGTCAACATTCGGACGCTGAAATGAAAGTTCACGTACGCTTCACAGAAGCATGTTCTTATCTAGAGTATAACATTGGAAAAGGTCTGGATCGACAAATATCTTTTCAAACTCACAGTAAACATTCAATCTAATAAGGCTAGAATGCCATGGGAAAGTTTACAGTCCTGAGCTGGTAACTGGACTATCACATGGCTGGAATGACTTCTATCCATGGGGAAATCTGACGCACTGCAGTAGGACATGCTTAAAACAAACGGAATATAGTCTAAGGTTATATGGACATTGTGAAAACTCACATCCACAGCGTTACACATCATGGTGATGAAATCAAGCACACTTGAGTTTCACCAGGCTCATGGAGACCACTGTCAAGACCGTTCTGTGATACCTGAAGAATCCCTAACTTCAATAACTGCTTCAAAACAGTCAGTCCTTTACCAAAAGACTATAAACTCCCCTGAAAACATTTGTTTTTGTTTTTCTTTTTTTCCCTCTGCTCTAACATCACATTCTTCTGATGTGAATTTTTCAGAAACTCAATTCTTCTGGAAGATCTAACTTGAGATTCTTCTAAAGTCCCTGAAGAATCCCATTCTAATTTCAATGACAGGCCTATTTAGCCACCCTCTGCCAAACTCACTGTATCTGAGGTTTCATATTCACACTTATGTATTCAGCTCTGTTAATGAGCTTAAATACGATACAGCTTATCTGAATGCTCTGTGATTATCATTTAAGATGTTTTAGTTTTTTGTGGAATTTTTAATTTTTGTAATGTAGCGAAATTTTAAGTCCCTAACAATGCTCCCTTGAATGGAAAAGTAGCAGGTGATGTGAAAGTAACTTAAGTGTCTTGTAGGTCAGGACCTATGGGTATTCTGCTGAGTAGCAAAGTCAAACAACTAAACAACATGAACTGAAACCTAAAGGGCCGTGTGGTGTCAGATGTTTCCACTGTGAAACTCATACTAAATTCTACTGAAACCATCTAAGAGATTGTATTATCACTCAGCAAATATAAGTGAAATGTCAATATAAAGATTTACATTTGCTGGGCATAGTGGCTCACGCCTGTAATCCCAGCACTTTGGGAGGCCAAGGCGGGTGGATGATCTGAGGTCAGGAGTTCGAGACCAGTCTGACCAACATGGAGAAGCCCCATCTCTACTTAAAAAATTAGCTGTATGTTATGGCGTATGCCTGTAATCCCAGGTACTTGGGAGGCTGAGGCAGGAGAATCACTTGAATCCGGGAGGCAGAGGTTGCGGTGAGCCGAGATCACGCCACTGCACTCCAGCCTGGGCAATAAGAGCAAAACTCCGTCTCAAAACAAACCAAACCAAAAACCAAAAAAACCCCCAAAGATTTACATTTAATTAATTAGTGAGAAAGGGGAGTATTGTTTTCATGCGAGACACAGATTTTGAAAAGGTATCATGTGTTCTGGTCTACTTTTCTAGATACTAATAAAAAATATGTGCACACAAAATCTCTTCTCTTTAAATGTCTTTTATCTAAAATTGAGCCAAAGATAACCAAATAGAAATAACAACATTTTGAAAACGAAAGGATGAAGAAACAATGACGTAACCAAATGAAGGAAAGTATTCCTCCCTAGAAGTATTCCAGCTAATAAAGAAGAAATGATGGAATTAGTACATCATTATTTTGAAAACTTCTATTGAAATAATAAATCCAGGCAAAGATAATAAGTGCTCACTAACATCACAGATAACTAAATATTATGCACTTCTTGATAGAAAACATAATAGCATCTATGATGTATTCTTCCACTCAGATTAAGTCTCTAGATCAGACAGTTTATAGAAAACAGGGGACAGGGGAACATGATAAATAAAAACATAGCAGCATCATCAGCAAAACCTAAAATGTGGGGAAGTCTACAAGACAAGTGACCTGGTTTCTTCAACAAGTAAATTACAAAAGGGGAAAAAATGGAGGGTAGAAACTTCTAGATTAAAATAAACTTGAGAGACACGTCAAAGGCAATGCATGGAATTTGTCTGGATCCTCATTTAAACTAACTATAAATGAATGGATGAATTAATGAGTATACAAACAACAGGGACATTAGAACCACTTATGTGATGATACTGAGTAACTACGATTAATGTCTTTGAAGGAAGGATAATGGCACTGGGTGGAGTATTGTTTGGAAAAGTACCCCTGGGCCGGGCGCAGTGGCTCATGCCTGTAATCTCAGTACTTTGGGAGGCCAAGGTGGGCAGATTGCATGAGCCCAGGAGTTTGAGACCAGCCTGGGCAACATGGCAAAACCCCACCTGTAAAACAAATAAATAAATAAAGTATCCTTATTTTTTAGCAATAGTACTAACATTTTTAACAGATGACTTATAAAGCATCTGAAATTTGCTTCATAACCTACTTGGTGAGAGGGGGGCATTTTCAGATAAAACAAGAGTGAGTTGATGGTTCTGTAGCTGAGTATTGGGTATATAGGATTCATTAGGGCATTCTAACTTTGTATGTGTTTGACATTCTTCAGAATGAAATGTTTTTTAAAAAATGGAAAAAGTAAAACAAAAGTGATAGAAAAGACTTACCCTGTTGGATATCCTTCATTTCTAAATGTAAACTAGATATCAAGATTCCCACAGTTTGAGATCGTTTTCCATCCAACAATTTGATGATCTAAAATTAGAAAAAAAAAAAAAAGAATACAAGCTCAAATGACCATGCAGTCTTTCAGGACGCACACCAAAAACATTAAATTTTTTTAGATACACTGATTGATGAACTAAATTGATGCTGCATGCACTCTTTAAATAATACTTAATTGGGAAGTAACTTATGCACAATTATAGACATCTTACACAATGACAGACGTTTTACAAAACAAACACACAAAATTCCATCAGCCTAATACAAACGCTAAATCTTTATATGTTACTGTGATCATTTTACTCAAGTACAAAGTTATACCAGCATCAAGATGTACAGAATGTGGTATCCATCTTTTTCACTTATCACTGGAATATTTTCATGTTGCTACTGGTGAAGTCACTTCATAGCCTCCAATCTTTTTAGTAATGTCATCTTCTGAGTGATTTAGGGGAAAAAGCATGAACAGCTGAGTCAGCCACCAGTGATATGGCCTTGGTAAAGTGATAACCTCTATGAATTGATTTCCTCATCATGAAGGGCTGACTATATTTAGTCTATATTTTATTTTGAGAGAAGGTCTAGCTCTGTCACCTAGGCTGGAGTGCAGTGGTGTGATCAGAGTTTGTCTCAGCCTTGACCTCCTGGGTTTAAGTGATTCTCCTGCCTCAGCCTTCAGAGTAGCTGGGATCACAGGCAGGCGCCACCACACCCAGCTAATTTTTAAATTTTTTTATAGAGACAAGGTCTCCATAAAAACTTCATTGCCCAGGCTGATCTGATCCCAAACCCTAAATTCAAGTGATTCTTCCATTTCAGCCTTCCAAAGTGCTGGGGTTACAGGCATTAGTCATTGCACCTGGCCTATACATTTATTTTAGAAATTAAATGACTATATGAAAAGCACTTAATATAGTTCTTGACATATATTTATTTAAAGATTTTCTGTTTCAGAGAGGTTACTTCCTATTTGTTATTATTAATATAAACAATATAATACCTTGCACACAAAGCTCTAGTTTTAAATTAATCAATTAATTTTTGAGATAGTATCCAGCGCCGTCACACAGGCTGGAGTAGAGTGACGCAATCACAGCTCACTGTAATTTTGAACTCCTGGGCTCAAGGGATCCTTGCACCCTCACGAGTAGCAAGCACTATAGGTGCAGGCCACCATGCTTGGCTAATTTTTATTTTTTTGATGTTTTGTAGAGGTGAGGTCTCACTATATTGCCAATGCTGCTCTTACACTCCTGGGCCCAAGCCATCCTCCCACCTTGGTCTCCCAAATTATTGGGATTATAGGTGTGAGCCACCACACTTGGCCTTAAAATTATTTTTTATAATACTATGTATTTTTACAATCTTCATAGAAACTCCACATACCTCATTGCCAGTTATTTCAACCTTTATGAATATTCCATGGAGAAGTCTACATAGTTTTGTGTTTCTCTACAACTAGTAAACCAAATCAGCTCCCTGGTAACATATCACGAAGCTGCCACTAAGGGAAAAAAACTCTCTTTCCTCTCATGTGGCAGGGCTACAAAAATAAAAGAGAAGCACCCACAAAACACAAATCTTACAAATGTTTTTAATGTGCTTTGCTGGTTAAAATACAAACTAGGCTGAACAGCTGTGCTTTCCTTCCCACCTAGGTACTTACAGAATTGCCAAACTACTGTGAAGACAAGACTAAACAGTAACAAACATCTACATTTGTATTATTACTGTAATAGCTGAGTTGCTTGCTGGTTGAAAAGTAAGGGACAACAATAGTTTGTTCCAATAAAGATGATCTAACTGCCTAATTGTCTAACTACCTGTTGATTAATCGATCTTGAATCAATTATTGCCAGATATTTTTTTCCTTTACCTGTTCAGAATGGCTACTTTCATATAACGATTAGACCTAAAAGATAGTAAATACTAAGTATTAATCAAGATGTAAAGGAAAAAAATCTCATTTTTCAGTCAATATGTTTAAGCATGTCAATATTCGCCTTAGAAAGATTCTTGAGGCATACAGAATTTTAGGAGTTTTAAACAGAAATAGAGAAGGTACTCAGTAATTTTTTATATGAAAGGAAAAGCAAAAAAAAAAGGCAATTAAGCATAATACAATATCTTCCTTAAAAATGCAATTTCTGGCTTTTTCTTAGAGAACCCAAATTTAAAGTCAAATGATTTCTTCATCTAATAAAAAAATTAAGAAAAGTCAATTTAGCCATGCACCCATTCAAAAAATATTTACTGTACACGTTACATGTGCCTGGCATTGCTTTGTATTCTGGGGATGCGGAGGTGACTGAGACAGATCAAGTCGTAAGAAGTTTGCTGTAGAGTCAAAAAGGCAAATAAAAGCATCACCTAAACTAACTGGAGTGCAAATTCAAAAAGAGAAACGTTTTGGGAATTGACTAGATTTATTCTTAAGTGTCCAGGATGGTGACTGATACAACCACAACCATGGCATACACATCAATGACAAGGACACAGGAACAGGATCAAATTTATGACAAGATCACAGCTGGGTTGCAAAAGTTTCTTCAAATGAACACGCACCAAGCTATCCAGTTAGGGCTCTGAAAACTACCAGTAATACTCTGCCTACAAGAAAGGTAATGTACAAATGCACATTTCTCTGTTAGCTAATTAAAAGAAAGCAGGAGAGAAATCACGAGAGAGTAAAAGAGCAAGAAAGATATTGATTCTGTCTGTCCCTGAGTAAAATGAGGCAAATCTACCCCTCACCCCATTATACAACCAGACTTAACTGTGGAAAGGATGTTATCACCATAAGCCATGCTTGGAATTTTGTCGAATGACTTGGCACAACCAGGTATTTGCTGAGTGTTACCTTTACTGGGACTAATGCCTTAAAACGTTTTTGTTTGGAAATCTGATGCTGATTTCCTACAAAGGGGCTGGGGGCAGCTAAGCAGTGGTGAAGTTGGAGCATTTTGTATTCTCTTCCCTACCTGAACCAAATTCTCTGTCTACTTTTAAGTAAATTTTCAAAAAGATCCTTCTATGTTTCCATGTAGCCACTCTTGTGAAATACCACCAGGTTTCTCAAAACCAACTACAATGGTAGGGACACAATGCGCACAGAATGATATGTCCTAAATCCTCTTAGTCTCTTCGTCTTTTTTTTCTCCCATGGCTTTGAAGGCTTAACACTAATTTCTCTTTATTTTTATGAAAAGTGCACAACATGAAATGTATCCTATTAACAAAAATTTAAATGTATAGTACATTATTAACCACAAGCACAATGTTATACAGCAGATTTCTAGAACTTTTTCACCTTGCGTAACAGAAATTTTATACCCACAGAATAGCAGATTTCCAATTCGCCGTTGTTCCAGCCCCTGGGAACCACCATTCTACTTTCCATTCCTTTGAGTTTGACCACCACGGATACCTCATATAAGTGGAATCATGCAGCATTTATCTTTTTGTGACTAGATTATTTTCACTTAGCATAATGTCCTCAGGCCAATCCATGTTGTAGCAAATGACAAGATTTCCTTTTTTTTTTTTTGTGGTCAAGTAATATTCCACTGTATGTACACACCACGTTTTCTTTACCCATTTGCCCATCAATGGACATTTAGGTTGTCTCCATCTCTTTGCTATTGTGAATGCTGCAACATGGGAATATCTTTTCAATACAGTGACTTCAATTCTTTTGGATAAATATCCAGAAGAAAGATTAATGGATCATATGGTAGTTCTATTTTTAAATTTTTTTTTTTTTTTTTTTTTTTTTTGAGCTGGAGTCTCGTTCTGTCATCTAGGCTGGAGTGCAGAGGCTTGATCTCGCCTCACTGCAAGCTCTGCCTCCCGGGTTCACACCATTCTCCTGCCTCAGCCTCCCAAGTAGCTGGGATTACAGGTGCCTGCCACCACGCCCGGCTAATTTTTTGCATTTTTAGTAGACGGGGTTTCACCGTGTTAGCCAGAATGGTCTCTATCTCCTGACCTCATGATCTGCTCGCCTTGGCCTCCCCAAATGCTGGGATTACAGGCGTGAGCCACCGTCCCTGGTCTATTTTTAAATTTTTAAAGAACTTCATACTGTTTTCCATAGTGACTACACCATTTTACATTTCCACCAACAGTGTACAAAGGTCCCACTTTGTCTACATCCTCAAAAAAACTTGGTATTTTTCAGTTTTTTTTTTTTTGACAGTGGCCATTCTGACACGTGTGAGGGGTTATCTCATTGTGATTTTGAATTGCATTTCCCTGGTGATTAGTGATGTTGAGCATCTTTTCCTTATACATATTGGCCATTTGTATACCTTTTTTGGAGAAATGTTTGGATAAGTCTTTAGCCCATTTTTATCAGACATATGGTTTGCAAATATTTTTTCCCATTCTGTAAGTTGTCTTTTTACTCCGTTGATTGTTTCCTTTGCTGAGCAGAAGCTTTTTCATTTAACATAGTCCCCTTTGTGCATCTGTTATTTTTGCTTTTTTTGGGGGGGGGCGGTCTATGCTTTTCATGCTATATCCAGGAAACAACTGCCAAAATCAATTTTAGAGGACTTTTCCCTATTTTTTAAAAAAGTTTTATAGTTTCAAGTCTCACATTTAAGTTTCTAATCTATTTTGAGTTGATTTTTGTATATGTTCCAAGATAAGGGTCCAATTTCATTCTTTTGTGTGTGGATAGCCAGTTCTCCTAGCACTATCTGTTGGAGAGACTATCCTTTCCACATTGTACAGTCTTGGCACCCTTGTCAAAGAACATTTGCCTGTATATGCTTGGGTTTATTTCTGGGTTCTCTATTCTGTTCTATTGGCCTATAATGTCTGTCTTTATGCCAGTACCATACTGTTTTGATTACTGCAGCTTGGCAATTTGTTTTGAATTCAGAAAGTGTGAGTTCCCTAGATTTGTTCTTTCTCATGGTGGTTTTGGCTACTCAGGGTCTTCTGTGGTTCCATACAAATTTTAGGATTGTTTTTTCCTATTTCTGCAAAGCAGCCACTGGGATTTTAAGAGGAACTGCACTGAATCTGTATGTTGCTTTGGGGGAATACAGACATTCAATAATATTAATTCTTTCAATCCATAAACATGAGATGTCTTTACAGTTATTTGTGTCTTCCTAAATTTTTTTAAGCAATGTTTTATAGTTTTCAAAACTAGTCTGTACTAGTCTTTTACCCTCTTCAGTTTATTCCTAAGTATTTCATTTTTTTGGATGTTACTTTAAATGAAATTGTTTTCTTAATTTCCCTTCCAGGTAGTTAATATTTTTGTGTTATAAGAACACAACGAATTTTTGTTTGTTGATTTGGAATCCTGTAAGTTTGCTGAATGTTTTTCATAGTTCTTCACAGTTTGCTTTTTTGGGGGAATCCTTAGGGTTTTCTACATATAAGATCATATCTGTGAACACAGATAATCTTACTATTTCATTTCCAACTTTGATGCCTTTTATTTCTCTCTCTTGATTAATGTCTCTATGACTTTCAGCACTATGTTGAATAAAGTAGCATGAATGAGCATCCTTGTCTTGTTGCTGATCTTAGTGGAAATGCTTTTGGTTTTTCAACCTTGATTATAATATTAGCTTTGAACTTTTAGCATATGGTCTTTATTTCTTTCTATTCCTTCTAAAGAATATTTCCTTCTTTAGGTAATTTCCTTCTATTCCCAGTTTGATGAGTTTTTATCAGAAAACAGTGTTGAGTTTTTTCAAATGCTTTTTCTGCATCTATCAAAATATTTTTATCATTTGTTCTTTTAATGTAATATATCATATTGATAAATATTCATATGTTGAACCTTCCTTGCATTTGAGAGATAATTGACACTTGGTGATGGTATATGATCCTTTTAATGTGCTATTAAATTATGTTTACTGGGCCAGGTGCAGTGGCTCATGCCTGTAATCCCAGCACTTTGGGAGGCCGAGGTAGGCGGATCACTTGAGGTCAGGAGTTAGAGACCAGCCTGGCCAACATGGTGAAACCCCGTCTCTACTAAAAATACAAAAAATTAGCTGTGCATGGAGGCACGTGCCTGGTAGTCCCAGCTACTTGGGAGGCTGAGGCAGGAAAATCACTTGAACCCGGGAGGCCAAGGTTGCAGTGAGCTGATATTGTGCCACTGCACTCCAGCCTAGGAAACAGAGTGAGACAATTAAGTTTACTAGTACTTTGTTGAGAATTTTAACATCTATATTTGTAAGAGCTAATGACCTGTAGTTTTCTTTTCTTGTAATGTCTTTGGCTTTGGTATCAGAGTAATGCTGTTCTCATAAAATGAATTTGGAAGGGTGACCTCTTCAATTTTTTGGAAGAGTTTGAGAAGCACTGCTTCCCTGTTAATTATTCTTTAAATGTTTGGTAGAATTCTCCACTGAAGCCATCTGGTTCTGGGCTTTTCTCTGGAGGTTTTTGATTTCTAATTCAATCTCCTTACTTGTTACAGGTCTGTTCAGATTTTCCACTTCATCATGATTCAGTCCTGCTAGGTTGTACATTTCTAGGAATTGATCTATTTCTCCTAGGTTATCCAATTTTTTGGCATGTAATTGTTCATAGTAGGTTCTTATAATCCTTCCAGTTCTGTGGCATCGGTTGTAATGTCTTCTCTCTCATTTTGTATATACTTGTGTTTTCTTTTTCTCCTTAATTTAGCTAATGATTTGTCCATTTTGTTTATCTTTTCAAAAAACCAACTCGGTTGTGTTGACTATTTTCCTATTGTTTTTCTATACTCTATTTTGCTTTTTTTCTGCTGAAATCCTTATTTCATTTCTTTTACTAACTTTGGGCTTAGTTTATCCTTCTTTTTCTAGTTCCATGAAGTGTAGAGTCAGGTTGTTTATTTGAAATCTTTTTAAACATAGGTGTTCACCCTAAAACCTTACTCTTAGTACTGCTTTTATTGCATCCCATATGTTTTGGTATGTTGTATTTTTGTTTCTGTTTGTCACAAGATATTTTCCAATTTCCCTTTTGGTTTCTTCTTTGACCCACTGGTTGTTCAAAAGTGTGCTGTTTAATTTCCCTGTATGTATAATGTTTCCAGTTTTCTTCCTGCTATTATTTCTAGTTTCATGCCATTGTGGTCAGAAAAGATACATGGTATAATTCCAATTTTTAAAAATTTGTTAAGGCTTGTTTTCTGACATAACGTGTGACTTATCCTGGAGAATGTGCACTTGAGAAGAATGTGTTTCAAAACCCAATTCCTGTTGGGTGGAATGGTCTATTTCCATTATGTCCATTTGGTATATAGTGTTGCTCAAGTCCTCTGTTTCCTTATTGTTTATCTATCTTGTTACATCATTTATCAAAAGTGGGTTATTGAAATCTCCCATTGCTGTGTTGCTGTGTATTTCTCCCTTTAGTTCTGTAAAAATTTGCTTCATATATTTGGCTTGTACGTTGGGTGCACATATAACTGTTATATCTTCCTGGTGAATTGACCCTTTTATCATTAAATAGTGTCCTTCTTTTTCTTTTGTTAGAGTTTTTGACTTAAATTCTAACTATGGCCACCCTGCTGTCTTTTGGATTGTTTTTAGTTTAGCTAAGGATGTCAGTTGTTGGTTTTTTTAAATTAACTCTTGGAATATCTTTTTCCATCCCTTTTCACTTTCAGCCTGTGTCCTTGAGTCTAAAATGACTATTATAGACAGCATATAGTTCCATCTTTTTTTATCCATTTAGCAATTTTATGTCTTTTGACTGAGAAATTTTCTCTATTTGCATTTAAAGTAATTACTGAGAGGCAAGAACTTATTATTGCTAATTTGTTCATTGTTTTGTAGCTTTTGTAGTTTTGTCTTTTTCTATATTGATGACTTTTGTGTTTTGTTTCTTACAGTGACTTGCTTTGATTCTTTTCTTTTTGTTGTTGTATCTCCTATAGGCATTTTCTTTGTTGTTACTATGAGACTTACATAAAACATTTTATAGGTATAATAATCTATTTTAAGCTAATTTCAATCACATATACAAATTCTACTCTTACTTCTCCACTCCCACACTTCATGTAATTGATATAACAAATTATATTTTTTCTATTGTGTATCCATTAACGTATTTTTATAATTATATTTGTTTTTAATATCTGGCAGACATAAATTCTATACCAGAGTTAAAAGTGATTTATCCGCATCATTATAGTATTCTGTATTTATCTGTATATATACCTTTATCTACAAGCTTTGCGCTTTCATATGCTTTTGTGTTGCTATGTCATGCCCTTTTCATTTCAACTTTAAAGGCTTTCCTGTATCATTTCTTGTAAGTCTAGTGGTCATGAACACCCTACACTTTTATTTATCTACGAACATCTATTTCTCTTTTGTTTCTGAAAGACAATTTTTTTCCTTTTTTTTTTTTTTTTTTGGGTGGGGAGGACTGAGTCTCACTCTGTCACCCAGGCTGGAGTGCAATGGCGCAATCTTGGCTCACTGCAACCTCCACCTCCCAGGTTCAAGCGATTCTCCTGCCTCAGCCTCCCAAGTAGCTGAGATTATAGGCGTCCCCTGCCATGCTGGGCTAATTTTTGTATTTTTAATATAGGTGGGGTTTCACCATGTGGGCCAGGCTGGTCTCAAACTCCTGACCTCAGGTGATCCACCCGCCTCGGCCTCTCAAAGGGCTAGAATTACAGGCATGAGCCACTGTATCTGGCCAAAAGACAATTTTTCTTTTTCTTTTTTTTTTTTTGAGACACAGTCTTGCTCTGTCGCCCAGACAGAGTGCAATGGCATGATCTCCACTCACTGCAACCTCTGCCTCCTGAGTTCAAGCGATTCTCCTCCCTCAGCCTCCTGAGTACCTGAGATTACAGGCACGCACCACCATGCCTGGCTAATTTTTTGTATTTTTAGTAGAGATGGGGTTTCACCATGTTGGGAAGGCTGGTCTCAAACTCCTGACCTTGTGAGTCACCTGCCTTACCCTTCCAAAGTGCTGGGATTACAGGCGTGAGCCACTGCACCCAGCCGATAGACAGTTTTTCTAGATATAGTTTTCTTACTTGGTAATTTTCTTTCATTGCTTTGAATATATTACCCTATATCCTTCTGGTCTGCAAGTTCATGCTGAGAAATCTTCTGATAGTCTTGTTGGGGTGCCCTTATATGAGTTGCTTTTCACCTCCTGCTTTCAAAATTCTCTTTTTTGTCTTTAACTTTTGACAGTTTGATTATAATGTGCTCAGTGTGGTCTTTTGAGTTCTTGTAATCGGGATCCATCGGGATTCTTCAATCTGAATGTTTATTTCTTCCGCCAGATATCTGACCATTATTTCTTCCAATATACTTTCCTCCCTTCCTACCTTCTCCTTCTGTAACTGTCACAATGTGTCTATTGATCTGCTTGACGGTGTTCCATACATCCCTTAGACTTTCTTTACTCTTTTTTTTTTTTGAGACGGAGTCTTGCTCTGTCACCCAGGCTGGAGTGCAATGGCGTGATCTTGGCTCACTGTAACCTCTGCCTCCCAGATTCAAGCGATTCGCCTGCCTCAGCCTGCTGAATAGCTGGGATTACAGGCGTGCGCCACCCCACACAGCTAATTTTTGTTCTTTTAGTAGAGATGAGGTTTCACCACGTTGGGCATGCTGGTCTTGAACTCCTGACCTCGTGATCTGCCCACCTCAGCCTCCCAAAGTGCTGGGATTACAGGCGTGAGCCACCGGCACCTAGCCTCCTCTTCGTTTTTTTCTTTTTGCTCCTCTAAATGGATCATTTCAAACGACCTCTCTTTATCTGATTCCTCCTTCTGCTTCATTAAGTCTGCTACTGAACCCCACTAGTGAGCTTTTAAATTTGGTTATTGTATTCTTTAGCCCCAATATTTGTTTGGTTCTTCATAATATTTTCTATTTCTTTGTTGATACTGTCATTTTGTTCATGTATCTTTTTCCTGAGCTCACTGAACATCTTTATGACATTTATTTTGAATTATTTGTCAAGTAATTCATATACATCTGTGTCTTTAGGATTGGTTTGATTTCTTTTGTTCCACTGGTTGGTCCATGCTCCCCTGTTTCTTTGTGTGCTTTGTTACTTTGTGTTGGGATGTGAAAAAGAAGTCACCATTCTCATTCTTTACAGACTGATTTCATACAGTGAAAGACCTTTGCCAATCAGCCCAGCTAGTGTCTCTGGGGGATTTTCAAGCCTTTTTCTGTGGATAAATATTCTCTGGACTTACGTATGTGAATTCCCAATTAGAGGGATTTTGGTTTTTCAGGAGCTCATAATCCCTGCTCTCTCTAGTGTCTGTCTATGGTACTGCAGTTTCTCTGGAGGTATAAGCTGTCCAGCTCCTTTTTGTTCTCATCTGCCCCCAAACATCTAGAGTATGTCAAGTCCCATGAACACACAGAGTCAAAGAAGGAAAAGGAGAAAGGAGAAAAGAGGAGGGGGAGTGGGAGGAAGAGGAGAAGGAGGAGGAGAAAGAAGGAAGGAAGGAGAAGAAAGAAGGAAAGGAAGGAAGGAGAAGAAGAAGAAAAGAAGATGGGTGAAGATGAAGAAGAGCAAGAGGAGGAGGAAGCAGAGGAAGAAGAAAAAACAGTTCCTTGGACAACACTGTGAAAAGGTGAAACACTAGACACAAGCTCCACTCTTCTTTCCCCTGCAGTCCATGTGGGAGAAGCTGCTGAGCTGTATTGGCCTCTGTCTACTGTACTGCAGGCCACCTAGCTTTTTGTTCTCAGCAGTCTCCAGGCATCTAGAGTATGCTGTGTCCCATCAGCACTCCAAGTCGGGCAAGACAGAAATCAGTCTCTTGGGCGGCCCTCTGAAAAGCCAGAGCATTGGACGGATGCTCCGACTTTTTCCTTCTCCAAGGAGAAGCCAGGATTTGGAGGTTTACTCTCACTTACTCTGCCCTGAGCAAGGGTGAGGGGCAATTGCACTGAATGCATACTAATTCATATCATCATCTTTCTTCTCAGTGGTTCCCAACCTGGCATCTTTCCCTGTTAGCTCTTAGATTCACACACAACAGAAACCAGTCTTCAAAGTACCTCCCCAAAAGTCTGAACATTAGACATAAGATCCAGTCTTCTCTCTCCCTCCCAAAGGAGAAGCCAGGAGGTAGTTTTCTCTAAATCAATGTATTGTGCCAGAAAGGGAGTCAGATGAGTGAGTGCCATGAATTTTCCTATTAGCTTCAATACAACTGGTTTCATGCTCACCTGGGGTTTAGGAGCCTCTTAACTGATTTCTGAATTTCTCACAAAGGGAACTGGCCCGTGTATTATTAAATTGGCATCTCCATGGGGCAACAAGGATCCGGTATTTTCTATTCCACCATCTTGATGACATTACCTCCCCCTTTCCCACTTTTAGTTTCTGAGAGGCAAATGCTATGTCATCCATGGATAGAGAGAGAAGACAAAAGTGGCTGGGTTCCACCAAATATGCTCCCAGTCACAAAGTGGCTCATATGGACATGTTGGTAGTGAGAGTAAGAGCAGACTGATCTGAGACTGAGTCAGGCTTCGCTGAAAGGGGGCTGGCCTCTCCTTCATAATTGGAGGACAGTACCAAACAAACTACAAGGAAAAGAATTAGAAATGAAGGAAGAGTAACGAGAAAAAGAGTAGAAGAAACATATATTTTAAAAGATCTTCCTTAAGATATGCAAAATAACTGAAAGGAAACAAATGGAGGACAATAACACATTAGACTTGTGAACACACATAGAAATGGTTCAGTACAACCCAAGACTTTGATATACACTTAGATCTTTCTGAGATTGGTTAGAAATTGGGCTAGCAGGGTGTGAGGAGAATGTATTGGAAGTAGACAGGAGGAAAAAAGAAACTTGAAGACTATAGGAGAGAAAAAGTATACATTTTGTTGCACTTTTTTTTTTCACTGTGTAGCGTGTTTTTTTCACGTAGAAACACATTACTGACAACTTCCTTGTCAGTGCAGGCAGAGCCATTTCTAAAAACATCACATCATTTAAGTATTCCCCTACTAAAGGACAATTAGAAATCATCCAAATTTTGGCCAGGCAAGCTGTGGCTCACACCTGTAATCCCAGCAACTTGAGAGGTCGAGGTGGGTGGATCACTTGAGGCCAGGAGTTCGGGACCAGCCTGGTCAACATGATGAAACCCCATCTCTACTAAAAATACAAAAATTAGGTGGGTGTGGTGGCACACTCCCGTAATCCCAGCTCCTCGGGAGGCTGAGGCATGAGAATTGCTTGAACCCAGGAGGTGGAAGTTGCAGTGAGCCAAGATCAAGCCACTGCTCGCCAGCCTGGGTGACAGAGCAAAGACTCTGTCTGAAGAAATGTTCCAAATTTTGTCAATTGTTAAGAATGCTACAACGAACAAGCAGGCAGAGAGATCCTTAGTCATGCAAGTTTGTATTTTCATAGGACTCATAGAAATCATTCAAATAATATGCCCATTTGAAAATTTGATAAATATTTCAGAATTGTTTCTTATTAGACTTACCCTGCCAAGTATTTGAGAGCAACTGTTTTTCTGTTCCCACACCCACTTTAGGTATTACCAATTTTAAAACTGTTGGCTGAAAAACAGGTGAAATGTGTTTTCATGATTTTATTTTGCATTTTTAATGATTTTTATTAGTCACATCTTATGAATTGTCTTTATATTGTTTTTGCTATATTTTCCAATTACTAGATCTACTAGGCTGGTACAATACAAATACACTTAAATAAGGGCTTAGCTAAATAAGACGAAAAAAGATTTACAAAGAGCCTGCTGTACATAAAAGTCATTTTCAAAGGGAAGAGGGAATAGAACGACCTGTTACTACATCTCCACTAAGCACTGGTATTGTGTTCCTCTGCACATTAGCCAATCCAAATGGACAGTTGTGCACTGGGGGCAGTGAGTATTGCAATACTGTAAACCTTTATTCCTTTAGTGGCCCCCTGTGGACTTTCCAGAGTGATAACAATACTTCAGGCTCAAGAGTCCTGTAAAGTATGTATAGCTATCTCACTGCTGGGGCATTAAAGCAAGAAGCACAGCTAACCGAATTTTTACGGTAATTCATTTTTTATGTTCATTATCAAATCTTACAACCTCCTTACCCAGATATATACCCATTACCGAAGAATTTATTGCAGAGTAGTGAGGAAGAAAATATTAAGGGGAAAAAAAGACAAGAGTGAAGAAAACTGATGAAGAGAACAAGAAAAAGTGATAACAAAGATGTGGAACATGACAAAGATTTTTTTTTTAATTTGTTATCAACCAATATTACTACTTCGCTTTCTGAATGCTTTTTTAGAATCATTGTTAAGTTTCAAATAACCAGAACGTAATTTATGTTGAACCATCTATTAACTGAAAATTTCCCTAGCTTTTCTTTTGTTGGATTATATTCATTATTAGTAAGCTAACTTTTAGACAGAAAAAGTGAATTTCAAAAATTCCCCTTGGAAGAGAAAAACTATATGAAGATAAACTAATATTGGGTATTTAGTCTCCCAAATCCATTGACATCTCTTATACTGTGCTTGAAAGAAATCAAATTCAACGAATCACACCTTCCATATCTATATATTTATTTACTGAACGCTGTGGACTGGTGATCATAGTGATAATCTGGGAAATTTTTAGAATCATAAATTGCCTGAAATTATCAGATACTTAATATTCTGCTCTTTTTATGGTAGGAAATTTAATATATATATTTACATAAGCACAGATTTCAAATACAAAAGTTATAAGAAACTGATAATTAACTCAAAAACCTAATTATTAAGCACCAACCCACTCCTTAAGCTTCTGTTTGCTATTAGCATTCTGTGCTATTTTGACAATTTTTCAGTTGTTTGGCCTAAGGAAGAGGTTCCCAACAATATCACAATCTAAGTAGAAATACAAAAACTGAGAACTATAGCCATAAACTACAACAGTCCTTCCCTCTAGTTTTCAACCTTTGCCTGCTGAGCTTTCATGAATGACCTCTTGGCCAGCTGTGGAATGGGATCAACATCATGATGTAGTAAACCAGTTATTCAGAGAAAAGTCAGGAGACCAGCCTTCAGCCTTCTATTTCTAGGCCTGCCCTTGCTCGTCATTGTATCAACGCTGAAAGGCAGACAGTCCAATTCAACGGTCCTCACAATACGCAAATTCCCATGTCTACTGCAAACAAAATAAAAATTGTGTGTGTGTGTGTGTGTGTGTGTGTGTGTGTGTGTGTGTCTGTTCAATGGAGTTCAAAGACTAGTTTAAAGAGGGCAAACATATATAAATAACGGATACAGGAGCTACTCATAAGATCAGTAACTTAAAAGAGTTTGTAATTATTCTCAGGTATACGATCCTTGAAAATGCCAAGACTCTTATTTAAAAAGGGAGTTTGAAAAAGGTGGCTGTTTCTAGCACAATCTTTATCCACGTAACTCAAACACATTCCCAAAAGAATGTTACATCCAGTGCCTTTTTTTCCGAAACAAAAATCCAGATCTCACTTTTATAAAACCTCTCCATCAGAGTCTTGAGAGATGATAGGCTCTGCAGAACATGAACCCCAAAAGACACTGTAACTCATGGTCTGGGTGTCCAAACAGAAAGGACTCTTACCATTCTTCATGGCCACTAGGGTAAAGGTTCTTCCGGGCATTAAGACCCAATAGCAGCAGAGGCTTTCACAAAACCATGAGGTCAGTTTATCACATTTGATTGTTAGACGTTAGTGGGATTCCTGACTGTATTAGCATCCAGCTTCATCATATTAAAAGGAGTTAGTTAGCTTGCCTTAGGTAAATAACAAAGGAAAGGTTCCCCAAAAGCCCCGGCCCACAGGTTAGTGCCTTATCCCCACGTAACATAAAAAGCAGCCTGCGAAAAAAATCAAGCTGCAGGAACCAATAATATGAATGTCAAAATAATTATTTTCCATGTTTACGTGAAGCCAGTAGATAGAATTTATGCTTTAAGCTCCCAACTTGATTTTATTCCATGTAGGTTCTTGGGGGGAAAAGTGGCTACTACAGGCTGTTCAGGAAAGATAGTTCAGAAAACATTTACTGGAGAGTGTAAGTATTTGTAAGATTTTGCTTATCCAATGTTACTCTGGTTGAATTGGATTTTGGAGTCATTTAACACTTAGCACTGAAGAAACCTACAAATTTCATCTAATTTATCCCTCTGCCTTTGGGTTGGCCCAGAAGTCCACGTATGTAAGTATAGACCTTACTTTACAAGAATGTGCACACTTCATTATAAAGGTTACATTTAGATAATGCACACATTTATAGCCATTTTCTCTCAAACAATACAACAGAGCACTACTTCAGCTAATTGTAAATACAAATTAAACTGTTCATTCCACTCCTAGTCTATGATCCCTTATCATACTCACTTTTCATTCTTCTTTGTCCTCATATGCATATTACCTGATGTGTAATAATCCTCCAAGTCATTTTCTAGTATTAAGAGACTTTTGGCAGTGAACTATTTTACCTGATGTTTGGCTCAAATTCCTCATGCTCCCATTTTGAACCATCTTTTTCTGCTCTCAGGGAAGGTAGGAAACAGCTGGTCACCATCCCCTACACTAAGCTCCTTCAGAAACCTCAAGATCACCATTTTTTTTTAAACAAGAGATGTTTTATATCAGATTGTTAAAAATCAGTTTTTGAGGGACGTTAGCAAGCCCTCACTTTATCTCCGCCCTATCTAGAGTCAGCTGAACTTGGCAGCACATGGCTTTCTCCTAGGTATAATTACAGTCTGGAGGAGAATGCAATTTGTGCAGCATTCCACTGACCTACAAGCTGACCTTGTGCAGGGGCAAATTCACAGGTTGCGTTAAACCCTATTAGACATGCCTAGTTTAAGGCAAAGCCTTTCCAGACCCCTGCCACATGCCAGGATTAGGGCATGTCACACGTGCGTACTATTACATCGCCTAAGGGACTCTCCCAATGCCTTCCAGAGTGGGAAAGGCAGGCCCACACTGTCTAAACCTGTACATTAAGCCAGTATAGACAAATTATTATTATTCCTCACATATGTGAATTTTTTTAAAGCCTGCCTCTGTGAATAAGAATTAAGACAAAAATGGGAAGACAGATTTGCTACACTGGGAAAATCATACCTTCAACCTCAGCTAGAAAAGTTCTGCCAGACAGGCTGAGAAAGAATTCTTGTCAGGTCCAGTGGGATTTTTACATCTACAGAAAATCTGTACACTGTATATCTTCGGCTTTCTGCCTGAGCTTGGCAGACAGGGCCAAAAATAAAAATAAATGGTTCTGAATAGACCACAAGTGCTGGAAGTCTGCTCAGCCAAGTGAGTTTGGCATAGCTACAAAATTAAGAGAAACACAGAAGCCCTCTTCTTCCATGGAGCCTTCCCTGTCTGAAAGGAAGATGATTAATTTCTACATCTACACCTTTGCTAGACACCAAACACATTCATACCTATACCAGATCGAGTGCATATTTTGCTCTTTGGCTTAAGTTTCACATTTGAACATACTCAGTTCCAGTCACAGGGTTTCCATCTCCAGCACAGTCAGTTTTATCCTAGAGCCTGGCAAATAAGCAGAGAGTTTTTTCAAATACAGCCACATGTGCTATCACCAATGAATAGCTGCTGGCACTTCAGGGAACTAAGGGCATGTGAAAGTTGCTGCTTTTCCTGTCTGAATCAACTATTTCACCCCACCAAAAACAAACAAATAAATGTAGAAACCATATATATATGAGTAGACATTTACTTTCATGACAATGATATACAGGTCGAGCATCCCAAATTCAAAACTCAAGAACTCCAAAATACGAAGTATTTCAAAATCCAGAACTTTTTCAGCGCTGGTACAGTGCTCAAGGAAAATGCTCAGTGGGGTATTTCAGGTCTTGGATTTTCAGATTTGGAATGCTCAACTGGAAAATTTGAAATCTGAAACGTTTCTGGTCTCAACCATTTCAGATAAGGGATACTCGACCTGTATACCAAATATCCACATAGGGTACACGGTCAGCTATATAGAACAAGTGTGTAAATGATCTGGCCTTTCTTGGTAAGATTGAACAACAGCGTGGAGAATTCACATAAATTAGACAATCTGATTCTCCCAAGTACAATTCTAAAAAATACAACTTCTATTTTTGTGCCATCAAACTAGTGTTATCTCTTGCTTATGCTTCACATCAATACTCGCTGAATTCCACCACCTGGCCAAACTATGGACATTAAGAGGCTGGTTGGTAAAAAGTAGATATGCTACTGATGACAAGTCAGCTTGTCTTAGTAACAGTCATCCCACTTCTAAGTCATGGGCTTCCAAATAGATAAAGGTACCTTCATAATGACTGTTATGTTTCTCTTTAAGACATTCTTGTGGAGTGGGTTGGAAGACACGTAGAATCCTATGTTAGAGATGCAGAAATTGTTTCACTTATTCAAGGGCTACAGGCTCTGATGATTGCACTGATACTTTAGTTTGAATACCTCCAAATTATAAATTAGTATAGGGTCTAAACTTTAGCTGCATTAGAGAGCAGTATCTTTGTGAGATGAGAGAGAATATTAAGAAGGCCTTAGGTTTAATTTTTATTCTCATTTAACTGCCATCCAAATCAAAAAATCTTCTAAGTAATAGACATCTAATTGGGAAAACAGAGTGAGAGTTTCGCAATGGAAAGAAATTCCAAGAAGTGATGCAAAACGATGCAAGGCAATGAGGTATGGTAGCCTATGGATACAGGCCTTATGCACAGAAAAAAATCATGGGGGAACCAACTGGCAGAATCCTTTTATAGCTGTGGCTATTCTAGTCCCCTCCCTACGATTTCTAATATGGCAGTGACTACAAATGGGACAGGTAAGCAATGATTCCTCCCAGCCAGTGCCAGAAGGGAGTGCCTGGGGAAGGGGAAGGGCAGGACCACAGCCATCTTGCTTTCTCTCTTACGGGAGAATAACCGCTTCTTTGGAAATATGCAATTGTTACTTGGCAGGTGCCCAGGAGTACAATGCTGATTCAGTTTCCTTGGTCCCCTTCTTCTTCCCTGCTCCATCCCCTGCCACTCTGCCATCACACCCAGAAGAGCTGGTTGGCTGGCTGTGTAGTGCCATATTATGCAATGTCATCCGACGTGGTGCAAAACAGCTCTTGCTGCTAATGGCCAGTATGGCCTGGTAGGCCTCTGGGAAGAAGCCTCTGTCAACTGGCCTGATAATGACATTAAAATAAGCTTTCCACATACAGCTGATAATCTGTCTCATTAAATGTTTCAAGGAAAACTAAGCTTCACTGTTTAGTCAAACTGTTAGGTCTGAATCTCTTCCATGGCCTTATTTTTGGGGACACATAAAATTGCTTGGATGAAGTTTACTTTAAGGATCTAGGCTCTTCACCAAGAAATGTGAAAAGGCAAATTGTCACCCTGTCTTGAGTCTGAGAACGTATTTGGCACCCCATCCCCATCCTGACGAGACAGAAAAACCCTTTTCTTGTTTTTCAGGCTGATGAATTCCACTCAGAAGGCTAATGCGGAGGCCACAGCAGGTGAAGGCTATGACAGTGTGGGGGTGTGATGGGTTGGAGGGGGGAGGGTAGGGCTGTGGGCAGATTTCTGATTTTGTGTAATGTAGAAGACAAACCCCCAAACAAAATCACATGCTTTTTCCTATTGATCATGGAGTCTTGCGGGAAGAAAAGACCAAGAGACATCAGTGCATTCACTGCCTTCAGACAGAACCAGAGCTACCAAAGCTTGGCCCTGCGAACAGCTTTGATTTTAGACTTCTAGACTCTAGAATTATGAGACAATAAATTTTTGTTGTTTCAAGTCAACAGTTGGTGACAGTTTGTTAAATTAGCCCTAGGAAACTAATACAGGGGCTGATATTTTTATATTTCTAATAATCTTCTAGGTGATTATGTTGCTGCTGGTCCATGGACATTTTGAGGGGTGAAGTGACTCTAAATAAATGTATTATTTTGTTACTGATCATTGGCACTTAGCACGGTGCCAATACATAGATATATGTATGTTTCTATAATCCCTGATTTCCAGAGGTTTTTCCCATGAGCCCCTTTCAGAATATCAATCTCCACGGAGTCCTTTACTAAAGCTATTGTACTCATTTAGGAAGTATTGGAAGTAACTTTCTCATAGAAAGCCAATCCCAAGTATACAGACAGCCATAGTGCCCTCCTAAAACCTCTAAATAACAAAGTTTGCATGACCTTTGGACTTCCTGTCTTGTCTATATAATTTCTCATCTAATAATAAAAACTTCAACCCAGTCTCACACACGTATATCTTTGGTGGCTTAAATAGGGCTTTTTCTTTCCAACATGTTAGAGTGTTAGGCTTTTGGAAAGAACACATGCTAATAATTACGCCAAGCTGGTTAGAGATAATGGGCAACAGAAAAGTTATTATCTTCAATGTCATCATATGTCTTTGATATGATAATCATTGCATTCAAGATATCAGAAATGATGGATGGCCTTTGATTTAGAGGGTATCCACGATGCAAATTACCTGGCTCTTTCCCACTCCTGTGTAGAGGTGAAGAGCCAGCAAGAGTGAGCACCCCTAGCTGCAGTGCCTCAAGCCACTGGAAGGCAAAATCTGAGACAGAACTCCAAGGGAAACACTTCTTCCTTTAAAGATACTTAGGGCACCTCACATTTTCCTTTTGCAGACAACTTCTCGCATAGTCTTCATTTGCCGCCATTGCCATAATGTACACTACTTACAACCCAAGTCACTCCACTCTGTTAATTTTCTGGCTAACAGCTGCTGATATGTAAGTGCCATATTGCTTCCAACAGGTTCACTGAGTTCCTTCCATGAATATAAAATAAATATTCCACGAAATGTTGGTAAAAAGAGAAAGATGAAATATTACTGTATTTTAGTAGATATTTTAGAACTGCTGCAAGATTTTGTTAGGGTTTGCGGTGTTATGTCCCAGCACATTTCCCCCGTAATTAGTCTTATCCTCCTTCTTACTCTCATAGCACAGCTATCACGGGAAGCAAGTGCGTATCATACACTATCATTCAGGCTTTCAGGTGAATGGCATAACATAGTGACTGAAAAAACCTACCCACTGCCATCCATGAAGAGTGAGCGTCTACACCCATCTTGACTGGAACCATGAGCATATGCACCCAGAGGTTCTCTTAGATCAACAAGGGTGTAACACACATGGTAGATGATTTGCCCAGAGATGCCTAGATGCCTGACTTCTAGTCCTGTGGCCTCTCCCTTGAAATAATTATTCCAGCAAAGATGTACATTCCTAATTAGTCATATTGCAACAAGGGAATAGCCTTTAAGATATGAGAATCAAATTCACTTGGAATTTGGGGTGGTAAAGGCCTTTCGACTTCCTCTTCTCCTAAAAAATTAGCCCAAAATTATGAGACCTAATGATTTGAAAAATAAAATCTATCTTCCATAAAACTAGGGGAGCCCTTTAAGTTTTAAAACAGAAAATGTGAAGTTGGAGGACTGGTAAATTCCTAGGTATAGCTGTGGGAGGTAGAATGCCAGACATACACGAGTAAGAGGCATCCTGCGTTGGTGGAGACAGGAATGGTTAAGAAGCTAAATAGAAATGAATTGTTTCAAAGTCTGCATATGGAGCAACTAGGTGCATGATCTGTAATTCCATCTACTACAATCAGGTAGCATAGTTTCTTTTTATTACTGATTGGTAAGAATTCCACAAACATTTTGGATAACAATTCTTATTGAGCTATATGTATTACAAATGTCTTCAAGCATGTGGCCTATCTTTTTATACTCTTCAAGGTGTCTTGATGAGCAAGAGTTCATGTCAATGATTTTATTTTAATGTAGTCACATTTCATTATTTGTTTTGTGCTTTCCATGTCTTTTCCGTATAAGGCCAAAAGATAGGCTCCTATATTATTTTCAAAAATTATTAAATGTTTCCTTTCTCATTGTTACATCTGGCATTGTCTTTTATTCATGAAGTGAGGTAGGGATCCATTTTCCTTTTTTTGCCATATATATTCAATTTTTAAAATACTTTTATTCATAGTCAATTTTGCCCACTGATCTGAGATACCACATTTGTCATGTATTAGTTTCCATATATGCATAGATTTGCTTCTGAGCTCTCAATTCTTTTCACTCATTATTTATTTATTTAGTTTTTCCTGTGACAATTACTGCCATACTATAGCCACTCTACTAGCTCTTATTACCTTATTTTCCTTTATATGAGGTAGAATATCTCCCACTTAGTTTTCCTTTTTTGGAGTTGTTTTTTGAACATTTGTTCTTGCATGCAAATTTTTAGAATAAGCTTGTTAAATTCCAAGTAATTCTTAGATTTTGATTGAAATGACTTTGAAACTAGAAATTTGGGAAAAATTAACATCTTTATAATATTGGCTTTCCCATTCATGAAGAGAATTATGTCTCTCTTTTTATTTAGGTCTATTTTAATGCTTTCAATAAAGTTGAATAATTTTCTACACTGACTCGACCATATTTGCTTAGATTTATTCTTATTTTATGTCCCTCTAATGGTATCTTTATTTTCCAACTTAATAGTGTATAAAAATGCAATTGATTATTGTGGTACTGATCTCATATCTACTAGGTTTACTCTATTCTCTCATTTTTTAAATTTGTCAATACAGATTTTCTATGCTGAAAAATCACAATTCATCGTTTCATTTCTTCCTTTCCAATATATTTTATTTGATTTCTTTGCCTTATTACACTTGCTTAGATTAAATAAAGGATGTAGAAATGTGTATCATATTCCTATTTCGTACTGATCTCAAAAAGAAAGCTTTCAAATTTTCACCAAATATGCCCTTGTCACATGCCTGCTTCGTGGACACTCTTTTTGAGGCTAAAGCTATTCCCTTACAATCTTAGTTACAAAATTTCATTATAAATCATAATCATATTTAATCAAATATTTTGCCATCATCTTTCAATTATATAGTTCCCCCTTTAATCTATTAACATTTTAATTATTTATAAAAAGCATTTACTAATTTTGAATCAAATTTGCCAGTCTGGAATAAATCAGTTAATTATCAAACATTTTTTTATATATTTCTGGATTTCATTTGCTAATATTCTGGTTAAGATCTTCATATCTATATTTATGAGAGAAATTGTCCTGTAGTTTCTTTTACTTCTGCCCTTGTCTGGTTGTGCTATCAAGATTATATATACTAGTCTTGAGTTTAATATTATTTTCTATTATCTAATATTTTGTGTAAGAAAGACATGCTTAGTGTAATAAAATAAGCTGGACCTCGCATTTTGTGTGACGATTTTAAACTACTAATTTAATTAACCTTAATATTTACGGAACCATTCAGGTGATCTACTTCTTGACTGTTTTGATCATTCACAGTCTTCTACAAAATTATTTCATATTATTTTCATTTATTGGCAAAAATTTGTTCATGGTATTGTATTATACATTTCTATTGCATCTGTAGTTACATTCACTTTTACTTCCTTAATATTACTTATGCTTGTTTTGCTCAATCTTGCAAAAAGTTTTTGAATGTTATTCTTTTTTTTCAAAGAAGAAACTTTTGTCTTTAATTGATGTTCTCTATTAACTTAAAAAATTCCATTCTCATCTTTTAAAATGTATTAGGTTAAACCACAGAAAATTGCAAATATTTGACATATTTAACCTGTAAAAATGGCTTTTTCCTGCTGTTCAACCTAATATTTCCTTTTAATTTCTTTGATTTTTTTGTATTTTTCTAGTTATTGATTTAAGGCACTTAACTGATTTTTGATCTATCTTTTGCTTTTCTAATATAAATACTCATGACTATACATTTCAGCTACATCCTATGAGTCTTATCAGTATTTTTGTTTTTTGCTAAGTGTTTTTAAAATTCCATTATAATTACTTTCTTAACTCAATTTATTTATGGGTGTGATCATGTATTTTTAAAAATAAGGAAGTTTTTCCATTTTAAAATTCATATGGTACCAAAAAAGAGCCCGAATAGCCAAGGCAACCCTAAGCAAAAAGAACAAAGCTGGAGGCATCACACTACCTGACTTCAAACTATACTACAAGGCTACAGTAACCAAAAGAGCATGGTACTAATACAAGAACAAACACATAGACCAAGTGAACAGAACAGAGAACCTATTCACTGCCACCAATAAGACGGCACACCTACAACTATCTGACCTTTGACAAACTTGACAAAAACAAGCAATAGAGAAAGAATTCCCTATTCAATAAATGGTCCTAGGATAACTGGCTAGCCATATGGAGAAGACTGAAAGTGACCCCTTTTTCCTTACACCATATACAAAAATGAATTCAAGATGGATTAAACATTTAAATGTAAAACCCAAAACTATAAAAACTCTAGAAGACAACCTAGGCAATACCATTCAGGACACAGGCACAGGCAAATATTTCATGATGAAGATGCCAAAAGCAATTACAACAAAAGCAAAAATTAACAAACGGGATGTAATTAAACTAAAGAGCTCCTACACAGCAAAAGAAACTATCAACAGAGTGAACAGACAACCTACAGAATGGGAGAAAAACTTTGCAAACTATGCATTTGACAAAGGTTGAATATCTAGCATCTGTAAGGAACTGAAACAAATGTACAAGAAAAAAACAACCCCATTAAAAAGTGGGCAAAGGACATGAACAGACACTTTTCAAAAAAAGACATGCATGAGGCCAAAAAGCATATATATATATATATATATATATACACACATATATATACACACACATATATATACACATACACATATATATATACACATATATATATATATACACATATATATATATATACACATATATATATATATATATATATATATTAAAAAGCTCAACTTCACTGGCCATTAGAGAAAAATGCAAATCAAAACCACAATGAGATACCATCTTACACCAGTCAGAATGGCTATTATTAAAAAGTCAAAAAATAACATGCTGGCAAAGCTGTGGAGAAAAAGGAATGCTTTTACACTGTTGGTGGGAGAGTAAATTAGTTCAACTATTGTGAAAGACAATGTGGCAATTCCTCAAAGACCTACAGACAGAACTGCCATTAGACCCAGCAATCCTGTTACTGGGTATACACCCAAAGGAGTATAAGTCATTCTGTTATAAAGACATATGCACATGTATGTTCATTAAAACACCATTCACAATAGCAAAGACATGGAATCAACCTATAGATGCCCATCAATGACAGACTGGATTTTAAAAAATGTGGTACATATACACTATGGAATACCATGCAGCCATAAAATAAAATGAGATCATGACTTTGCAGGCACATGGATGGAGCTGGGGGCCATACTCCTTAGTAAACTAACATAGGAACAGAAAACCACATACTACATTTTTTCACTTGTAAGTGGGAGTTAAATGATGAGAACACATGGACACACAGAGGAGAGCAACATACACTGGGGCCTATTAGAAGGTGGAGGGTGGGAGGAGGTTGAGTATCAGGAAAAATAACCAATGGGTACTAGGCTTAATACCTGGGTGACGAAATAATCTATGCAACAAACCCCCATGACACAACTTTATCTATGTAAAAACCTGCACGTGTACCCCTGGACTTAAAAGTTTAAAAAATGTAGTTTTCAATACTGTTAGTTATCTTTTTGTTATTGACACGATTCCTAACTTAATTTCATTTTGATCAGCAGATGTGATCTGTATGAAAAATTCCTTGAAATTTTATTGAGATTTGGAGAACTTTTGCTTTTTTTTTTAAAGTCTTAATATTGCTTGACTTTTTAAATTCTATTCATGCATTATGTTGATAAAATTTAATCAAGTACTGTATGAAAGTTAATGCAGTCTATTTGTTAATAAAGAAACCAACCTAAAATAACTTCATATTTTAAGAGCCTCACATTACCAAAATCGGTCATTCTACATATGTTTATTTATTTATAGACTATCATGCTCTCCAAAGATTTAAAAAGGTGATATTATGTTACCTGCCAATAGCTGGCATTCTTAAAATTGTATCACAAACACAGGTTACCATGAAAGCAAAATACAAATAGAACTAGAAAATGGAGATACATTTTAAACTTTTCCTTGCATTGGGTGGTTTTTTCTTGGTACACACTGAAGGAATTCATCTCTGAGAATCTGGCTAAAATTCATTTGCTTTAACTGCATAGCTGCGCCCCAGTGGGACACACACACACACACACACACACACACACACATCCACGCACACACAAATAGGGGAAATGGATTGTAACTAGCAGCCCCTGGGGTCCAGGAACCATAAGTGAATGAGAGATGAGGCTTCTGGTTAAAATTCAACCTCTTGCTTTCCTTTGGGATGACACTGGAGGATGTTTCATTATTCTTATTCCCAGTTCTCATGGTGGCAATGATGGTGGTAATAGCATAGTGAAAGCACCATTGATGTGCCAAGCCCCAGGCCAAACATTTCACATACTACATTTTAATTTTCACAACCACCTTTGAAGCAGACATTAATATTACTCTTTCTTTACAGATGAGAAAACTGTACGAAGGGGCCTTAGAAAGATGAAGGGACTTGCCCCATGAATGATGACTCAGCCAGGCCTGTGGGGTTCAAGAAGCCCCTGCTGCCCTACCACACTACCACCTTCCATACTTAGTCTAGTGGTGACTCTCACCACACTGGGCATGCTAGAGAAGGCAGCTGGTCAGAAACTGGAGCTCAGCCCTCTGCTACAGCCTTGTCACTGGCTTCCTATGGCTCTGAGGCAAACGCCCAGATCTCAGCTTGATCTTGAATTCATAGGTATGAACTCTCTGTGCAGGTCTGTGAGTTCTACCTCCTTTTCCATGCACCTTCAGCCTCAGAGGCTCATCCTTTCCTGCAGTGGCAACTGAATGGCTGGGTTTTATAGGGCTAAGTTTTTCAGATACCTCCACACCCCAAGAGTATATGTATATACAACAAAAACATCATCATGGCCAAGCCTCTCCAATGTCTTACTAAAGCATTCTAAACAAAGTATGCTTTAGGCGTTTTACTGCTACATTCTGAATCACATTCTTCTCCAAGCAACCATCTCAACGTCTCATTTTTTCCATTAGTAAGATGATTATATACAGAGTGATCTATTTATAATGAGCCCCAGCTCAAGCAGTATAGCTTTCAGTTGGCCTCATTTTATATAAATCTTTCTTTGTTAATTAATGTGTCTTATCCCAGTGTTGCAAGGAACATTTATGTTCCCGAATTGGACAGGAAGGAAGCAAACCACACCCAAGGTGAAGGCTCCAAAATCTTTAGAGTCAATATGAATGTAATAACCGTTTGAAAACAAAGTTTAAAGCTGGGTTTTGTGCATATTTTAAACTAAGGAAGTTGTACAACAGAGTCCACAAGAGAGTAAAAAGTGATGTGATAATTAGGCGGCCATGAATTAACCCCCTGGTACTTGCAGCTCTGTACTATTTTTAAAGACCTCCTTCTCACCTCCTAAGATATTTTGGACATGCAAAATGCCTAATGCGACTAATAAGGCACCTAGCATGAAAGTTAATTAATGAAAATGAAAACACGAAAACTCAGGTTATTTAGTAATAAGGGCCTGGAGCCAGATCCCAATTAAACTACTCTTGTGGCGAAGGGAGGGATCAAAATGCCCAATAGGTTCCATCTGGCTGCTTCTGTGGGTCAACGTAGAGTCTCACGTCCGTGTCAAATTAGCTTTTCCACCCTCTTCTTTCCCTTGCAGTGAGAAGCTAAAGGCAGTCCTCCCCACACTGTACTGGGGAACTCCCAGGCTCTCCCACTCACATGTAAGGGGCTTGGCGGCTAAGAAATCCAGCTGGAAGCGAGCGAGCATGATTTGATTCACCCGCTCTTCAGAGTCCAATCCCTTTTGTCATTCACTCCACTGGAGGGGCCCCCTAAACCTCCAATCCCGTTTGTACCCCACCTAGGAGATCTGATAATGGTCCTGGCAGAGCTGTGGCTTTTCGTAACTTCTGGCAGGGGCCTCGCTGACCCATAACATGACGACACACATGATTTCTTCTCATACTGTCTTTGTAAATTGACCATGGCTAACCTTGCTGCCCTAATCAGATCAATCAGAATAACATTTTTTTAGCTGCTGCACACAGGAAGCCTCCTGGGCTGAGGCATAACTCAGAGTCAGGCTGGGATACAGAAGGCAGATTTTTGAATTTCCAATGGTCTCAGGTTTCCTTTGCTTTTATCACAGTTGGTGAGCTTTGTAAGGTCCGTGTTTACAGCCATGCAAATTAGCCTCAGCTGGAGGGAAATCAGGTCAGGTCTAAATGAAATGAAGCTCTGGGTCAAAAGTATTTTATCAAAAATTGGAAGTGTGGCCATAGCACTGGGGTCCAGCCAGACTATCCTAGGAAGTAAGTGGACAGTTTTGTCTGGTGTAACCTGAGCTCCAGGCCTCTCGACCGTGGAAACTCTGCTAGGAGACGGAGGAAAAAATGGTGGAGGGCCACCCCAGCACAACGGGGGCTGGCCAGTTCCACCACTGGCTGCTGCCGCCAAATGCATTTCTGTTATGTAAGGACAACTGCAAAGAGAGAATACTGTATACCGGAAGGTGGGAACATTGTGGTTTGAGTCTGGTTTGCAGTATATCCCATGCCGCTCATTGACTAGGTAAAAATCTAAATTCACTGTTTCAATCTTACACACACTCAGTTTAAAAATGTATGTGGGAACGTATCCACATTCAGCTAAGTTCTGAGATTTTGCATCTGGAAAGCATATTTGCAAATTTTCACTCCAGATGCCATGTTAGGTATAGAAGTTAAGGTCAGAGGGGTTACATGACTGGACATACAACAACTACAACAACTAATAGTTACCTTCAAGACGAGATCTCTGGCTGCTAATTTCCACTGCAGTTTTCTCTATCATATTTCCAGTACTTCAATACCCCCACTACATAAAAAACTTGGTTTGTTTAAAAATAACTCTCCAATATATATACCTTACATTTGGGGGATTATTAAAATCAGAACAATTATTTCCTGAACCCCCATGTACCTATGGCTCATACAATATGCTACTGATGGTTTGAGACAGCTCTATCCATCTGATTAGGCCTGGATCTGAGCGCTAAGATATTGCTCAATGTGTAATACCCTCATCTATCTGCCTTCTAAAAATAAAATGAAAGTTGGCAGATCTTGAGTGTCTTCATCTGCAAAGAAGTCATGACCAGATCCTTGGAATTCATATAATTAAAGTTTATCTTTTGACAGATGAGAAACCTGAGATCGGAGAATTTAAAGGACTTGTTCGGGATTCGATATTTGGTTAGGGTCAGAGTCAGAATTAGAAATTATGTTTACTGACACCAAAGCTGGGCACTTTTTTCACTATACAATGACCAAAAAATAAAATTCAGTCTTGGCCAAGTGAATTTAAAGTCAGAACTTGCAGTTAAATGCAGACGAATGCCCATTTATCAAGTAATTAACAACACAAGGCTGGGCACGGAGGCTCACGCCTGTAATCCCAGCACTTTGGGAGGTCAAGGTGGGCGGATCACTTGAGGTCAGTAGTTGGAGACTAGCCTGGCCAACATGGTGAAACCCCATCTCTACTAAAAATACAAAAATTAGCCAGGCATGGTAGGTGTGCCTGTAGTCCCAGCTACTCTGGAGGCTGAGGCATGAGAATTGCTTGATGAACCTGAGAGGTGGAGGTTGCAGTGACTAGGCAACAGAGTGAGACTTTTTGTCTCAAAACAAACAAAAAAATAAGCTGTGGGGTTGTTGCTGGAAACATTCCTTTGCTCTTTAGAACTATGTGGTACTACGCAAGTTGCCCAACCCCTCTAAACTCCAGTTTTCTCATGTATAAAACAGGAACAATAATAGGAACCGTCTCACTGGGTTTTTGATCAAATTAGTTAATATATGACAGGCACTTAACCAAAATTCCTCATTTAGCAGTGGCACTACTAGTGATATCTTTATTTTTTAATCTCCACTTGAATGACATCAAATAAATCCAAGGTCATTGAGACTTCTCTGTTCATATTAAGCATGTGCCTGTGAGGGCATGTGCAGGGGCTGTTCTGACTATCACATACATGGGAGATGTGTGTATTTTGCAAAGCACTTACAAGTTCACCTTCAAAAGCATCCATGTGACCTGGACTTGCAACCGAAGTATACATATATGATCTTTCCCTATTCTTGTTACATCTTCACATACTTCTAGCTTGGAACTGAAGGCCAGAGGACTCACTATCACCATCAAGGTCCCAAGCACAGGCGCTCAGCCTCATCCTGTTGTCTAGCTCCAACCCCGTAACAGAATCTCAGAAAATGGCCTGGATTGAGGATAAATGAATGAGATTTGGGAAAATATAGGCGAGACTTCAAAACTTCCCTCAACGAGAAGATAAATATTTTTTAAAGCATAAATATTTAGAATGGTTCTCTCATAGCATATCCTGTACTTTTTTGTGTTTTCCAAACAGATAACCCCAAATCTATATTCAAATAAACTTTTGCTTTTCACTCTCTTCCGATATGGAAGATTTTAAAGATGTGTGTGCGTGTGCGTGTGTGTGTGTGTGTGCGTGCGCGCACGTGTCTGTGTGTGTGGTGAGAAAGGAATTCCAGAATCAGTCCCAAAGACGCTAACTCTAATATTCCATATATTTTTATACTGCAATCATTCATTCTAAGCACTGGAACCATGGCTACTAATGATTTTTTTTCTGCTAATACCTTCAAGTCTTTCTAATATGCAATTGACTCCCAATACTCTGTGTGGGTAATTTGCTGTGAAATTTGGCCTCATGGTCCACAATAGAGATATGAGAAGACTAAAGAGAGAGCTGGGGGCAGTTACTCTCTTCCAGGTTCCTGTTCTGGGGGTTCTAGGATCCATGCAACTTTTATCTTTGTATCTCAGCATTCTAAGGTGCCCTCTTGTGGTGTGGGGTAGGAAAAGAGCATCCTAAATGCAGCTGGCTGGAGACACAAATCCAGATCAAGTTACTGTTGAACAGCCAACAAGAGAAACATGGTTGAACTCCAAGAATAATACTCAGATGCAGCATTCTGAAAGAATCATTGATATTCATATTTGACAAGTCCTAACCACTCTTTTTTTTTTTTAAAAAAATAAGCAAATAAAATAAACGTACAACTTCTGGGGCTGTCTCATTTCCAAATAAAATTTACAAGGTGGAATTTTTGTAAACTGGTGCCTGTCATGGAGCTCCTGTTTCCTTTCAGTAAATGCGGCCAGTCAGGAGTCCTTAAACTGAAGAACAGGAAAGCCCTGATCATTCCAGATATCACTCAAGAAATCGGGACAGAGCGCTAGTTTAGGCCCCCAGGTCATATATTAGTACAATCAACACATGGGCAAGTTATTTCACTCACTTCTATAGATGATAATCCCTAACCCCATTGCTCAGTTGTCAACACGTGAAAAACGTAAAGGGGTAGACAAACCTATCACCACCCTCATATAAAAAAACTAACGCACATTCCTTACACCGAGGGAGCCCAGAGAAATTATCTTTGTACACCAAAGCTGAAATAATATAAACTTGGAAAGCAATAGGTTATGAAAACCCTATAAATTTATGTTCAGGCTTCCAAACAATGTTCTTCTTCCACCCTTCTCCCCTCCCCAATAAACTGAGACATAAAGTCTGGGATTTGAGAATTACAGCTATGATCCTTGCCAAAGTGACCAAATTACAATCAATGCTGAAGGCTTTTGGCACCACAAAATTTCAACAGACTAGTATCTGCTGAACCATCACAACCCCCTTCCCCCAAAGTGTTTGGGGAATAGCCATTATCTCATTAATTCTTAAGAAATATCTATTAAAAAGACAGAGACAGAGAGGGAGACGGGGAGAGAGGAATCCTTTTACATATCTTACAGAAGAGGAAACAAACAGAGATGATTTATAATTTAGTCAGATCATGGCATCTCAAAAAAGGAGGAATATTGGCAGATCATGCTGATTTTCAGAATGTCGTTGGGCAAGTTTAAAACACAATTGGAAAGTTTATCAGAGCAGTTCTTTTTTTTTTTTTTTTTTTTTTTTTTTACAGGAACCAGGAGAAAGAATCACAGACAATGAAGGTGGATTTCTGGCTCCTTGTCAAGGTGCTGACCTACCTTGCTCAGGAACAAATGTCACTTAGAGACAGTGTAAATATGACATATTGACAGGGGAAACTCTTTATCTTTCAGTGAAAAGAGACTATACAAACACGATATGTACTACTAGATGTCCGAATGTATCACTAACGGAAGTTGTGGGATACTTCCATGAATATCAACAAACAAGAATAATCTAGAGATTCCCATTTGCAAATAGTTTTAGGAATTGACACATTAATGCTTTAAGACCTTAAAAACCTTGGGAATCAAAGATGTTTAAGAATTTCTTTCCAAAGCTTTCACATTAGTTCATAAACTAAGAGATTAATGCAAAGAATACTTAACGTACTCTTATAATTTCATATTATACTTATAATAACCATATTAAGGGGGTGTTATTCCCAATTTCGTAGAGAAGAAATCAGTGTGAGAAGGTTAAATGACTTTTTCTGAATGTTACGAAAGAAAAAAATAAGAGATAGTAGCAAGTGGTGGTGGTTCCATTGACAGCTGGTATCTTGAGCTCTGGTTCTTAATTTGGTTACTGCCATGTTTGTCGTGGCAGAGTGGTCTAGTATCACAAATGAGAATGGCACCTATCTAAGTATGCAATATAAATTTGTAATAATTAGTAATAAATTTATTTTATTATAGCTAATATTTTAAATGGAATTGATAAGGTCAAAGAAAAACACCAGCTCCAAATCTATATATGCCTTTTGCTGGAGTTACATAGAAAGCACATCTTTTTACTCAAAGATTTGGCTTCCTATTGGAAGACTCTGAAGAAAACCATGGATAATTACACAATGTAGGAAATACTTTGGATATGCAGAAGTGTGGCTATATTTTGTTGATGTTTTTAATAATGGCTACTCTCATTCATAAACTTCAAATAAATCACCCGAATAAAAGTTGATACTATCACCAAGGTGGCAAGTTACCATTTAAATAAAGGGGAAATGCAGACACATGCTGATGAACAAGTGTTCATCATCATCAATGTCTTCCCAGTTAAAAGTGTACAAACCCCTACAAGTCACTTTATCTTTCTCGGTCTTAGTTTCTTATGTGCCATATGAGAGAAATAAGATGATGGGTAAGATTTCTTCTAATTCCTAGACTACATGATATTACAGAACAGGATCCCTGCCTAGTTTGAGAAGATATACATACATACATACATACATACATACATACATACATACATGCTTAAACAAGTGCCAGTGATATGAAATTTAAATACTATTTTAGTAGTTGAAGCTAGAAATTAGTATCTGAGTTCCACAGACTCTTGATCATTCTGTCCATTACTTCTGAAATACAAACGTGAAATGTGCTGAGGGATGAAGACCAGCTCTATTTAAGGGATATTCATGGCTGGGTGCAGTGGCTCACGCCTGTAATCCCAGCACTTTGGGAGGCCAAGGCAGGTGGATCACCTGAGGTCAGGAGTTTGAGACTGGCCTGGACAATGTGGTGAAAGCCCGTCTCTACTAAAAATATAAAAATTAGCTGGGCGTGATGGTGGGTGCCTGTAATCGTAGCTACTTGGGAGGCTGAGGCAGGACAATCGGCTTGAACCTGGGTGGTGGGGGTTGCAGTGAGCCGAGATCACACCATTGCACTCCAGCCTGGGCGACAACAGTGAAACACTGTCTCAAAAAAAAAAAAAAAAAAAAGACATTCATATTCACGTTTCAATGCTGGCTGAAGCCCTATAGCCAAGATTCAGAATTCTGGATTTTGAAATCCAGTAATGTACCCAGCACTTTCTCTTGTTCAGTCATTATAAAAAGACCTATCTGGCAAGTATCCTCCTGGTCTTCTCATATGGGAACCATTCCATGATCCAGCTGAAGGAGTTGGCCTTCAATGCTGAAACTCCTCAGCTGCTCACCACCTCTAAAACCACTTTCATTTTCAAGAGGAAAGAAAACAAACATCTGACTCTCAGAAGAGACCAAGGGATCCATCTTGATGTTGGAAATCTGGCCACAGGCATGGAGCAAAGATTATAGGAGGCAGGTTTGGAGTTTTCTGGCATCAATTCAGCTTGCTATTTTCTTTAAAACTTAAAACCTCAGCTCTAAGGTAGGACACAAAGCTCACTGAAAACTCTAAGCTGCATATTACCACAAAGCTCAGTAGACCCAATTTTTTGCCTCCACTTACAGAGAAAAGCAAGCACTACACAAGTGCACGGATTCCATGGGGCAATGGCAACCACCCTGTTCAGAAAACTTAAAGAGTTTAAATGAAGTGTTATTTTCCCCCTCAGACAGAGAAACAAAATAAATGTTATCAAGTACTAACTGCCTTAAACTCCTTTGTTGAACAGGCAAACTATTATAAGAAAAGAAATAATAAATGACCAAATGCTTTGATGTTTAAAAACAAATATTCATTCACCAAAACAGAAGTGAATAGTTCTATGAGTAAACAACATGTTTTCAAGCATCTGGAGAGAAACAAAAAGAGTAATAGCAATCTAAGAAGCAATAAAGAACAAAAGTAAATTTAATACGATCCTGCATAAGAAAGCATTCAGAGGAGATTCTGGTGAGTTCAGGCAAGCCTTCCTGAAAGAGGCAAACTGAAGTTGGCTTTGGAATATACAGATTTTCCTTTTGCCATTCAGGTAGAAACAAGTCTTCTGCTTCTATAGATGGCATTTAAAAAGCCAGCCTGGCTACAAAGCAGGCTTACCTCCATCTCATATGAATCTAATTGCATGGGAATACATTCTATGTAAATCAGCTGACCTTTTTTTGCCCGGATTTGTCTGGAACTTACTATTTGTATTAATCCATTTTCGCACTGCTATAAAGATACTACCAACATGGCAGCAGGAGAGAGAGGGTGGGGTGAGAGCGGCACCAGAAACTTATGGAACAACCAAATCTCGTGAGAACTCACTCACTATCAGGAGAACAGAAAGGGAAATCCACCCCCATGATTTAATCGCCTCCCACCAGGTCCCTCCTAGACACGTGGGTACAATTTGACATGATATTTGGGTGGGGTCACAGAGCCAATTTATTAGAAAAATTCAAATTGTTCCATGCAATATAGCCTTTTAAAATTTTCCTTTAATACTTCTTTGGATATTTTTCTCAAGACAACACAATTACAGTGACCTTGAGAAACATTTTGATCATGATTTTTATCCGTAATTGAAGTCAGTGGGAAAATCTGATTTGATTAACAGAAAACTGAATTCAGACATTTTCCTTTTTTCCCCTGTAATTTGCAGCTAATTTCATAATCATTACATTACTTGAGAAATGAACTGATGATGAACCCCATGATGTAATTTAACAAGGAAACGTAGCCTGGCACGGTGGCTCACGCCTGTAATCCCAGCATTTTGGGAGGGTGAGGTGGGCAGATCACCTGAGGTCAGAAGTTCGAGACCAACCTGGCCAACTTGGTGAAAACCTGTCTCTACTAAAAATACAAAATTAGCCGGGCATGGTGGTGCATGCCTGTAATCCTAGCTACTCGGGAGGCTGAAGCAGGAGAATTGCTTGAACCCCAGAGGCAGAGGTTGCAGTGAGCCGAGATCACACCATTGCACTCCCACCTAGATGACAAGAGTGAGACTCCGTCTCAAAAAAAAAAAAAAAAAAAAAAAAGGCAGGGTTGATGGTATCATTCAATATTACATACTTTTCAAAACACTGCCTCAAACCTGCTTAGATGTGAATTTCACAACATACTGGTGGGTCAGGTAGATTCAGATATTGTTCATCTTTTTTTTTTTTTTTAGACGGAGTTTTGCTCTTGTTGCCCAGGCTGGGGTGCAATGCGGCAATCTCAGCTCACTGCAACCTCTGCCTCCTGGGTTAAAGCGATTCTCCTGCCTCAGCCTCCCGAGTAGCTGAGATTACAGGCGCCCGCCACCACACCTGGCTAATATTTGTGTTTTTAGTAGAGACGGGGTTTCCCGAAATTGGCCAGGCTGGTGTCGAACTCCTGACCTCAGCTGATTCACCCACCTCAGCCTCCCAAAGTGCTAGGATTATAGGCATGAGCCACCGTACCCGGCCTGTAATCCTTTTTTATAGAGAAGGGAAAATACGACAAGGAAGACAACCAGCCCAAGCTCACATAGCAAGTCAATAGCAACACAGAGTACTATACTTTTTCCTCAACACCATTTCTGCTACTATTAAAAATAAGAAAAACTAACCAACCAAACAAAAACCCACTAAAACAGGGAAATGGTAGCCGTAGTAGTAACAGTAGCAAAAACAAGAGCAGCTGTCATATGTTGAGCACTGACAGTGAGCCAGGCACTATGCTGAGCCTGATACATGGATTACCCCATTGAATAATTACTTAGAGAACATTATGAGCAGATATCATCTCAGGCTATGGTGCAGGGACCCAGACACAGAGAGTGAAAGGACCTAGTACCGTTGCCTCAGATCTCACAGTCAATGTGTGGCAGAGGTGTGATTCGTCCTCATGGTTGTCTCTGACTGCCTGACAGTCCTAAACTCATTCTCTTACAGAAAGCTGGTGCCTCTCAAGTTTTTGAGTCCTTGAGTCACTACTCAGAAGCCACCGTCATAATGAGGTCTACCCTGAACACCCCATTTAAAATTGCAGACCTCACCCCCACCCTACTAAAGTCGACCCTCCTTCCCCTGCACTACTATGTGATTGACAGGGTTTATGTTTAGTGTTTGTTAATATAAGCTCCACAGGGCAAGGATTTATTATTATTATTATTATTATTATTTTACTTTTATTTTTTGCCCTCAACACATACCAATGCTTAAGACAGTGCTGTCCAACAGAGCTTTTTATACAATGGAAATGTTTTACATCTATGCTATCCAATACAGCAGCCACTAGGCATAAGAACAAAATTGGAAAGTCGAAAACTGGCTAGCCATATGTAGAAAGCTGAAACTGGATCCCTTCCTTACACTTTATACAAAGATCAATTCAAGATGGATTAAAGACTTAAACGTTAGACCTAAAACCATAAAAACCCTAGAAGAAAACCTAGGCATTACCATTCAGGACATAGGCATGGGCAACGACTTCATGTCTAAAACACCAAAAGCAATGGCAACAAAAGACAAAATTGACAAATGGGATCTAATTAAACTAAAGAGCTTCTGCACAGCAAAACAAACTACCATTAGAGTGAACAGGCAACCTACAAAATGGGAGAAAATTTTTGCAACCTACTCATCTGACAAAGGGCTAATATCCAGAATCTACAATAAACTCAAACAAATTTACAAGAAAAAAACAAACAACCCCATCAAAAAGTGGGCGAAGGACATGAACAGACACTTCTCAAAAGAAGACATTTATGCAGCCAAAAAACACATGAAAAAATGCTCACCATCACTGGCCATCAGAGAAATGCAAATCAAAACCACAATGAGATACCATCTCAAACCAGTTAGAATGGCAATCATTAAAAAGTCAGGAAACAACAGGTGCTGGAGAGCATGTGGAGAAATAGGAACACTTTTACACTGTTGGTGGGACTGTAAACTAGTTCAACCATTGTGGAAGTCAGTGTGGCGATTCCTCAGGGATCTAGAACTAGAAATACCATTTGACCCAGCCATCCCATTACTGGGTATATACCCAAAGGACTATAAATCATGCTGCTATAAAGACACATGCACACGTATGTTTATTGTGGCATTATTCACAATAGCAAAGACTTGGAACCAACCCAAATGCCCAACAATGATAGACTGGATTAAGAAAATGTGGCACATATACACCATGGAATACTATGCAGCCATAAAAAATGATGAGTTCACGTCCTTTGTAGGGACATGGATGAAATTGGAAATCATCATTCTCAGTAAACTATCACAAGAACAAAAAACCAAACACCGCATATTCTCACTCATAGGTGGATACTGAACAATGAGAACACGTGGACACAGGAAGGGGAACATCACACTCTGGGGACTGTTGTGGGGTCGGGGGGGTGGGGGGAGGGAAAGCACTGGGAGATATACCTAATGCTAGATGACGCGTTAGTGGGTGCAGCGCACCAGCATGGCACATGTATACATATGTAACTAACCTGCACATTGTGCACATGTACCCTAAAACTTAAAGTATAATAAATAAATAAGAAGAAGAAAAAAAAAAGAAGGTGGTTAGTCCAATTAAAGAACTAAATTATTTTATTTAATTTCATTATTTAATAGCCACGTTACCATACTGGATACTGCAGGCCTGGAACAAATGCCTAGCATGGTAAACCCCTAGGAAATACTTGTTAAATGAATGAATTTATAAATAAAACCTATTTTCCATATAACCTGTAGACTACTTTCACTAACTACAAATTAAATTTTATTTTTATTTCAACAGAATTAATGGCTGAAAAAGTCCAGATTAAATTTTGAAAATTCAGAAGATATGGCCAAAATAGCAGGCACAGATTTCATGAACTATTGGCTCCCTTTGCCATCTGCCACTCAAAACCTTCTGAAACATTTCATGAAACCAGGGAAAGCACCAACAGCATGTAATGAATTCCTATGAATCACACACACACACACACACACACAGAATATGTAATAAATTCCTATGATACACACACATATATGTATAGGTATGTGTGTGTGTGTATATACGATACACACACACACACACACACACACACACACACATATATACCATTTCCCTGTATAATATATAATTACAGCTTTGCCATAATCACTCAGTACCTTTTTGACCTTGTTTTTCTTCTCATAAGTCTCTGACAGAGGTTTTTTCTTCTGTTGAGTTGTGTCTTTGGAGAATAAATACTCAAATTCACTGGGGTCCCGAATGTCAGGTTCTTCTAAGGAGTCCCATAAGGTTGGTGTAGCATTTTGGCTTAAAAGAGAAAATGACAAGTTAACCATAAGAACCAAAACAGGAAGGAATGTAATACAATGAAATCTTTCTCTAATCCATTTTTTAATTTCATTTTTCTAAAAAAACACATAAAACTCTAATAATGCTTGGAGAAAAGCTTTTTATGTTACGCATTTGTTAAAGTCAAAATATACTATAGAACATTAAAACACACACAGACGTATTTCCAAAAAAGTAATTGTCATTAGCTACGATCAAAGATAGAGCTCTACAGAAACTCCTTAGGACTAGAAATCCTGGGATTCGGATTCCTGGGGGCACCCAAGCTGCTCCTCCCTCAGCCTGTGGCATTTCCATGATGTGTAAAAATGGGCATCATATAAAGGCTGAGAAGATAACCAATTTGAGACTGTGACAGGCTAATTCTGAAGGAGACTGAAAATGGAGTACCGAAGTAAAGACCTGCCTCCTCTTTGGACTTTTTCAACTACTTTTAAATACAGTTTTTAGGATTCATGCAGGTAAACTCAGTGCAGCGTCCTTAATATGTAAACAGGCTGTGCCTATTTTAAAATACATGATTCATAGTATCTCAGTCCCCTAAACAATACTAACAACAAAAACCAACCAAAAACCTCCTCCATTGCACCTCATGGGATATCATCTAAAGTAGCCATAGGGAAACTGGGCTGTTTCATCTTCCAGAAACAGGGGCACCCTAGTTTTGAAGGGAAGAAAAGCTCTTGAGAATCAGGCGTAACAGAACAGCCTCCGTGAGCTGACTCCAGTGGTCACTCCTCAGGGTTCCCTCAGTCAGAACACATCTCCCAAATGTTTACTTTCTTATCTTAATTTCAAACACTATTAATGTTTACTGGTCAGGCATGGTAGCTCACACCTGTAATCCAAGCACTTTGGGAGGCTGAGGTGGGCAGATCACTTGGGGTCAGGAGTTCAAGACCAGCCTGGCCAACATGGTGAAACCCCATCTCTACTAAAAAATACAAAAAATTAGCTGGGCGTGGTGGTGGGTGCCTGTAATCCTAGCTACTTGGGAGGCTGAGGCAGGAGAATTGCTTGAACCCGGGAGGCAGAGGTTGCGATGAACTGAGATTGTGCCACTGCACTCCAGCCTGGGTAACAGAACAAGAGTCCATCTCAAAAATAATAATAATAATAAATACTATCAATGCCCACAAATTTCATCTATATACTTATTGTTTATCAAACATAGGTATATGTTACAATCCATAACATCTAAAAGTATATAGCTTTATTTCCATACCTATTTTCTCAATGAAAACTAAAAAGATAACTATTATTACATGGAATGGTCCACAGAATTTTGTAATACTACAGGTGATTTTGGTATTTAAAACAGTTGGCAGCCCTGGCTCCTCAGGTCTGCGTGTTCACACTTTGCAATAGATCTGCCTTTCCCATGATATATGACATTTTGGTTTTGGCCACATTCACCTCTTCTCTCCTCTACTTTTTATTTTTTAAATTATGATTTCGCCAATAGTTGAACCATGTAATAGTATGACATATGGAAGTTATAAAGTATAACAATAGAATGAACACCTGGGAAACCATTACCCAACCCAAGGGCTAGAACATTTCCAGTGAAGTACATCCATGTATGTGTTCCTCTCTCAGCCATACCCCTCTGCTACTCACTTAACTTCAACTTGAAGCATAAGCACCACGGATGTTAAGTGCTTATCTCTGTGGTGCTGGGGGAGACGGGGGAGAAGTAGGATCTTGAAGAAGGAAGTCAGCTGGGAATTCTGGAGTGAGCATGCGGCATGTTAAGGGCCACTGGTCTGGGCCTTGGGAAGGTTCTGGGCAGCTAAGGGGTGACGTCTAGAGTGAAGTGATGCAGAGTGTCAGGCCAACTGCTCAGCCCCATCCCCACTTCCTGCACCTGCTTGGCTCTAGCCCCACGGACTCTGAGGTCAGGCCAGTGTAACTAGTATTATAATTCACTTATATTCTGGAGTAAATTGGCTTTGGGAGTCAACCGTGATCAGTTTAAGCACCTGATCACCATTTACAACACTATTTCTATGGGAAAGGTATTTCCAATACTGAATGAAAGAATTTTGGAACACTGCCTCTCAGTGATTTTGGGACAGCCAGCATTTGGTAGGGCAATAATAAGGACGTGCTTCCCAACGAATGACCTGCCATGGTGGTCAACTGACCACTGAACATACAATTCTAGCTCAAAAGGAAGGCAGGGGGAGAGAGAGAGAAAGAGGAGGAGGAAAATGAGAAACTTACTAAGAAGCTGAAAAGGTAGTTAGATGAGGATTTATTTTTCCTTAAGTGTCTCTTGCTTATTCTAGAAATCACGAAAGAGACACCCAAGAAGGCAAAACGTCAAAAGAAAAAAAATCAGTTCATACCAGGAGTCAAAAGCAATTTAGGTAGATGAGAGGCAGTGTACACATAATGCTGAAAATTCACATTTTGTTTCTGGCTTCCCAGAAGAGCAAGACCAACATTTATGATGCAATCATTATATAAACTACTTAATCCTCTAGTTGCACAAAATATTAAAATATGATTTTGCCTCCTTTATGAGAAGGTATCCCAAATAATTGCACTTTTGCTCCTAAGCAAATACTCCACAGGCTCTTTGAGTCATTTTCATTTAAAAGCAGTAGTGCTAATAGGTACAAAAAGTTGGAGGGACCCATAATAAAAGAACTTGAATATGTGGTACCACCAGGAAGTGCCCGTGTTGCAGTCTTAACACATCATAGAGGGGCAGCCCCCCGTGTTATGTTTCAGGTTCAAATGCGCACCAAGCAGGGCTCTCTTGATGTCCTATTCATCTACTTTTCATTTTGCTCAAAAGTAAAGCCCTAGATTTATGATGAAACCAGTGAGACCTTCAGTATTCAATTGCTTTTCTTCTCAAAACGGCCAACTAAATGAGGAGGAAACAATGTAGACAATGATTGTCTCCAGCTTTCCCGTGGTCGTGGGTGAAGGGCCCACATCTCCCAGTGGGACTCTTTGATGGCTGCTGTGGTCCACAGTTACCTGTTGCTCATGAAGTCTCTCAGGGAAGGAAGTGAAGGCAGGCTAGTGGGACACAGGTGTGGAACAGCTCCCCGTGCTGTCGGACACACTCGTCCAGGGCTTACAGGTGGGAGCTATTGCCCTGGAATGGCTGTGCACTAATTTGAGAACACTAATACGGAAACATGACTCAAAATAAATATTCTGGGAAATGATTTTTTAGGAAATGTCTGAGTCTTTATTGGGAAAAAGGGAATACTAGTACTTTAGTTAATGGCAGAAGCTATTACAGGATCATCTCACTTTTTTATGAACCATTCATTTGGGAAATTACAAAGTATAATTGAATTTTGTAAAAAAGAAGTATCAGGATGTTCCAAAAACAAACTCTTGGCCCTTATTTTTTGGTGAGAGGAAAGGGGAAAATATGAAGCACATATGCTTAGTTTTAGGGTATTCCCCACTCCTCCACAGGGATTTCTGGTTGTTTTATCATTGTGAGTTGTGTGTTATTTTGTTTCATATCCTGCCTTGCCTAAGCAAAGTGTTATATAAATTGAAGAATGCATTACCACATGACTTGGGAAAAGCTGTAAAATGTGTCCTATATTTGCTGTCCTTTACAAACAAACTTTAAAGGAGAAAGTGGTCAAGAGACAACTTAAGATCTCTTTCACTGTCCTCCTTCCAGGCTCAGAAATAAGGCAGAACAAATCACACTCAAATCTGTTTGAATGGATGTTTCCAAGCAACTATATCTTGCTGCTTTACAAACCCAGCTTAACAATCTATACAAATGGAAGATGCTTTCAGCTATCCACATACTGACACTTTCTCTGAAGGGCATCAAGACATAAAGGAAGATGTGAGAGTACTTAGCAGTTAAAAGAAACAGAGTTCAAGCAGAGAGAGTTTGTATTTTAAGACTCTCCTCTGATCTAAAGAACTAATAACTTAGCCATGTCTCATTCTTTTAATAAAAACTGAAGAACACCCATTTCTGTTAAATATCTAGATTATAGGGTTGATTATAGTATTTAAAAACAAGACAGTAAAAAGAATTCTAAAAATCCTCAGTGAACCTACAGTATGGAAATCAGGTTCAATTCTTTATGATTACTAATCAATTGTAGTGATGTTGGGGAAAGCTTTGGCTTAGATCCGGACTCTTGTCTAGTCTGTAAAATGGAACATTTGCCTTGGAAAAAAATCTGACACTGAAACACATGGTTTCTCCCAGCATCTTCAGAGAATACAGAGAGGCCCTGATGGAGACAGACAATCTCCCCAAACATCCCAACATTGTTTATCCAAGCATTCACTGTATCACACTTGATAATGGGTGCTACACTATGGAGATATTGACCCGGTAAGAATAAAATATCACTTGGGCCAAATCCTAGGAATTCACATGCTGAGAATGGGATAGGGGAGAACTTACCTCCTATCACTTATTTGTATCCTAGTCCAATATAAAGGCTTCATGGGACAACTGGGCTCGATGGCTGGTTTTCGAGGACATTGACTGGAAGAAGAGCCAAGTCCAAAGAAGAGTCCAGGGGGAGGTGGGGGTGCAAGTCCTGGGGGTGGTGGAGCAGGAGGAGGCCCTCCAGGGTTGGGTGGGGCAGGGGAGTTAGGAAGTGGGGGTGGGGGTGGGGGTGGTGGAGGTCCAGCACTTGAAGGTGGAGGTAGAGGTGGCGGTGGAGGAGGCGGAGGTGGTAGCGGTGGCCCAGCACTCACAGGTGGCATTGGAGGTGCGGGAGACAAAGATCCAAGTCCTGAGGGGAGGGGCGGAGGGGGAGGGATGGATGCGGGAGGCGGAGGCAATGCCTTCTGCTGATTTGATGCCATGCCCTCCATTGGCTGGAGTGCTGCATGGATGTCTTTGTGGTCATTTGGGGGTGAGAGCTGGCTTAAAGAGGAGATATTCAGCTTTTTGGGTACTAATTGATTACTTCTGGTTGTCTTGCTTTCACTTTCACAGGGCTTGAGGAAGGTCTCTCTGTCTGTCTGGACGCACACATTTCTGAAGGTCTTTGGAGGGCAGTCATCATCGGTGGAAATGCACACATCTTTCCTCTCTTCACAACCCCCTCGCCATCTGTGTTCTAGCTCGTGTTTCAGATTTTCAATGGTTTCTTCTAGTCTCGCTGTTATCATTGCATGCTCGCCCCGGATATGAAATGCCCGAAGTTCAAACTGTGCCTATAGGAAAATTCAGAGGGAAAGAAAGTAATGAGTTTATTAAGAACAAACTTAAGAATTTAGAAACTCAATAATACCATCATGGTGCCACTGTAGCATGGCCCACATAAATGCAGGGAAATACAGAGACATTCTTTTAAGAATCCATAAAGGTGTAAATTGCACTCTGAATTTTCCAGGGACCTAAACAGGCAGGAGTCAAAGCACAATTTCAACCAGCCTGAGCTCACGGGAGATAATTTTCATGGATTAAGGCTTAAAGTACATCTATTACTTAAGAACTCTTACCCAATTTGCATATCAAACACAAAACTTTTAATAAAGTTTTGGACATGCTTGAATATCTATCTGTTTTACAACTTTTCGGGTTGGTTTCAAAAAAGAAAACTATAAAGAAAAAAATAGGTTTAGAGCTCCTCTGGCTTAGAGCTGTTCTCCCAGTCTTCCAGAATGTCTCTTTCACTGAGTTTCCAGGACAATACAGCAGACACAGAAAGCAAGGGAAGAAGCCACGATAACTTACTTTTTTAAAGTTTCCTTATAAAAGCAGCCCAAGATCAGTATTTGTGTCTGTTTCATAATATAGCAATAAATAAGGAACAGAGAACATAAATAATGAAGATATTATAGTATGCCATTTTCTTCTATTTACACAGCACTTTAAAGTATATAAGACAGTAGTAGCCTTTTTAATGCTTATTGCCTCAGTTATTTTAATGCACTGAGTCTGTAATTGTACACTTATTAGCACAGAGCTAGTGTACTCGCAGTCATTAACCAGCCCGTTCCTCAGCATTCAAAGCTATTCATCCTATTACAGTTAATTGGAAAGCAAATTTAGAATTTTATTAGAGTTTTCAAAATCCAGTTTAACAGTAATTAAATATTTTTTGTCAATTTATTTAATTTCTGCCTCCCCCATGAGATTATAAACTCCACAAGATGAAACTGGTGACAGTATTGTCTTTCTATCTGTATCCCAGCAGGTAGCCCAGGAAGTACATACCTCAGCAGCAATGGATGGATAAAAATCACTGGGATAGTTATATTCACTGTCATTGTCACTGTCCCAAGAGCCTCCCTTATCAAGACTCTCTTCACTATAATTTCAGCACAAATATCTAGAACACCTAAAGCATGCACAAGTACAGCTCCCTTTTGCATTGAAAAAGTAAAGAAATATTTTAACAGCCTTGGAGGGAAAGGTATACACACAGGAAGCTCATCTACCTTCATTGAGATAACTTTTATACTATGATGTTTGCATAGTTCAGCAGATTGAATTATGAAGAGATCTACCATTTGTCTGGTGTTAAAAAAAAAAAAGATAACTTTTAACTATTTTTTACTAGGTTCAACTTTTCTCTAATATTCATTCTCAAGAGCAAACCCCTAAAGGGCTATAGTCAGGAGAACTGAAAGGCGAAGTTTTTCGAAGGCTCATCTTCTCATATGTGGACACGGTCTGAGCCAACTCTGAGGGAAGGGGCTAGCTCTGGACACCGTCTATTTCTCGTGCAGTGCAGAGCGCTGAGTGCCGAGTTTGGACTCACACCACCTGGTTCACGTCTTGGCTTAGGCACTTGCGAGTTCTATGACCTCAGACAGGGAACGCTGTGTCCCTAAGCCTGAGTATCTTCAAGTGTAAAGTATAAATAATAGCCATCTCTAGGACTTTTATAAAAGTAAAATGAGATACTTCATATAAAATAGTAGGCATTATGCCTGGAACACAGAAACGTTTGGATAAATCTTACTGTTAGTTTCTGTTGCTAATGCTAATGCTAATAGCAGAGCAAGAGACTAACAAATTCCTAATTATTTTTTAAAATTTTCAGACAATGCTACCTTTGTAGAGGGACAGGCATAAACCTAGGAAAAGCTCAAAATCAGGATAAGCAAAGTACTGCAAATACCAAAGTTTACCTAGCCTTTTGTGAGTTCTACTACCGATTACCTAAGTAATTTCGAGCTTCACTCAACTGTGAGATCGAGATAATCTTTGTTTCAACATCGTATCATTTCCATCTTCATTTCTCTCTCTCTTTCCTGTCCACTTCCACCCACATCTTAGCCCTGATTACCACCCTGAATTACCCACATTTTAATTTCATTCTAATGACTAGTTCGGTTCTGTCACAACAAACTAACTCTCAGCTGTTATTCTCAACTAAACCTTCTTTCAAGATTAAGAATCAAATATTCAAGAAGCAGTAATTTTACTCAATCCTCAACTTCTTAATGATATGAAAGAGTTTCAAAGACATACTGCATGGTGAAACTTTCCCTAATAAGGGAAATATTTTTGGTGAACTTATTGAGTTTCTGCCTCCCCTATCAGATTATAAACTCCCCAAGATGAAATCTTGTATCTAGAGCAAAAGCCCTGGCCCCACCTCCTCTTCTTTCTACCACTCTGTCAACGATCTTCTAAATCTGTTGAAGCTGACATGTAAAGCTATATATCATTTTAGCAGCTCTGAGGTAAGGCATTTGTTTAGTGTAGTGGGCAGAACACAAATCGGGCAGTTAAGTTCACCTCTCTGTACCTCAGTTTTTTTTGTAAGCTAAATGGGGATAATAAAATGTACCTGACAGAGCGGATATGCCAGGGAGGCAAATTAATATACGTAAAAGAAAATACAGAAGAGTGTTTGCAGCATAGTAAGTGCTATTTCAGTTTGCCGTCATTATTATTCTCTCTCTAATGCCTGGCAGATCAGAGCCCAGTGGCCCCATTAGCTTGCTCTTGGCTCTGGGTACGCTTCCCAGCCCCATGCCCTCTACTGTCTACATGCTCTATGCTTCTAAAGCAAAAATAGACATACCAAAATCCTTCTTAAATTCCTTTAGCTATGGCACTTTCCAACCCTACCTCTTTTCCTTCGCAGCAGAACTTTTTTGAAAAAAGCACTTGACCCATGCTTTATTTTTGTCATTCATTCACTTTCACCCAATTACTGGCTTTCATCTCCCCCATCCTATTGAAACTCCATGATTTGACTGTTGCATTCAATCAGCACTTTTCAGTGATTTTGACCTCTCTGCCACATTTGTTAAGAGTTGACTGTTGCACAAGCATTGAAATTCTGCTTCCCTGAACTCGATTCCACCTCTCTCCTTTTGTTCTCCTCCTACTTCTTTGCTGTCCCTAGTCAATCTGTAGACTCATTCATCCTTAAGTGTGGTTCTCTTGGCATCTTCCTTGCCATTTTTTTCCTTATCACACTATACAATCTTTCTAGATGATCTCATATACTCATATAAATGACACCAGGTGAGTACCTTCAAACTTGGTACCTTGAGATCATATTTCCAAGTATCCTCTGGATTAATCTACTTAAATATTTAACCAGCTGCCTCAGATCCAACAGGTTGGAAAGTGAACTCATTGTTGCCGAACCCCAATGTGTTCCTCCTCTGAAATTCCTCCTCACTATTAATGCCTCATCGCCTCCAGTCAGCACATCCAGAAACCTGATGTCATGCTGAATTTCTTGCTCTCTCTCATCCTCAACATGCTATTTGTCAAGTGTTATTGATTTCTCTTGTCACCCCCACCACCTCAATCTTTCACTGGACAAAGGCAATGAGCATTTTCTTGACTCAAATTCAACCACTTTGGTTCCAAGAAGATTTTGAAAAAATAAATAAATAAATGCAGATCCCTAGTCCTTAAAATCTCTTCAATAATTAGCTTTACTTGCAGACTAACATGAACTTTTTAGCACACACACATCAACAGCTCTTCTGATCTGTTTTCTGACCAACTTCTCCACTATTGGCTTTTGTCCCTTCCCCAGATATGCCCTGGATTCCAGTTTCCTAAACAGGTCCATGCTCTTTCATGCATCTGGGTCTTTGCAAATACTGTCCTCTTCCAATACCCTTCCTCTGTTGCAAACACTCAAGGTAGGGGGCAGATTACCAGGCACAGACTCCATGAATGGGTTCCTCACATACTGTATTCACTGATATGGAGAATGACCAAATAAGAAGGAAAACAATGAATTTCCATGTACCATACACCAATATGCTGCAATGATAGTAAGAAATCTTTCTGGATCACTAAAATTTAATTGCCTCTCTCTGCCCCTCACCCCCCCCAAAAAAACACTTGTCTTTGACCTTTCCTGTTTCATAATCTCTCTTGATCATTACAATTTTGTCTTGGTTGTGTTCATGACCTCAGTGTGGCAGAGCAACTCAAAGTGATTAAAGTAATAAGCACCTCATTCATTCTCTGTCTGTCCATATCATACCAATTATTTCAAATTGTGTCTGACTCTATTACAAATGAAGCATCTCAAGTTCATGCATACCATGCATGGAAGTTTTGGGAAAGCTAATCTTTAAACACTATTTT